>NC_000003.12:142796483-143099513 GCF_000001405.40 Homo sapiens | reverse complement strand
TGTTTATTCTCCAGAGTCACAGTCTCTTTCAAGTGGTCCAAAGACCTTCTTAAAGTGAAATTTAAACACTCCCTGTCCTCCCATAAATCACTATGTCCAAGGTTGGGTACTGACAGCCTGTTGGAAACACCCTCCAGCTGATTCTGGTGCACACTTAAGTTGAGGAATCACCGTCCGTGGCAGCAGCACACACCTTGACTCAGCCTTTCATGGTCTTTTCCCCGATTTGGAAAGTCCACTGGTCCCATGCCAATCTCTATCCAAAGAAAGCCTCATCCAGGGAGACTTACAGAATTACTACAGGAAAAAGCAAAAGCTAATGCCCAGAACTCCTTCCGGAGCTCATGTCTGAACCGCTGAGTTAGCTGATATTATAGAGATGCATGTGCTTGTCTTATTTCCTTTTGTATGGGTTCCTAAACCTCATTCATCGCTCTACTACTTTTATTCTCTTTCACCATAAGCAGATTCCACTTGTCCTATTGTTTAATATTTTCTTTCATCTGACTCACTGTTCAAGACCTAATTTATGTTTATTTTAAATAAAAATTATATACCACCACAGTGAGTTGAAACCATTATCATGTTCTAGAAATGAAAAGTAACCAAAAAATAAAACAAAAAAGTTGTAACATAATAGTTTGATTATGGCCTATAAAAGGCTTAGACATATTCCTTATTTTTTTAAAGGAGGGGGAGATTAGTTTTAGAAAGCATTAAAGACAGAATGCCCCAAACTAAAATTGAAAATCATTTCTCATTCTCCTAAAAATTACCTCATGAGTAAGTAGTAGGGTTCCTAGTCTTTAAGAAACTCGGCCCCAGATATTTAAAGTTTCTCAAAGACAAGGGTAGTGCATTATGGGAGCTATTGTGATTCAAAGGTAGACGTACTGCTGCATAACAAATCAATGTGAACATTTTCTAGTACCGTCATGTACATCTTTAAAACCACTTCAGGACTTAGCATGAGTGCTTTGCATATGGAGTGCTCTGAACAAATATTTGTTGAGGGAATGAATGAAGGAATGTACAAACATCCTGGCTGTAAAATTGATTTTGTACCTTTTCTCAATTTAATTGCTCCATTAACCTCTACTGGTTCAGTTCAGTGTCCCCCTAGCACAACACAAATTCTACCCTATGATTTCTTTCTCCCATGTGCTGTGTTCCAATTACACAATTCAAGTAGACAGCACCTGATTTGTATGTGATTTCATTGCGGTCAGTTTGGTCATTTACGGAGGCTGAAGTGGATTTTTTGTTTGTTTATTACACTTCCCATCTTGCATGCCAAATCATCCTTTTGGTTTACACTAGGTCATGAACCACACTGTTTATTGGAGCTACTAGTTGGCTTTTAAGTTTGGGTTTTGGTTTAGGGTTGTATGTCTAATATTAATCCTGCAGTCACTAGCTTCTCTGTACCTGAAGGTCTGTGTTTACAGCTATGAAACCTAAAGCAGTTTCACTCAACCTGGAGCTCTGACTCCAGCTCACTAAACAACTTTTTCATGTTATTTTCTTATTAACTTAATGTTAAATATTTCCATTCCTGGCTCATGAGCATTGCAAAATATGATAGCAATCCCTATGCACCCAAAACTGAGAATTCTTTTGAAATGCTTATGTAAACTACATATGCATACAGTTTGCTTTTAAGACTTTTAAAAACTCTTACTTTGCTTTGCTTTTAAGTGTATATAGACCTTCTTTTCAGAATAACTTATAATCAATTATTTTCTAAATTCAGAGTCACATGGGTACTATATTATTAGTCTGCTTGAGCTGCTCTAACAAAATACCATGAGCTAGGTGGCTTCAACAACAGGCACTTATTTCTCACAGTTCTGAAGGCTGTGAAGTCCAAGATCAAGCTGCTCACTGATTCAGTTCCTGGTAAGAGCCCTTTTTGCAGCTTGTAGGCAGCCACCTTCTCTGTCCTCAGGTGGTAAAGAGATCTCTCTTGGTTGATCAATCGATCGGTCTCTATCAGTCGATCGATCGATCTATCTCTTTCTCCCTCCCTCCTTATAAAGCCATTAATTCCATCATGGGGGCCCACCCTCATGATCTTAGCTAACCCTAATTACCTCCCAGAGGCCCTATCTCCAAATACTACCACATTGGAGGTTAGCACTTCAACATATGAATTTGGAGGGGACACGATTCAGTCCATAGCAGGTATTGTACATGCAGTTACAATAAAAGAGAAAATACATTCTGCTTCTCATGAGGCTTGGCATTTTTACTCACCAAACAAGCAAAACCTAATAAGACTCATATTCAACATGTTTTTTGAGAAATACTAGAGGCATGAAATAGATATTTTTCCCCAAATTAAATCACAAAACACACATATAGTCTGATATAGTCATTTTCCATTTCAAATATTATTACAATCTCCTTATGGAGTACACATTGGTATCACCTATGCCAGAGGGCCATTTGTTATGACAATCAAAATCTTTAAAAGTTTTTTACTACGAATGTTCTGCTTCCACTAATGAAAAACTTGCCTATTTAGATCAACATACCATTGACTATGAAAGTTAACGGATATATAACATGAAGGGCCAAGAAAAGCCAAGAGAACCTCAAAAGAAAAAAAGTAGGAGAACTTAATTTTTAGATATCAAGACTTGGTATAAAGCTCTCATAATTAAGAAAATATGACATTAGTGCAGAAACAAAAAAATTGACCATGGACTAGAATAGACCAGGCAGCTCTATCACAGTCTCATGTATATGTCTCAGGATCCTTGGGGTGTCACTTTGCCAGCAGGAAACCTCTGTGGCCAGTGGCGCCTTTATCTGAGTTTTCCTTGGGCCTACTGGGCTCATTCTACCCACTTGGCCTGGTGGGCTGTGCTCAGCTTGCACTACCAGCCCAGAGCCCACACCTGTCAAGGGCAAGCCAGGCACAGAGCAGCAATGGGTGTGTGAGTGAGCAAGTATGCAGTCTGGCTACTGCACACAGCCTAGCATGCCAGCTGTGGTGGGGTGGGCAGCTCCAGGAACTGGCATGGGTACCGGCTCCCTGCAGGGCTACAGCTGGACCAGGTATACTGCAAGCAGCTTCCACTGTGGGCACCGGGTAACGTGGTGGTGCCCAGAAGCTTGGAGACACCAGGAACCACAGAGCCCCAAAGAGGGTGTCACACCCCTAGCTTGGGGAGCTCCTAGGTCTGGGTTCCCCAAAGGGCTGCAGCACTTCTCTCCTATTTTCTCTTTTTCTCGTTGCCCGCAATATGGCAAGTAGGGGGGTGTGTTTCATCCCTGTTTGTGTTATAGCTCTTTCAGGCCCGCCATTTGGTGGGTCCCAAGCTCTTGTCCCTTGTCCATGAAGAATGAGATACACAGAAAACTGGAGGGTGAGCAAGGCGAAGAGGTGCTTTATTGAGCAACAGTACAGCTCTCAAGAGAATCAAAGTGGGTAGCTCCTATCTGCAGGCAGGACATCCCAATAGCTCTGCAGCCCTCAGAAGAGGGGAGACCCAGAATAGGTAGCTCCTATGCACAGACAGGTAATCCTGTTGTCTGTGCAGCCCTCAGTGGAAAGGAGACCCACAGTGGGTAGCTCTTCTCTACAGGCAGGTTGTCCTGTTATCTGCTGTAGCCTGGCTGAGTCCAGGGTTGTTACAGGCTTCAGAGGTGAGGAAGTATGTGCTGATTGGTCCATGGGTGGCCATGGGCAGGCCCAGAAAAAACACCGTTAAGTTCTCATTCCAGTCCACGGAACTGGCAGCCTGGCCCCCAGACTTCAGGTCATCCCTGGCTTGAAGGTGGGGTTTCACTGGGGACCTGCCCCTTTCCACCCAGGAGCCTTTCTGCTTCTGGCCACCATTCAGAGCACCCAGGCCGTTCATGCTGAGGGGCACCTGCAGGCTCATGCCAGGCTGCCCTTAGCCCCACTTCAGCCTCCCTTCCATGATCGTCAACACCCAAAGTCCAGAAGGGGCCGAGGTAGCAGGAGGCTGGCATGTCAGTGCCACCCCAAGCACCTGAACACCCAGCCAGGTCATGACCGCACCCAGGCTTGGCCACAACTTTGCTCCGAAACTGGAGCAGGTGCCAGGAGCGGGGAGAGGCCAGGCAGTGGGAACAGGTACTTCCAAGCCTGCAGAAGCACCAGGGGTCTTCCCAGGCCCCTGAGAGCACAGGGATGCCTGAGTCTGCAGCCACAGCTGGGTGGCTACAGTTGCACCCAGGAATGCAGAGCTCCTGCCCCACCAACTTGAAAGGGGGCAGGGCTCCCGTTGGCTCTGCTAAGCGTGCAGCCCTGGCTGTGCCTCCACTGCTGCAGCCAGCATCTTTGCAGCAACTGCTCCAAATGGGCTGCTGCTGCCATCATATATGTGGACCCTAAGTTGTGGCAAAGTGGGCACTGCCAAAGGGTAGGACAGAGACAGCCTAAGTAGGACAGAGTTCAAGACCAGCCTGGCCAATATAGTGAGACTCCATCTCTAAAAAAAAAAAAAAACTAGTGGAAAGATAAACCATGAAATGAGAGAAGATGCTGCAATACATGTAAGTAACAATGGACTTCTATCCACATTACACAAAGAATTCCATAGATCAATAAGAAAAAGGCAGGTAACCTAATAGGAAAATATGTAAAAGGTTTGAATAAGCTCTTCACAAAGGAAGAAGATGAAATTGCCAATAGACATGAAGTTTCTCCATCATATTAGTAATCAGGGAGGTACAATTAAAAACAACAAAAAAGAGGACCAGATGCAGTGGCTCACGTCTGTAATCCCAGCACTTTGGGAGGCCAAGGTGAGTGGATCACCTGAGTTCAGGAGTTGAGACCAGCCTGGCCAACATGGTGAAACCCCATCTCTACTAAAACTACAAAAATTAGCTGGGTGTGGTGGCAGATACCTATAATCCCAGCTACTCAGGAGGCTGAGGCAGGAGAATTGCTTGAACCCAGGAGGCAGAGCTTGCAGTGAGCCGAGATCACACCATTGTACTCCAGCCTGAGCAATAAGAGCGAAACTTCATCCCCCAAAAAGTAAAAATAAAAACAAAAACCACAAAGAGCTACTACACACCACCGCCAAAAATGTAAAAAATCTGGCAGTGCCAACTGTTAGTGAGAATAAGAATTCTTATACACTGCTGGTGAAAATCATAAATTGTTGCTACTTTGGAAAAAATGGTTTTGGCATTTCCTAGCAAACGTGAGCATTTTGATACCCTAAAACCCAGCAATTCTGGGTCATTCACTATTCCTTATTTACTGGGCATATTCATTAGAGAATCTGTGGACATGCACACCAGAATGCTTAGGCCAGAACCTTCAAAACTACACTGTTTATAAAACCCAAAGAGCAAAAACAAATACAAATGATTTATAATTATATAGTCAAATGATGGAATATAAAATGGAAAAGAATGAACTAGAGCAGCAATCTCCAACCTTTTTGGCACCAGGGACTGGTTTCATGGAAGACAATTTTTCCACAGATGAGGACAAGGTTGGTTTCAAGATGAAACTGTCCCATCTCAGATCCCTCGAATGCACAGCTCACAATAGGGTTGGCGCTCCTATGAGAATCTAATGCTGCCGCTGACCTGACAGGAGGCAGAGCTCAGGCAGTGCTGCTTGCTCGCCCACTGCTCACCTCCTGCTGTCCAGCCCAGTTCCTAACAGGCCTCAGACCAGTACCAGTTTGCAGCCCAGAGGCTGGGAACCCCTGAACTAGAGTATAAACAAATACATGAATAAATTTTGCTATTACAGTGTTGACTAAAAGGAGCAAAACATAGAGTATTATCTCCCTCTGCCCAGAGAAACCAGCCTCCTCCTCTCCGCTCAGGGAAAAGTACCCTGTAAAGCTTCCCAGTGCCCAGTGACTCTGTCATTCTCTACCCTGCCAAAACACAAATTAATTGCCTGTGCTTCTCAAAGGGTCATAGAATTTCAGAACAAGAAGGAACCATAAGGAAAAGAGACTGAAAGATGTAAAGAGGGTATTTGAAATGACAAAACTACAAAACTAAAAAAAAAAAAAAAAAAAAAAGGTCAATTTCTGCAGGGGAAATACCCAAACACCCCACACCTTGCCCTTTTCATTCCATCTCATTAATTAACTTCTCCTGACTGGAGTTTCGCAAACTCTATTATAAAAGAAAATGTTAATGACCACCCACAGTAAGAAGTTGATTTTATGTCACAACACTGTACATACACACACAAAATTTCACAAAATAATATTTACATATTACGTAAGATGCACTCTGATATTTTCCATTCTACTCTATTTTTAATGCTATTCTTAAGCCCAGAATTATTTTCATGGAGTATTAATGGATTATAACCTATATTTTGAAAAACAGTCTGCTCCACAATGCCTCTTTGGCCAGATGGCAAGGAGCTCTGCCTTCAATCCTGGCTCAGCCACTTAGGAGTTCTGAGGCCTTGGGAAAATTACTTAGCCTGTCGGAGTCTGTGTTCTCATCTATAATATGGGATCATTATGTTTACTAGGTTATCATAAGGGTTTAAGAAATGTATATGTAAGGAATTAGCACAGTGCCTGACACACAACGAGTGGTCAATAACCAGTGGCTTTGCTATCAGTTTATCTATTTTTGAATTATATTCTTCAACTGCATGACTTCTCTAGAATGCTATGGCTCACAGAAAGCTGCTGTGAGGGACAGTGTCCTGTCACCTCCCAGATTCCTGCCTTGGGGACACAAACTCAGAATTCAGCTGATAGATTCCAGTGGAGATTAGGGGATGAGGAAGCGTGGGGAGAAGGGAGGAAGAGAGGCAGTTTTCTATCTTCCAAAGCCTGTGAGCACAGACCATTTCATCCTCCTAAGCACAGATTGAGAGGCTGCCAGAGCTACAAAGAGTCTTTAAGGTAATCAAAACAAAATTCCTAATGTGAGATCTGAAGGGAACATTTACTAGCTTGCATCAGGAAGAATGGCTTAGAACAGTGGCACCCAGTTTGAGAAGGGGCAATTTTGTTTGGAGGTAAGCTTTTAAAAACCACAAACATACACACACTCACACAGGCATGACCATGCATGCACACACACACACACACACACACACTCCTCTGAGTTGGCTGATAAGAGTAATCATATAGTGCAACAGGCCCATTTTACAGATAAGGAACCTAAAGTCCATAGAATGACTAGCTGAAGGTCATAAGATCTGGGCCAGGAACACAGTTCTCTTCTTAGCCAATGCCTTTCTCCCTCTGCAGCTGCCAGCTGCATACTTCCAAAGCATGCCCTAGACACCCACTGTGCCTCATGCCCCTGCATACAGTGGGGTTACATACTCGTTTTGGAAAACTATGGACACTTAACCTTCTCTTCCTATTTTTTTTTACAAGAACCAAAATTGTTCTGTTCATTTGTTTGTTTTTTGTTTTTTATTATTTTTGGTGGGGGTAGGGTCTCACTCTGTCACCCAGGCTGGGGTGTGGTGGTGCAATCATGCTTCACTGTAGCCTCAAACTCCTGGGCTCAAGCGATCCTCCCACCTTAGCCTCCTGAATAGCTGGGACCACAGGTGTGCACCACCAAACCTGAGTAATTTTTTAAATTTTTTGTAGAAATGAGGTCTCACTCTGTTGCCCACACTGGTCTTGAACTCCTGGCCTCAAGCGATCCTCCTGCCTCAATCTCCCAAAGTGCTGGGACTACAGGTGTGAACCACCACACAAGTTTTTTGTTTTTTAAATCTGTGCAGAAAGTAACATTGATTCCATGTGATGCTAGAAGTATAACCACTCTACCAGCCTGTTTATCGGTAGCCCCAAACCATCAATTTCTCCTTTTGTGATCTTTTCTGAAGAAGCTACAGTGGCCATGTAAAAACTGTCTGTCTTCCCACCTTTTCATTCACCTCATTTGATTCTGAAAATCAGAGAATAATCACTGAACCATTAAAACATAGTTGAATCACTGCTTGATGAGAACCCAAGTCATTTCTTTGGCAGCTGGCACTGCTAGCTCCCATTTAAGCCGAGGGACACAGAAAATTTAGGCCATAAAGTCTGGGCTGGCCTGATCCACTCAGTCTGCAAAAGGCAGGAATTTCCCACATCCAGAAGGCCAAACAACAGCTCAGGCTCAATGTTTCTAAGCTTTTGTCAGTTTAAGTTAGTGCTTTAATGCAATTTTAATAGGTAGTGATTTTATTTTGTATCTAATGAAACCAGCGGAGCCTGAAAACAGACATCAGACTTTGGAAGATAATGAGTCTGTTAGCTCTGGTGCCAGCGTAGCTGAGCAAGGTACAGTACTTAAGGTACAAAGAATAGACGGCTTCAGAAGAGGCTTTTATTAGATTCATTAGGATGGTCATCAAATGAATGATTTCATAGCAGATCTAATTAACCAAAGAATGTGCAGGAGTTGCATCTTCTTCCCGCTAATTGGGCATCTAGACGCCAAGGCGTATTCGCTACCTAGAGATACAGCACACAGATAAACTTGATAGGCTCTTTGTGGGAAAGTGTTTCATGAGGGGGGATTTTATAGCAGAATTTTGAACAACACAAGATAAAAACTTTCCAGGCTTCTGGCTCCTGATGGAGGACCAAGGATGCCTGTGAACTTATCCCTTTTCCCAGCCATGAGGAGAGGCAGCAGCAACAGCAGACGTGAAACTCTGAGGACTCCCCAAAAATGGTGAGACCCAGGTTAAAGGAGAAGAGAAAAAGGCAGTGCCAGACAGCAGAGTGAAGTGTAGGGTGGAGATTTGCTCTGCCAGGTACTCAGGACTGCTCTGGAGCAAATCATCGGAATGCAGAGAAGGCATTTGTGACAAGCAGACGGCAGCTGGCAACACTGAAGATCTCCACAGTGGAGTGAGGCTTGCTGCTGGCAAGCGGGGCTCCTGGCCACCTGCCTGGCTTGTCAATATACCAGAAGGCTGGCCTTCCACATGCCCCATCCGCTCACACAAAAGCACAAGCCTCCAATTTCAGGAAAACTCAGACCTCCACATCCAAAAGGCAAACTCATGTAAGCTACTAGGTGTGTGGAAAATGATCAATCAGAAAAAAGAAAAGAGAGCATAGCAATTTGAAAATAGGACCACGAAAGTAATTTTTTAAAAAGGGAATAATGGAAAAGACTGAAGACCCAGTTGTTCATTTTAAAGCCAGAGTTAAAGTCTCCCAAATATAGAGAAGGAAAGGGGAGGGGAAGGGAGGGGAGGGGATGGAAAAGAGAAAGAAAGAGGGAAGGGAGAGGGGAAGGGAGAAAGAGAGAAAAAATATGTCAAGCATGGTGGTATGTAGCTATTGTCCCAGCCACTCCAGAAGCTGAGGTGAGAAAATTGCTTGAGTCCAGGAGTTCGAGTACAGCCTGGGCAACATAGCAAGACCCCAGTCTCTAAGAAAAATAAAGAAAACATATGGCAGAAAATTAGGGTCATGGAAAATATATTCAGAAAGTTTTACATCTATCTAATAGTAATTCTAGTAAAAGTTTACAATTATACCTGAAGAGAAGAAATAATCAAAATAATAATAAAAGAAGTTGCAGCCGGGCGCGGTGGCTCATGCCTGTAATCCCAGCACTTTGGGAGGCCAAGGCGGGCAGATCACCTGAGGTTGGGAGTTTGAGACCAGCCTAACCAATGTGGAGAAACACCATCTCTACTAAAAATACAAAATTAGCCGGGAGTGGTGGCACATGCCTGTAATCCCAGCAACTCCGGAGGCTGAGGCAGGAGAATCGCTTCAACCCGGGAGGCAGAGGTTGCGGTGAGCTGAGATCGTGCCATTGTACTCCAGCCTGGAAACAAGAGCGAAACTGTGTCTCAAAAAAATAAATAAATAAATAAATAAAAGAAGTTGCCACTGAACTTTCATGTGAAGAAAGATAAGAGTTTTCAGATTGAAAGGGTTCATCAAGTTCCAAACAAGATTTAAACAAACAAAAAAAATACCCTCATCTAGATACATCCTGTTAACATTTCCTGACTCCAAGGATAAAAAGAAAATCTTAAAAGCTTCCAGAAAAAAAAAAAATCAGATTATCAAACTGGAACAAAAATCCGGCTTTTTTAAAGCAGCACTGGGCTCTGGAAGACAATCACGTGATGTATTTAATCGTCCAATGAAAAGTCATTTTCTACCTAAAATTTTATGCCCTGGCAAATATTAGAGTAAAATAGAGACATTTCCAAGCAAACGAGTACCAAAGGATTTATCACCTACATCCTCCATATGAAAGAACTAAGCAAGCAAAATTAAATGAAATAAAATATATTATATATTACGTAAATCAAAGAGTGGCCATTGAATATGATCTCATAGAAGTGAAGGAAACCGGGAGAATTTAAGGGAAAATGCATTAGGCTGTCATGCTTGAAAAATTTCTCTTTAACAAGCAAAAAAATTTTTTAAAAAAAGGATTACATCTCTACTACAAGGCTCAAATCATAGTTGGGTCCACAGTGGCCAATACCTACATAATGACATCATTGCAAATACTGTTAACAGGTTTTCAGCTTTTAGAATTAACCTAAAGACAAGATGACTGCCTTAGTTATAATTACATAAACAGAATGCAGTTGTGGTAAACCATGGCATTGTAAATATACCAACTATAAACTGAGGAGGGGAGAAGAGGTCAAAAAGAGAGACAGAAGAGATGAAAGGAAGAGTGGGTTGGTAATCTACAGGAATTCCCCTGGCTGACAGTCCCCAGAAGAATTAGGCAAAATAACAGGCAACAGAGCAGTAGTATGAAGTGAGCTAACATCTTTCTTGATAGAGAAAAGTAAAAGGGTTCCACTTAAAGTTGATAAATCATGAAGTAGAGGTACAAGCATGTTACCTCGATTTAGGACAGCAAGCACCAGAAAAATTCAGGACAAAATCTATGATCAGTGGCTGCCTCTGGAGGCCCTGCTATAATAGTTGAGAGCAGAGATTTTTAATTTCCATTTTTCATGTTTTTATATGTTTGAAACTTATCATTTTACCATAAGTACATGTTTCTTATGGAATTTTTTAAAATTAAAAAAATGGGTTTTAAGTACTGTGGTCTTCACCAGTGCTTTTCAGATGCAGTTGATAGGAACTCACTGAATTGAATAGATTCATGGCCTTCACCAGATTACAAAACCCACTTATCTTTAAAGAACCTTCTTCAGATGGATGTGAAAGATCAAAATAAAGTCTCAGATATTTCTTTTTTTTTTTCTTAAGAGAAAAAAAAAGAGTAGCTGTGTGAGAACTCTAAAATATATACACAATTAGCACAGTTCGACTACAGGCATAAGTCTCCAAAAGAATGACTGTTGCCCCCGATAGTTCATGCCACTACTAAGGAAAAACATGTGCAGTGCTTAATCCTCTTTCTCTTTTCTGAGTGGTAAGCTCTTCAGGTGCTCAGTGATGATGATAATATTGATTATCATTAATGATGATGATGATTGGGATTGAATGAGAGACTGGAGAGCAGAGAGAAGCCCTAAGGAAATTCTAAACCCCTGTGGCTTCTAGGATCTTAACAACACTAAATGTCCCCAAGGCCCTTTTCATGTTTCTTTTGATGAAATCGTTGGAAACTGTGTCTCTCCTGGTATCTCTACTATAACCCTGGCATCTTCATGGAGCAGGAAAAAAATGAGTTGTCTTGGCCAGGTGCAGTGGCTCACACCTGTAATCCCAATACTTTGGGAGGCTGAGGCAGGAGGATTGCTTGAGACCAGGAGTTTGAGACCAGCCTGGGCAACACAGAGAGACTCTCTCTACAAAAAGCTTTTTAAAAATTATCCAGGAAGAAATCAGGGAGGGCTAACTCCACGGATGACACTGACTGGGGATCCTGCATGTGTGTAGACATGGATTTATGAAATAGAGTGGGAAGAAAGAGGAAGTTTCCCTCCCCCTCCCCCTCTCCCTCTCCCTCTCCCCACGGTCTCCCTCTCCCTCTCTTTCCACGGTCTCCCTCTGATGCCCAGCCAAGGCTGGACTGTACTGCTGCCATCTCGGCTCACTGCAACCTCCCTGCCTGATTCTCCTGCCTCAGCCTGCTGAGTGCCTGCGATTGCAGGCGCGCGCTGCCACACCTGACTGGTTTTCGTATTTTTTTGGTGGAGACGGGGTTTCGCTGTGTTGGCCGGGCTGGTCTCCAGCTCCTAACCGCGAGGGATCCGCCAGCCTCGGCCTCCCGAGGTGCCGGGATTGCAGACGGAGTCTGGTTCACTCAGTGCTCAATGGTGCCCAGGCTGGAGTGCAGTGGTGTGATCTTGGCTCGCTACAACCTCCACCTCCCAGCCGCCTGCCTTGGCCTCCCAAAGTGCCGAGAGTGCAGCCTCTGCCAGGCCGCCACCCCGTCTGGGAAGTGAGGAGCGTCTCTGCCTGGCCATCCATCGTCTGGGACGTGAGGAGCCCCTCTGCCTGGCTGCCCAGTCTGGAAAGTGAGGAGCGTCTCTGCCCGGCCGCCATCCCATCTAGGAAGTGAGGAGCGCCTCTTCCCGGCCGCCATCCCATCTAGGAAGTGAGGAGCGTCTCTGCCCAGCCACCCATCGTCTGAGATGTGGGGAGCGCCTCTGCTCCACCGCCCCATCTGGGAGGTGAGGAGCGTCTCTGCCCGGCCGCCCCATCTGAGAAGTGAGGAGCCCCTCCACCCGGCAGCCGCCCCGTCTGAGAAGTGAGGAGCCCCTCCACCCGGCAGCCGCCCCGTCCGAGAAGTGAGGAGCCCCTCCGCCCAGCAGCCACCCCGTCTGGGAAGTGAGGAGCGTCTCCGCCCCGCAGCCACCCCGTCCGGGAGGGAGGTGGGGGGGTCAGCCCCCTGCCCAGCCAGCTGCCCCGTCCGGGAGGGAGGTGGGGGCGCCAGCCCCCCGCCCGGCCAGCCGCCCCGTCCAGGAGGTGAGGGGCACCTCTGCCCGGCCGCCCCTACTGGGAAGTGAGGAGCCCCTCTGCCCGGCCAGCCGCCCCGTCCGGGAGGGAGGTGGGGGGGTCAGCCCCCCGCCCAGCCAGCCGCCCCGTCTGGGAGGTGAGGAGCCCCTCTGCCCGGCCGCTCCTACTGGGAAGTGAGGAGCCCCTCTGCCCGGCCAGCCGCCCCGTCCGGGAGGGAGGTGGGGGGGTCAGCCCCCCGCCCAGCCAGCCGCCCCGTCTGGGAGGTGAGGGGCGCCTCTGCCCGGCCGCTCCTACTGGGAAGTGAGGAGCCCCTCTGCCCGGCCAGCCGCCCCGTCAGGGAGGGAGGTGGGGGGGGTCAGCCCACCGCCCGGCCAGCCGCCCCGTCCGGGAGGGAGGTGGGGGGGGTCAGCCCCCTGCCCGGCCAGCCGCCCCGTCCGGGAGGTGAGCGGCGCCTCTGCCCGGCCGCCCCTACTGGGAAGTGAGGAGCCCCTCTACCCGGCCACCACCCCGTCTGGGAGGTGTACCCAACAGCTCATTGAGAACGGGCCATGATGACAATGGCGGTTTTGTGGAATAGAAGGGGGGGAAAGGTGGGGAAAAGATTGAGAAATCGGATGGTTGCCGTGTCTGTGTAGAAAGAAGTAGACATGGGAGACTTCATTTTGTTCTGTACTAAGAAAAATTCTTTTGCCTTGGGATCCTGTTGATCTGTGACCTTACCCCCAACCCTGTGCTCTCTGAAACATGTGCTGTGTCCACTCAGGGTTAAATGGATTAAGGGCGGTGCAAGATGTGCTTTGTTAAACAGATGCTTGAAGGCAGCATGCTCGTTAAGAGTCATCACCACTCCCTAATCTCAAGTACCCAGGGACACAAACACAGCGGAAGGCCGCAGGGTCCTCTGCCTAGGAAAACCAGAGACCTTTGTTCACTTGTTTATCTGCTGACCTTCCCTCCACTATTGTCCTATGACCCTGCCAAATCCCCCTCTGCGAGAAACACCCAAGAATGATCAATAAAAAAAAAAAAGGAAAAATAAAATAAAAATAAAATAAAATAAAAATTATCCAGGAGTGGTGGCACATGCCTGTGGTCCCAGCTACTCATGAGGCAGAGGTAGGAGGATTGCTTGAGCCCAGGAGGTCAAGGCTGCAGTGAGCTGTGATTACGTCGCTGCACTCCAGCCTGGGCAACAGAACAAGACCCTGTCTCAAAAAAAGAAATGAGTTGTCTTGCTATTTGTAGTGAATTCTATAATTTTGTGTTGCTTCAGCGTCCATTTTGAATATAGCTTTAAGCAATTTCCCATACCAGAAGCAGGGCTTAGTCACCGTCTACAGTTTCCAGTTCTCTGCCTCCTCCCATTTCCTCAATATGGTCAGTTCAGATATCTGGCTCATACAACCCCCTCCTGGTGACAGCCTCCCCGTGGGACAGCTAGATACAACCTACTTGACTGGCTCCACTGACCAGACACAACACATGCACTGTGGAGATACGCCCCAGTGGCCTCCTCTCAGGCACAGCAGGACTCCAGGGCGTCCAGAGCCTGCCTGCTCTGAACCCACCAGGGAGTCCAGAGCCTGCCTACTCTGAACCCACCAATTGGAACTCCCACCTGGGTAATGCCCTGGACCCCAAAAAAAGACACAGGCTCGCAGATCACCCGCACTCTTTCGCTCCCCGCCCGCCGGTGGGCTTCCCATGTCCCAGATGGCTCCCCACTTCCTATCCGTCCTGAGAGGCGCGCCTCCCTCTTCTCTGGGCTGTGGAATGCTCTGCTTCTGTTAACTCACCTGTTTTGTTGAGAGGCCTCCTCTGTGTCTCCCCCAGTCGGATGCACCTGAAACTAACTTCTTTCCTGGTCGGGGCTCTCCTAGAGAGTGGCTGTCTTCGTAGGAATGAACTGGACACAGATGGGACAAGAGCAACGAAGGCGTCTGCCAGGATAAACACGTTTTCTGTGTGTGGGACCCCTAGTCATGGTCGGACACTTAAGCATTAGGCAGTCAGCTGGGATAAAAAAAAAGATTCCATGGGCCGAGCGCGGTGGCTCACGCCTGTAATTCCAGCACTTTGGGAGGCCGAGGCGGGCGGATCACAAGGCCAAGAGATCGAGACCATCCTGGCTAACACAGTGAAACCCCGTCTCTACTAAAAATACAAAAAACATTAGCCGGGCATGGAGGTGAGCGCCTGTAGTCCCAGCTACTCGGGAGGCTGAGGCAGGAGAAGGGTGAGAACCTGGGAGGCGGAGCTTGCAGTGAGCAGAGATCGTGCTGCTGCACTCCAGCCTGGGCGACAGAGCGAGACTCCGTCTCAAAAAAAAAAAAAAAAGATTCCATGAAAGGCACCTCATCAACACCCACAGGAACCCCATGGGGCAGGGCGAGGGTTTACAGCCACTCCGATGGCTATCAAAGGGTGTAGCTCACCTCTCCACTCTTTGTGTCCGAGCAGCCTTGTCTGCTGCTTTGACCAAGAGAATGCAGTGGAAGTGAAGTTATGTAGCCTCAGAGCCTACACCTTCACAGGCCTTGTAGTGTCCAACCTCATCCCCTCGGAACACCTGTGGCCACCATGAGAGGAAGAAGCCCAGGATGAAAGACCCAGGTGAGAGAGTCCCAGGTGTCCCAGATGAGCCCAGCCCTGGCTGTCCCACCTGTTGAGACCCGCTAACAACAGCCCAGTCAACCCACAGGATTGTGAAATCATAAACCAGTGTTGCTTTAAGCCACTAAGATGTGGGGTGGTTTGTTAGCAGCCATAAATAAGTGACACAGAGCTCGGATAACACAGCCCACTAATTGTATAGCTCAGGAACTAGAGGTAAAGTGATTTATTAGGTCCTTAAAGGCAGAATTAAGATAGAGCCCCACAGGCCGGGCACGGTGGCTCACGCTTGTAATCCCAACACTTTGGGAGGCCAAGGTGGGCAGATCACTTGAGTTCAGGAGTTCGAGACCAGCCTGACCAACATGGTAAAACCCCGTCTCTACTACAAATACAAAAAATTAGCTGGGCGTGGTGATGGGTGCCTGTAATCCCAGCTACTCAGGAGGCTGAGGCAGGAGAATCACTTGAACCTGGGAGGCGGAGATTGCAGTGAGCCAAGATCATGCCACTGCACTCCAGCCTGGGCGACAGAGCAAGACTGGGTCTCAAAAAAAAAAAAAAGATAAAGCCCCACAATAAAACCAGTGGCTTCTTTAGCACGGACATGGTTCTGGGGTCTTGATATAGACAGAACAATGTCTGTGCTAAAGAAGCCACTGGGTATTGTGGGGTTTGCATCCACTGTGCCCTGGAAGGATGGGCAGCTGGCTCAGGGACCAGAGCCAAGTAGATGGGGGAGAGTTCTAGCCTGAAGCCACAGGGTCAGACCTTTCTCATTCCCTGACTTGGCAAAGTACCCAGGAGACCTCCAGGTTAGTGTATGGTGCGGGGTGGTGAGGGGTGACAGGGAAAGAGCCTGCCTAAACGTGCTGGGGGCTCCTCCACCTTGTCTGTGACCTGAGCTGAGGAGCTGAGAGGTTGACAAATGGAAGAAACGTCAGAGAGAAGCCTGAGGGCTCCCTCCTGATGGCCTGAGCTTCAGATGAGAGGCTGCAGAATTGGGATGATGCTCCACAGCCATCCCCTTGTTGAGGGCAGGATGGCCTCTAAAGCCTCACACCTGCCATAACCACCACAAGGGCCGCTCAGCCAGCGAAGCCAGACAGGCCTGAGGTGGGGGAAGGGGGGTGGTTAGGGGACACTCAATGATAAGGGAAGGAAATGGGGAAGGAAGAAGGGAAAACGGAGAAAGAAAAGAAACCCCGGGAGGGCTCTGGAAGCGCCCCTCCTCCCCTGGACCTTGGTTGATCTGCTTTATGCCTGCCAGCCAAGGAGGAGGAGGATGAAGGGTCATCTGTGAGGCTCAGGGCAGCCATCCGTTTCTCTCCAGTCCATGCCTGGTCCCTCTCTCTGGGCCATGGCAGGAGGTTTCCCCCCAGCTCTGACCTCCCCAACCACTCATCTCTCACCGTGTCCCACGATGGTAGAAGGAACTCCTCAAAACTCAGATCTAGCGCTCGCTCTCTTACAAAAATGTGACGTCCTCATGGCCTCTGCAAGCTATTTGCACAGCACATTTGAGACTGTTTCTCCCCCATAGCCAGGGACACCTGTACTATCACGTAGCGTTTTCCTTTTAAATGACTCACTTTTCGACTTAAATAAATGTATTGAAGTCATTCTAAGCAATAATACCCATGACATTGTGGGTTTGATGTGCTGTTTATAGTTTTTCGCAATGTGCATTAAAATAATTACATAACTGAAAAATGTAAATGTTCCTTGTGTGCCACCTAAAACCATCCCACTGACTGTATTTCACTCTGAAACCGTATTGAAAGCATACCAGTCAGAACACTTGGGTTGCAAGAAACAGGAACTGAGTCTCTGATTATCGTAAGTAAAAAAAGATGTTATAGGAGGCTGAGGGGGGCAGGGAGAGGCTGGTAGTCTCACAGGAGAGGGAAGAAGGAAGAAGGTCCAAGCTCACAAAGGACAGGGTCAGTAGGTCTAGCCAGGGGTGGGGGGCCTCAGAGACTGGACTCCAGCCCACCGAGGTGCAGAAACTGGATGAATGACAGCTGGGCGTTTTCTGTCTCTACATCACTCTGCGATTCAAATTCCAGCGAGGGAATTCCCATCAGCCTGCTTGGATCCCGTGCCCACCCCTTGGGTGCGATTATGGAATGGATACTGCACAATCAAAAAACTGCTGTTCACCACGAGAGGACTCTTGTTTCCTCTTTACTGAAAATGGCCTCTGTAACAATGTTCATGGGTAGGATAGTTCACAACTTCACATGTAAGGTGGAAATAATTTTGTGTCTTGGGCAGATTTGGTTTTTTTGGGGGGATTTTTATGTTCATTTATTTAATGTTGGAGCTTTTTAGAAGGAAGGGTGAGCAATAGAGGAAATTAATAGCATTATAATTGTCTAGCTTTTAAAAGCAAATTCAATTTAAATACATGAGAAATGCTGTCATCATCACAATCTACTGATTACCTGAACTCCAAAAATATCCCTCTGGCTCACATTCTAAGACCAGTTGGACTCCTCCTGGTTTGACTCAAAAGCTCAGAACCAAATTTTGGCCCACTGATGTTAAGTGTGTGGTTTTTAGCCTTATTCCAATTTTATGTATCCATACTTGTTTTTTATTTTTTGCATCACTACTTCCGAAACTCTACCCACTTTCTCTTATGCAATGTTTCCTGCTTTTGGAATTTTGATTAAATATGATACAAAACAAGTTGGGCAATGTAGTGATGATGATGATGGTGGTAAAGATGATAATTTGCATGCACGGACCCAATAGGATGAAATGGGTCAGCTTTGGTCAAAGCTCCATTGGAGTCAATAGGTGTCAAGTACTCCCACATTTCACAGGTTGGTACAGATCCCTCACACAAGACTTGCAAAAGAAGAGATCAGGAATTTCAATCAGCCCAATACCACCTTGAGGGTATTAAAGAGCTGACGTTGAGGAATGCTAGTGTTGAGATGTGTATGTTTTCCTCTCCCTCCTTCTATGGGGAGAAGTGGGAGAAGAGAGCACTTGTAGGGGGTTGAGGGGCAAGAGGAGAAAATATGTGGCATTTTTTGTTTTTATTTTGAGACAGGGTCTTACTCTGTCACCCAGGGTGGAGTGCAGTGGTACGATCTTGGCTCACTGCAGTCTTGACCTCCTGGGCTCAAGTAATCCTTCTTCCTCAGCCTCCCAAGTAGCTGGAACTAGAGGCACATACCACCATGCCTGGCTAATTTTTTAAATTTTTTTGTAGACAAGGGGTCGCACTAGGCTGCCCAGGCTGATCTCAAACTCCTAAGCTCAAGTGATCCTCCAGCCTCAGCCTCCCAAAGTGAAAAATGTGGAGTTTTTTGTTTGTTTGTTTGTTTGTTTGTTTTTATGAGTCCTCAGGATTCCTACTCTTTCAATACAACAGTTCCACAAACTCACATCTTAATAAACAGATCTTAATGATCACAGAAACCAATTCTTCACACAACACTGGTCACTGGGTTCGCAGATGCAAGTCTACATGATTTCCACAAGAAAGCCTATCACTGAACTAATGGAAGCATTTACTTGAGAGCGGACCATAGAATCGTTCTAACTTTAGCAAATTCTACTCCAGCCAGAAGCCTGGACTTCCCCTAGGCGTCTTTGGATTTTGTTGTCTTGATCTGCAAGCTTTCCAAGTTTTCCCTTGTTTCGCATTTGGCTAACACTGGTCTTTTGAGGCTCTAAGGACTAGACAGCTGCTTCCCCTTTCTCATAAAATGTGCTGACAGAGGCCACTGCCCAGTGGCTGTCAGGTAGATGTGGAGTTTGAATAGGGAATGGATAAGGAAGAAAACAGAATATAGAATGGTGGTGGGCCCAGGCAGCAGGGAAATCCAACATGTGAACATTAGAAAAGTGTGAAATATCTTGACTAGATTATCAAGCCAGAAATCAAGTGGTGAGGTCCTTGCCTGTCTTCTTTATAGGCAGGGAGGTTAAACAGCCCTGCTCCTCTGTGAAATGTGGTAGCTAAATGCAGCGCTCTCATGGGGAACCAACCCACTTTACCTAATTGCTAAACACTTCAAGATTGGGTCTTTATACATCTCCTTAATGATAGGTTGTAATGAATGTTCAATACATTTTAACTGATGTGGTGGGAAAAACGGGATTGTGCAATTTAAAGCAAGTGGTACGAAACTCTACCGGATCAATGTACTCTCAGTTAAATGTTTTTATTATAATTACAGAAAAACTAACAGATTAAAATAATTGATTCAAAATAAGAAACTGTTTCTTAGTTTCCTGAGGTTATGGCTTTTAGAACGTTATCTTTTCTGAAAATCAAAACACAGCAAATGAGATTTTTTTTCTTCCATTGTTTAATTATTTTTCCTTCACCTCTGGGATTGTGCCTGACAGTTAGAAAATGAGAGATCAAGGCATCCTAGGGCTCCTTATTAATTCTACACACCAAAATTTTCCAAATAACCCTGTGTAACATACAACTGACCATAAATATTTTAGTCTGAGAAATGTATATAATGTTAAATTTATGGCTTGGGGATAAGCTGGCTTTCCACTCCTTATGCTTTTGTTTCCCAGAAATTCCTAAAGACAGATGTTACAGAAGAATTTTTTAGAAAGAAATTTTTGTTAATAAGTTATCAACCCAAGAAAGAAATGGGCAAAAGATTTGAGCATACATCAGTAACCAAATCAGTTTCCCATATTTGGAAATTTCCCCAATAGGAGAGCAGAGTCCATATCCCACTGGAGATGCCAAAGAGGAGCCAACACTGCATTCCTGGGCTCCTCTGCACCCAGGCCCAGCCTGTGCCCTCCGTCTGGCTAGTCAGCCATGCAGGGACAGGAGCAGACGAGAATCTGATCTGAGAGTGGCAGCAGTGGCAGTTGAGCGTCCATGCTGCAGTGCCTCTGCTTCCACCATTCTCCAAGCCTGGCTCTCCTGCCTTCCTAGCAATTCCCAGATCTGCCCAGCAATTCTCTTTCTCTCAGTCATCATGAGTCAGTTTCTGTTGCATGCAACGAAGAACCCTGATTTGGACAGCACTAAACTGTGATTCACACAGTGGAGAGAGACTGTGCTTAGATAAGATGCCAGGCCTAGAATGTGCCTCAGTTTCCCAACTAAAATATGGAGCTGCTAACACTAGCTCTATTTCACTGAATTCTTGAAAGAAAAAAAAAACCTGTAAAAATGCAAAATCCTTTGGAATTGTTAAGTGACATGGACAAAACAAGGGTGTGTACACGTTTTTGAACCAGCTTATTTTACTAAAAGAAATGCAAATTTCAAAGCCAGAGAAGAAAAAAAAAACAGATTCCATGCAGAAATGCTATTCCATGTCCATGTTCCAGTTTCTCCATGCAGTAGGTGGGAATTCAGCCTACACAACAGCCTGCTTGAATTTCTCTGCTCCTGGGAGCCACCTGGGAGCAGAAAAGAGTTTATTCACAAACCCAACAATGCCATCTAAAGTTTTGAAAAGCATTCCACTTAGCCATAATTACACCTGTGTGTCACAACTTCTGTGAGCTTCCCTGCCCTGTATTGAAGCCACTGAGATAAATACAGGGCCCAGGTCTCAAGAATTCATCCGTGCAAGTTGTTTTCTTCTCACCACCTGCAACCACCAATCACAGCATCTGAGGTAGAGGTGAGGGACATGGTGATCATGTCACAAAGAATGATCTCAGAAGGAGGAAAAGCAGCAGACACAAGGAAACCCAACATCAGAGGCCCGTTCTTGAAAGAAAAGGTCACGTAAAAGGGAAAATTTTAAAAAGAAATAAATGCAGTGTATCTGGAGAATAATCTTTTATTATGACTGTTTTTTTTTGTTTTGTTTTATTTTGTTTGAGATGGAGTCTTGCTCTGTCGCCCAGGCTGGAGTGCAGTGGCGTGATCTTGGCTCACTGCAAGCTCCGCCTTCCGGGTTCACGCCATTCTCCTGACTCAGCCTCCCGAGTAGCTGGGACTACAGGCGCCCGCCACCATGCCTGGCTAATTTATTATGACTCTCTTTTTAAGGCTGGGCAACATACTGAGACTCTATTTCTACCAAAAAAAAAAAACTTTTCCAATTAGCCAGGCATCATGACACACACCTGCAGTCCCAGTTACTTGGGAGGCTGAGGAGGGAGATCGCTTGAGCCCAGGAGGACAAGACTGCAGTGAGCCATGATTGCACCACTGTACTCCAGCCTGCGTGGCAGATTGAGACTCTGTCTTAAAAAAAAAAAAAAAAAAAGACTTTCTTTTTAATCTTACAAGGTCCAGAAGATGCCCACAAACTTTAGAGAATATCACATACTTTCATTTGCAAATCTGTCCAACAGTATCATGTCCCCTCTCACTGCAAATGTGTTGGAGAAGATGAACAAGAGATTGCCAGTGGGCTGACACCAAGGAGAAGGAAAAGAGCCCCCAGTGGCTCTGGGGCATTTGACCCAACAAGCTGCTCTGACCAGTTAATGTTTTCCTGCTGGTGTCAATGACTTGGAAAGTCAATTCTATCCATGCAGCCTTTTCATCAGTTATGATACCCTGAGTTCATCTTCTTTTCACACCTGCAGCTTAGAGAAAATTCTGTGAATCAATCTGTCACCCACCTGCCTGCACATGTTTCCAACAGGCACAGGTGTGGCTGCAGCCAGCCAGCCTATAGAAAACCCAGAGATTCCTTTTAGGGGAAAGTGCTGCTGAGAGAATATAAAAATCTGGGCACACATAAGAGAGATCTGCAGACCTCTGTCTCCACAAACCAGGCACCTCTTACGGGGAACAGAGAGCAGGGAAAGGAAGACTGTTCTCCAACTCTGCGGGCTGAGTTTGTCCATCCTCCCACACACCTGGAGGGAGGGCCTTGGTTCAGAAAGCTCACAAAGTGCTTGTAGAATTCCAAGGAAAGAAGATAGGCAGTGAGGAAGGTCCAGCTCCGACCAATCCCCACAGCGCAGAAATGTCCAGTGAAAAATGGCTCCCCTTCAGGACTGTAACGGGCCTGTGGTGCCCCGGCTCCCAGGGTAGGGAAGTTGGGCACCCCAGGTTTGCCCTCAGCCTGCCATGCCCTTAACCCAGGGCACAGTGAAAGGCCTCCACTCAACCAGAAATGGACACTTCCTTTGCACAGTTTCTAAATGTGTGTGGCTGGGCGCGGTGGCTCACGCCTGTAATCCCAGCACTTTGGGAGGCTGGGGCGGGTGGTCAGGAGTTTGAGACTAGACTGGCCAACATGGCAAAACCTTGTCTCTACTAAAAATACAAAAAAAAAAAGTAGCTGGGCATGGTGGCACGCACCTGTAGTCCAACCTATTTGGGAGGCTGAGGCACAAGAATCGCTTGAACCCAGGCGGCAGAGGTTGCAGTGAGCCAAGATCGTTCCACTGCACTCCAGCCTGGGTGACAGAGCGAGACTCCATCTCAATTAAAAAATAAATAAATAAAAAATAAACAAAAATAAATAAATGTGTGCAACCCCCTGAGCTTCAGCCACTGCAAGTTCAAATGGCATCTGCTCTGCCTAGCTCGTGGGGAAGTGGAGGGGGATGGTGCAGACCTTGGCTCACCCCCCACACCCAGTATGGCTCTGTAATTTCTATTCTATACAGTGCATTCATAACTCATTCTACTGGGCCAAAGCACGAAGAACTAACTCTTCAGAGAGTTTCTACAATTTGCGTTAGCATTTTTCAAAATTATTCCTAGATGAGACACAACTTTATTACCATCTCTAGCTGCCCTTTAGAATTCTAATATTCTCATATTCTGTGCATCCCACGAGGCCCCTTTCCTGACAAAGATATTTACCTTAGATGTGTGTAACTTCCAGGAGTCTAAAATATGATCATAGAGCTATTAGCTAACACGGCGGCTTTTAGCTTCTTGAAAGCAGAATTCACATCATTAAAAAGTCTTTTAGAATATTCGTCTTTCCATGGCTTTTCTTTATCCCCCTATGTGGGGAGAACTTATTATAGACTATATCTTGTATCCACCAGGGGACCCACAGAAATGAGGCCTATGTGACATTTTATTAGCCCTGTAGATTACATTCATGATGGAGGGGGAGAAAAAGCAAGTTAACATTCTCAGGAGGCTTGTAATGGTCCAAAGTTTTTCCTTCAGAAGCCTTGGTCTGGGCAAGAGAAAAGTCAGACTCCTTAGTGTCTTCTCGTAGGGCTCACTTCTGCCTTGAGAGGCCAGAAGACTGTTGCTCTTCTAGAAACCAACCCTGAGAGGTCCCTCTTGGATTCAGGGTTGGTTTAGACAGTGGCTCTGAAGCTTGAGCGCCTGTCAAAATCATCCAGAGGGCTTGCTTGTTGAAACACAGATTGCTGGGCCCTGCCAGAATTTCTGGTTCTGTAGGTCTATGGGCCTGAGAATCTGCATTTCTTTTTCTTTTTTTTTTTTTTAGATGGAGTCTCACTCTGTCGCCCAGGCTAGAGTGCAGTGGCCCGATCTCAGCTCACTGCAAGCTCTGCCTCCCGGTTCATGCCATTCTCCTGCCTCAGCCTCCCTCGTAGCTGGGACTACAGGCGCCCGCCACCACACCCGGCTAATTTTTTGTATCTTTAGTAGAGACAGGGTTTCACCATGTTAGCCAGGATGGTCTCGATCTCCTGACCTCATGATCCACCCACCTCGGCCTCCCAAAGTGCTGGGATTACAGGCTTGAGCCACCGCGCCTGGCCGAGAATCTGCATTTCTAACCAGTTTCTGGGGATGCTGATGCCGCTTGTTTAGGGACCACACTCTAGAACCACTGGGGCACTGTTTTAGGATACTCTAAGGGAGCCAATATACAAAGGTTCCTACTGGCCCCCAGTCCAGCTGCTCCTTGGGTCGATGGCCCTCAGACCCCAGCTGGGTGCACTGAGCGCCTCCTCCTTAGGAGTCCAACTTTCCCAAGACTTCAAGCCAACTGCGGTCCATGCAGCTCCTCCCTCACCACAAGGACAAGTACTCACTGGCCCCGCCCCGGTTTTCCTCCAGAGACCCAGTGTAAAATGAAAACGTGGGGCCTCTCTTTAAAAAATTAAGAATTTCAATACAGTGACAGTGGAGCATTAGATCAAGCATGGCCCTTCTCCCCAGGGCTTGGCCCCTGGGCCCCTGCAATTCAGAGCAGTGAGTTCTGATTCTTTCTGGGCCCCAGCCTCCTGTCTCCCTCAGGTTTTCAAACAAGAATCCATCCTCCCTCTGCTCCAAGCCCCTCCTTGACTCTACAACTTCTGCCCCTCAAGAAAGGGGCATTGGTATGAGAGTTTTAGAGGAAATGTTAAATGGCTGTTAAAGTTGTAAAATGTTCCTACTCTTTGATGCAGCAATTTCACTCCAAGAGATTTATTCTTCAGTGGATAGATTCCCCGAGGAGCTCTCCCAGTGCTCAAAGCCTATTCACTCTTACGGTGCTTGTAATAAGAAAAAATAAAAATAACAACAGCTTAAATGTCTCTCAATAGTAATTAAAGAATGAGGCAGATTTATAGGTAATGATCAGGAAGTATACCCAAGATCTCATAAGTATCAAAGGCAAGTTGAAAACGTTGAGGCGGGTGGGCATGCGTGTATGAGTACATGAACAGAAAAACAATTCAGGAAACTTGAACAAAAAATTGTTAGCCATCGCCACTGGGAATTTTCACTTTACAGTTTATGCACTCTACATTTTAAATATTTTTTTTTTTTTTTAATTGATCATTCTTGGGTGTTTCTCTCAGAGGGGGATTTGGCAGGGTCATAGGACAATAGTGGAGGGAAGGTCAGCAGATAAACAAGTGAACAAAGGTCTCTGGTTTTCCTAGGCAGAGGACACTGCGGCCTTCCGCAGTGTTTGGGTCCCTGGGTACTTGAGATTAGGGAGTGGTGATGACTCTTAACGAGCATGCTGCCTTCAAGCATCTGTTTAACAAAGCACATCTTACACCGCCCTTAATCCATTTAACCCTGAGTTGACACAGCACATGTTTCGGAGAGCACAGGGTTGGGGGTAAGGTCATAGATCAACAGCATCCCAAGGCAGAAGAATTTTTCTTAGTACAGAACAAAATGAAGTCTCCCATGTCTACTTCTTTCTACACAGACACAGCAACAATCTGATTTCTCTATCTTTTCCCCACCTTTCCCCCTTTTCTATTCCACAAAACCACCATCGTCATCATGGCCTGTTCTCAATGAGCTGTTGGGTACACCTCCCAGACGGGGTGGTGGCCGGGCAGAGGGGCTCCTCACTTCCCAGAAGGGGCAGCCGGGCAGAGGCGCCCCTCACCTCCCGGACGGGGTGGCGGCCAGGCGGAGGCGCCCCCACCTCCCTCCCGGATGGGGCGGCTGGCCGGGCGGGGGCTGCATTTTAAACATTCTTATTACCTCATATTATTTCTGAGTATGTGTAGAATTGAAAAATACTTCAGACCTTAACCAAAGCTGTTTTCCTTCAGAAACGTGGACCACCAGTGAGGGCTGCCCTAAACCCCTGCCCTGTTCCTCCAGCCCTTTCCCTCTTACACCATCATGGTCTCATCCCTGCCATTTTCCACCCCCACTGCCGCGAAGCCTCTCACGAAGCTTGATCTAAGCCTGACTGCAGATGAATTTGTTGCATCTAAAATATGTTGTTCTCCCCAGAAATCGGTTCCTATGAAAACCTAATTTAAAAACAGAAAGGAGGAGAAACATTTATGAATCTTTTAGATCTATGATCTTTTAGATCTATTGCCTTATTAATTTTTTCACTCTGAGGTAACAGATGTATTCTTACTTTTACATTTGGACTTTGGATATGGACTGGGATGCCCACCTGACACCTCAAAGGCAAAGGGTTCCATCGGAGACTCCAAGCCTATCTTTATCTTGACTAAACAGCGGCTTAACACAGAGGCTTATTCTCCACTGAACTAGGCCCAGTGTGTATGTTCCTCAGCGGTATTTTTAAATTCTACACATACTTAATAATATAAGAGATAATAAGAATGTTAAAAATTTAGAGTGTATAAACTGTAAAGTGAAAATTTCCAGTTATGAATGACTAGCCTTTTGCTTGGTCATCCAGGGCCCCAGGCGCCCCCATTTTTTGGCTCTGCTTCCCCTCTGGGTCCTCAGCACAGAGAAAAGGAAAGACATGGAGGACAAGGGAGGTTTTGTGGGCCAGGCCTGAAAAAGAGGTCCCATTTCTCTGGCCAGACTGGGAACAGTGGTGTAGTAGACAAAATAAGGGCTCTCAAAAATGTCCATGTCCTCATCCCTATGTGAACCTGTGAGCATGTTGCCTTAAGTACCAAAGAGACTTTGCAGGAGTGATTAAGGTCAGAGTATTTGTCAGACCTCTGAGCCCAAGCTAAGCCATCATATCCCCTGTGACCTGCACGTATACATCCAGATGGCCTGAAGCAAGTGAAGAATCACAAAAGAAGTGAAAATGGCCAGTTCCTGCCTTAACTGATGACATTCCACCATTGTGATTTGTTTCTGCCCCACCTTAACTGAGCGATTAACCTTGTGAAATTCCTTCCCCTGGCTCAGAAGCTCCCTGACTGAGCACCTTGTGACCCTGGGCCCTGCCCTCCGGAGAACAACTCCCTTTGACTGTAATTTTCCACTACCTACCCAAATCCTATAAAACGGCCCCACCCCTAATCTCCCTTCGCTGACTCTTTTCGGACTCAGCCCGCCTGCACCCAGGTGATTAAAAAGCTTTATTGCTCATACAAAGTCTGTTTGGTGGTCTCTTCACACGAACGCGCGTGACAGTCTTAATATGAGATGATACTGGGTTATACAGGTGGGCAAAGAGGGCCAAACAAAACAAAACAGAACAAATCAAAAACAAGGAAACATGAAGATAGAAACAGGTTGGAGTGACTGTCCTTGAAAGCAGAAGTAGCTACACTCCAGGGAATGCAAGTGGCCTCTTGAAGGTGGAAACGGCAAAGAAAAGGATTCTCTCCTGAAGCCCCCATGAGAAAGCGGCCCTGCCAGCACTGTCAGACTTCTGACCTCCAGAACTGTAAGAAAACAAATGTATGTTGTTTCAAGCCATTAAGTTTGTGGTTGTTATAGCAGCCATAGGACAAGTGGTCCAGCCACATGCCAAGGAGGAAAAGACAACAGAATTTGGTAACTAACAGCAGCCTTTTCCTCCATGGATGAATCAATCCCATCCTTTCTGCTGCAGCCAGCTCTGTCACTTTCATGCTGGGATATTACTACCATTCTACCATATTACTACCTACGGCCTTTTACCTGGCCTAGCTTTGGCGGCCCTCACGCTGGTTTCACCTCACACCAACGTCTTCCCCAGTCTGCACCAGAGTGGTTCTCCTAAATTATATGCCAGACCACGTCACTCCTTTGCTTAAAAGCTCCTGTGGCTCTTACAGAAGAAAGTCCAAAATTCTCAGCCTGGCATTCCAAGTCCTCTGTAATGTGGCTCCTGTCTGCCTCTCCGTCCTTACCCCTCAAGCATCATCTCTCCCGTGAGGGTGAAATGCTAGGGTGATAAGCGGAGTAGACGCCAGCAGATGGGGGTCAAAGGGGCTTGGGTGGGTGCTAGCAGTCCCAGCCAGGGCTTCTATCCTTCCTCCCACTCAGCTTCACCTCAGGTGCCACCTCCTGTCAAGAGAGAGAAAGCCAGGGAAAGGCTTCCAGATGTGAGAAAGGATTTGAGAAAAGTTGCCTCATATACCAATAAATACAATCCAAAGGAGCTTGTTCAAAGTCTAAATCATTAAAAGTACAAGCCCAAACAAATTGTTATTGATTCCCTTGGTTACCAAATTCCTTAGCATGCCAGGCTGGACAGTCATCCCCAGCAAGCTGCATTTGTTGATTTTCTTGGTGTGAAAATGAATCCACAGTACTCCCCAGTGGGGAAATGCCTGGGATGTCCAAGAGAGAGACTAAGGAACTTTCAGAGATTCCAAGCCCTGCTCCTAGCTGATGAGTTGGTGAGCATAACAAAGACATGCGCTCAGGCAAAACTGCAGGGAAGGCAGGAGAGTCATGTCCACTGTCACACCCACCGGCCTTTCTCAGCCCAGCGCTTCCTCCTCCAGTCCCAATACTCCCCAGGTATTGCCCCAAACTTTGGACTGTGACTTATACTCTGTGCCTCCTCCTTTCCTAAGCCCTGTTCTTTCTAAATGACAAAGGACAGCAAGTCAGTTAATCATGTAATATTAGACTTACAGAATCTTAAAATGCAGGTTTTAAGTAATTTTTGCAAAAATTGTGGAAAAGGACAGAGTGTAGGGAGTAATCATCTGTAAAGTCTACTAACCTACTACTATCATTTTGATATATTCCATCTTAAACTTTATTCGTATGCATATTTTAACATATCATAAATACAATTGTGCAACAGCTGCATAGTCCTCCCAGGCATCATTTAATGGCCTCATAATATTCCTTCCAGTAAATTCTTAGCAGTCTTACAAACTGCTCCCGATTTTTGGATGTTAGAGCTATGTCTAATGTTTTACAATTTGCAAATAAGCCCTGATGCATGCCTCTTTTTCTATATTTTAAAAATTGTTTTCTGCCAGGTGTGGTGGCTCACGCCTATAATCCTAGCACTTTGGGAGGCTGAGGTGAGAGGATTGCTTGAGCCCAGTAGTTCAAGACCAGCCTGGGCAACATAGGGAGACCCTGTCTCTACAAACAAACAAACAAAACAAATACAAAAATTAGCCGGGCATGATGGTACATGTCTGTAGTTCCAGTTACTCAGGATGCTGAGGTGGGAGAATCATCTCAGCCAGGGGAGGTCGAGGCTGCAGTGAACTGTGTGTGCCACTGCACTCCAGCCTGGGCAAGAGTGTGAGACCCTGTCTCAAAAAAAAAAAAAAAAAAAAAATTTCCTTAGACCAGATTTCTAAAAGTAGAATTTCTGGGTCAAAGTGTATGAAAATATTTAAAGCATAATACATTTGGTCAAATTGCATTTAAAACATTGTACAAATTTAAAGCACAATGCACAAAGGAAAAGAATATATCATTGAAGTATTTTTTTATTTCATATTAGTGTTTAACAATCATTTCAAATATATGTTTGCTACTTTAATTAGCAAGAGGAAAAAACAAAAGTGTTTTGGAGTTGGAAGGAACCTCAGATGCCTAGCAGTTCCCAAACGTGGCTGCACATCAGAATTACCTGAAGAGTCTTTAAATAATATGAGTTCCCGAAAGCTCCTTGGAGAAATGGTTGTTTTAGGTGTGGAGTAAAAAATGTACAAGATGAGGCTGGAGAATTTGTCATTTCAGAAAACAAGCTATGAAAGAGTAATGTCATGTGTCAAAGGGACTTCAGGAGCCAACTTGAAGAGGCTCTCATTGGCCAAAGAGGGGAATTCTAAGGATAAAAATTGTGATGGATTGCCGGACGCGGTAGCTCACACCTGTAATCCCAGTACTTTGGGAGGCCAAGGTGGGTGGATCACCTGAGGTTGGGAGTTCAAGACCAGCCTGACTGACACGGAGAAACCCCGTCTCTACTAAAAATACAAAATTAGCCAGGCATGGTGGCACATGCCTGTAATCCCAACTGTTCAAGAGCCTGAGGCAGCAGAATCGCTTGAACTCGGGAGGCGGAGGTTGCAGTGAGCCAAGATTGCACCACTGCCTTCCAGCCTGGGCAACAAAAGAGAAACTCCGTCTCAAAAAAAAAAAAAAAAAATTGTGATGGATAAAGCACATCAGTATAAAATCCATGAGGTTGTAATAATACTAAAAATAATAATAAAACTTTAGTGGTCACTTTAGAGAATGGTAATAATATCCCAGCATGAAAGTGACATTGAAAACTGGAAAATAAAGGAAAAAATCAAGCATTGAGGCTGCCTTTCTTATATGAACTGTACTGTGGAGTAAGTCAATAGTAGGTGAGGAAGTTTCTCTATATTATCTCAAGTTATAAGTGAAAAAGAAATGATAAATTTAGGAATCACCAGTTGTGACCCTAATGAATTGGAGAACTCAGGCAATGATGATCAATGGCTGCAAATGTCACAAAGAGACACAAGCAGACATTATGTGGCCCTGAAAGAAGTGCTTTCATCTATGAAGTAGACGTGCCACAATTTTTGAACTAAATCTGATCAAACCTCTAGATTAAATTACTGATCTACAGAAAATAAACTTGGGGAGGCGGGCGGTGGTTGTGGTGTTCAGCAGAATCCAGACTGTGGGAAAGTCTCGTGGACAAACCACCAAGTCTCTGTAACAAGTTTAAAGGGGAAAAAATGAAACTGAGGGACATCAATAGCTTAAAAGTCACTTAAGAGATATATTAACTAATCATAATGCATGAACTTCATTTGAAAGACTTCAAGCAAACTGAAAACAAAAACAAAAACAAACAAAAAAACCTTGTAAGACAATTGTAGATTTCAGAATATCAGGATTTTTCATGATATTAAGTAGCCACTAAAGTCCATGTCTTATACAGAAACATACAAAAATATGTACAATTAAAATTATGTATGGAATTTTAGTACAAATTAAAGTGGCTGTGCATGTCATGTTATACTAGTCTTTCTACTTTTGTATATGTTTGAATTTTCCATAATTAAAAGAAAATATATATACATCAGGTCCTAGGCCCTGACCTGCTGAACCAGAATCTCAGAGGTAGGGACTGGCAGTCTGAGTTCTGAGAGCCCCCCATAACATTCTGATGTAGCTGGTCGGTGGACTGGTGTCTGGGAAACAGTGATTTGACTCAAGGAAACTCAGGTACAAGGACAGTAAATTGCCCAAGCTCCTACAGCCAGTTCATGCAAGAAGCCAAGTTGCCTGACTCTGATCCAGGGTCGTTCTCGAGATAATAGGCTGCCTTTTGAATGCAAATGCATTAGTGCCTGAATGTATTCCTGTTGGGTAACATGATGCTTTGACCCAGTTTAAACGCATGTGTCCAGAAAATGCCCTGGAAGTTGTCTAGGATCTTTCATCACCCTTGAAATCATAGGCGCATGGGGCTACCTGATCCATGAAGACCTCAATGTCTACTGCGGAAAGGGAGGGAGCCTTTTAGCTGCACCTGCACATGGGAATGCAAACTTAAAACTTCCAAACGAGATTATACATGGAGGCCACAAACCTTCCCCAGGTGTCCTCCAAACTTCAGAGTCCAGATATCACACCAGAAGGTAATAGGAACATTCAGAAAAGAGGATGAAGATAGGAAGAATTTTGCTAAGAACAGAACATGAGAATGTCGGAGGTGAGGGGTAACCTGTGAGTCTGGGCTTCTCGTGATAACTGGCATGACCTGGGATGAAGGACTGGGTTATCCTTGGTCAAATGTAGGAAAATGACATAGGAGAGGTTGTGAGAAGCTGAGAGAAGGGAAAGGAGAGGAGGGAGGGCTAGGTGTCTGTGGTTTTCTCATGACCAGTTTTTAATTAGTGAAGGTCTCTCTTCTTGACCTTTGGTGACGGAGTAGAGGCTTAAGGGAGGTTCACTCCTAACCTGACCCTTGTTGGGAAAGGGGCAAACCCCCATCAAAAGCCCCGGCTCCTCCTTGGCCCAGAAGGTAGGAGGTGTCTCATCACCCATGATGATGGGAGTGGGAAGCTTAGGAGAAGTATGATTCACAAGATAAGATTTAGAGGACAAGAACATTAAGGTCCAGTTTCGGATTAACTTCCAGTGCAGGAGGATCCCACAGCATTCCAGCTCAAGAGTCACAGGGGAGGAGAAGTTTCCCCATGACCATATGCCAGCAAACAAACACTAACCTGGCAAAATTACACATAAAAACTGAAAACAGCTGAAGATACGCAAAGACTTACATTTAAGTTTATATTATACAATTTCTTTTCTAAAAATAGCATAGAGACTTATTTAAAAAACTCAGTTACAATAGATTCATACTGGGAGTCTTCGGCCTTCTATCTTGGTTGTCAAAAGCAATCTATGATCTAGGGACAAGGCTGCCACACAGTATGGCATAAGAGGCAGGTGGGATTGCTTTAGACTCACAAATTTCTTCAGATGACTAGACCAGTTACTTCAGTCATCTTTATAGCCTGCCAAAATTTCCCTGTTTTATAGATCCCAGAAATATTCCCAGCTGGGAGCAAGTAATTGCATCCAATTTGAATTACTTTTTAAAATGACATGTCATAAATTCCCAGTGCTGGCAAAGGTGCAGCAAAGCACCCATTCCCCAACATTAGAAGAAGTCAAAAATAGTCCATTTTTGGAAGGCAAGTTGGCAACATGCATCACATGAGCTTTGAAATGTTTATATTCTTTGACCCAACAATTCCAATAATTTTTAAATGAATGAAAACAAAAATGTTATGCAAAGTGATGTTCATCACGGCATTACTTAGAAAAGAAAAAAATAGAAACAACCCAATTTCTAACAACAGGGTCTTGGCAAAGTAACCTACAGTAAATGATCATTTGTAGTCATTAAAGTTACATTTTGTAAAAGTTTATAACACAAAAGGCTAGGTCCATCAAGTGCCGCCTTCCTAGAACTGGAACCTCCAGCAGATGGATAGAGAGGCTGAAGGTTGAAGCCTGGCCAGACTGCCCCCATCTGTGATTCTGGCTTCCTTGTCCTGCCACTGTCTCCTGTCCTGCTGATTCCTACATCTGGCCTTCCAGATGCACTGTCAATTCTCTGAGCCTCCATAGGCTTCCACTGAACTCTTTTCCTGATTTAGCTACAGATGGTCTCTGTTGTTTGTACCAAAAGACCCTGACACACCTAACCAACCCATTAATTACATCATCAGACTCTGAAAAACAAAGCTGCCCAATCCCAGTTCTAAAGTGTTTTCGAAAGTATGTTTGTGGAACCTTAGACCTCTGAGTTGAGTTACGTTTGGAAAATACGTAATGTCTCCCGCCTGGGTATACACAGTACATACTCAAGGTTCTGAGAAGCACTGCTATAAAAAAGCCAATTTAGCCCAGGATTTCCCAATTTAGTTTATCACACAACTCCTTTTTCCAAGTAACATCTATTAACACTCTACAGTGCAGTAGGTAGTTGTGCCAGTGACTACAGAAGCATTCTTTAATGCTTTAACGCTTCTGTAGTCAACACAATTTATAATTTCCTCCTATACCAGCCTAAGAGCAACAGGAGTGCTATGTCCTGATCATCTACTGGTTTGATTTCTGTATAACAGCACTGAAGTGAAGCTAATCTTAAGGTGAATACAACCTCTGTTGCAGGGAAAGGAATCACAAGATCCAAGGAAATGAGGAGTTAAATTATTTATTAGAGAGCTGCTATGTGCTTGGGGCATGCTAGATACTGTATTTATATAATCCCATTTAATCTTCCCAGCCAAGAACCTCCTAACTCATTTCCCTGTTTCTCTTGTCCTTCTCCCATTCTGTCTCTGCACAGCAGCTGAAGTGTCTTTTGAAACTACATCAGGTCACTCACTCCCTTGCTTAAACCTGTCAAGCCCTACCTAACCTCATCTCATACCACACCATCCTTTCCTCACTGCACTTGAACTCCACTGACTGCTTTCCATTTCTCAACACGCCAACATGGTCTCCCTCTAAACATTCTAACTTCCAGCACCTTCGGCCTGGAACACTTGGTGCTCTATCTTCACACAGCCAGCTCTACCTTCTTACTCAACCTCACCACCAGTGTTTCTCCTTGACTACCCTATCTAAGAAAGGTACCCCTCCCTCACTTTCTATCCTACTACCCTGTTTTTCAGTACATTTTACCATCTGAAATTATCTTGTTCAAATTTTTGTCTGATTCCTCCCATTTGTATGTAAGTCCCAAGACATAAGGACCTTGTCTGTTCTATTCATCACTGTATTTCCCCAGTGCCTGTGCATAGTAGATGCTCAACTTGTTGAAGAATCCTGTAAAATAGATGGCATGCTCACGCTGCAAATGAGGAAATGGGCTCAAAAGGCCTTGGTTAAACATCGTGACTGAGACCACACAGCTGGGAAGTGATTGCCTTGCAATGGTTGAAGGCTGAAGGGAGTCTTTGGATCTCTGGAGTCCAGGTATTTTGTTCTATGGTTGGGCAAGTCCCGCTGGGCCACGCAAAACAAAAAGCCAGGTTTTCAAAGAGGCACTCTGCTTTTGTGAACTTTGTCTTTTCAAGCTCTGTATGAGCTCATCTAGATTCATTAAAGATGATCAAGGTCCAAAATTAATCTACGGAAATCACATTCCACAAAAAATAACCGAAGAACTCAAAGATCCTGAGGTTTGGCAACTAGATTTATTTACATATAAGATTATGAAAGTAATTATATCTAATATTTCATCTCTTTGCCCCAGTCTTTCTTTTTGCATTGGGCAGTGTTTCAGTCAAACGTAAGAATCTGTACAAATTTAACAGAGAGAAAATACCACCTTACCCAAGACCAGGCAGCTGATCACGTTTACCTTGTCTCCAACACTCTGCAAGGAAAGAACTAAACGTTGCAGAGAAAGTGGAGAATAAATGCATTGCAAGGCAATCAGAAGAGGCAAGTAGGCCAGGGCAAGTCCTCTATTTTCTTCAAAAGTTTATTACATCCTCCTCTATTTTCATCAAAACGGTCTGTTTCACCAGAGGTAAACCATGTTCCATACAGTCATAAGTCATAAGCTTTGCAAGGCCCTCAAGGGTCCTTGGATGTCCAGTGGGTGCTATGCAAGGACATATCAAGTGGGTGCTATGCAAGGACTCTTGACAAAGGGCCCAAGTGTGGAATAAAGAAGGGTATGTATGAGTACACTTGGGCACTAAAATAGCTTGAAGGCTTTTTCCCTATAATCTAAGTTATATATGGACATGTGAGATACAAGGAAAGCTACGAAGTGGTGATTGTGTAGCTAATATTTTGAATTTCACTATGGCACTTGAAGAGAATCACTCACTGGGAGGACAATATCAGTATATATGCTGATTGTTCACCATGAAGAATATTTTAAGATAAACTATTCTAGAAATACACTAAACTCACCTAGACAGTTGAGTTCTGCAACTTATGAATGGCATTATAGGCTCTGAAATATACAGTGGACAGTAATTCTTTACCTTAACACCAAACTGTTCTCTCATTCTTCATACATTATTAGTCATGGTTTTATTACATAATAGGCAAGATAAATAATACTTTTATTACAAAATACATGCAAATAAAGAATATTCTGAGTTTTTACAAGTTCCAGGTCATGTCAGTCATGAGAACAAACAAGCACAAAGATCAGTCCCTGCTTAAAGACTTTCTCTAACCTACCTAATATTTAAGGCAAATTACACATGCTTTCAGGGCAATCAATTCAGAATTAAAACAGTATTTTTAGATGTAAATGTCTCTTGAGAAATACTTGATATTTTTGCTTTGTGGAACTTACACATATATAGTATTTGGCACAGAATTAGACATGCTACGTATTTTTCTGGGGAGAACACATTCTTCAGATAAGATGTATCCAAAGTTGAGGATAAGCATCCTATGAAATATGTAAGCTATACATAATATGTAACTTTGAAATTTACAGTTTAAGTTCATGTTAGCTAAATGTTATTGTGATTAGAAAATATAAAATAGCTACATAGAATGTTTTTTGGCTTTTGATACCTTTCTACATCCTGTGAGAGAGACTGCTTACGTTTCTAGAAGGATATGACAGATCCTTTATTAAAATGTTAGCACGGCCAAAAGCCATCTGAAAAGCATTTTTCTAGAAGTTTTTAATAAACCCCTCACATCCAGTAGCTATTGCACAGTGCAATAAAACAAAATATGCTGAAACAAAAACAATTAGGTCATTTTGCATTGCTCTAAAGAAATACCCAAGGCTGGGCAAATTATAAACAAAGAGGTTTATTTTGGTTCACGGTTTTGCATGCTGTATGGGAAGCATGGTGCTGACATCTGCTTCTGGTGAGGGCCTCAGGAAGCTTAGTCATGGTGGAAGGTAAAGGGAGAACAGGCATATTGCATGGGAACAGCAGGAACAAGAGAGATGGGGGAGGTGCTACGCTCCCCCCAGATCTCATGTGAACTACCACACCAAGCCAATCATGAGGGATCTGCCTCAATGATCCAAACACCTCCCACCAGGCCCCACCTCCAACACTGGGAATATTACATTTCAACATGAGATTTGGAGGGAATAAACATCGAAACCATATCAATCATCTAATACCACCCTCATGTAATAAGAATATTTAGTGGCCTAGGTAGCCAAACTATATAGCAAGGTGCTTATTCTTTCCAAAGACAATGTTTCAGCTATTTGGAGGACGAAAGAGTATTTCTAATCAAAGTTGTGCTCTTCCAGATTTACATTTGTGCAGTTGTGAGAACTCCAAAGAACTTGATGTGTCCTGAGGACGTTACTACAAAGCGGTTAATTTCTGAATTGAATTTAAACTGTAATTTCCTTTCCAAATTCCGTATGGTTTGAACTCTACTCTAAAAGTAATTTTAGGGTACATTTCTTATTCTTGAATAATCTGAAAATACAAACTGTAACTTGCAAACATACACAAAACACAGGAGTTCAGTTGTACTCATAATACTAGCCCTCTTCTTAATTCTTACAGGATTGTTTTCTGTCCACCCATTTTGTGAAAACTGCATACTGCTGCTCTGCTCTGATAATTGTACAGGTTTTTCTTTTACTTTGAACTTTGACAAAGAATCCAGTGCTTCATCACACTTTATACTATTCTCCAGGCTTTTTCCACATATCCCCTATTTCAGCTGTTTACATTTAGATTTTCCTTTATGGGATTCCTCCTTCCAGGAACTTTGGTTAGGGGAATTCACAATAATAAATGACAACTAATAAAAAGTATATTTTAAAATCTATTTAATAGTTTTTCTCATAGGAGATCAAGAATTAAATGTCATCTAAAACACTGGGAAAGCAGATTATGAAGTGGTATTCCATATGCAATAAATATGCCAACATATCACCAACTTTATTTATAAAATCTGTTAACTGAATACAAATCAAGTATAAGGAAATCTTGTAAAGGTATCAGTGCTATGGAATTATACTGTTATTCTTTATCTTGTTTTAGTTATAAGATGTTCCCACCATTAGTTCTCAGGAATAATGAATATTTATCTAAGCACCACTGTATGACAACCCTGTGCCAGTGATATACATGTGATTTCATCCTTTCAATAACCATTCAAGGTTAATATCCCCTCCTTCTAGGTGATAAAAGGGAATAGCTGATACACAAATCCAAATATGACTTCACGGCCCAGGCCTTTCCTCTTCCTTCACCATTGTGCCATGCCACATCTCGTTTGAAAATCAAAAGTAAGTTATTTATTCTAAAACAGTTCGACACACTATGTTTCCTAAGGATGAGAGAAAATAACTTGAAAAAAAATTTAAAAAGCTATTTTTCCTTTCTCTGTGACAAAATGAATAATCAGTGAGTTTACTACATGTCAAAATTTTAAGTTTTCTTTTCATCGGGCAATACATAAAACTAAAAAAGCATTCAAGTATGGTCATCAATAGTACTAATCCACTAAAATATCAAAATCAGTTTGCTTCAAAAGTGTATTTTTTACCCCATGCTATGAAGTGTTGATATCAAAGTACATCATATGTAACCATTAAAGAGAACAGAGAGCACAAAAAGTAGTGAAGACGGTTAAAAAATAAAGAAAGTGGAGTAGTTGGCATATACACTTGGTATTACATGTTCTCTTTTGAAGTTTTTACTCAAAATAGAAAATACTAATGAACCATTTGGGCTAAATCATTTTCAAATTCCATAATATGGAAACTTAAAGAAAAAGTGGGCTTTGTAAAGGAAACAATATACATGCTATAATATGGATGAACCTCGAGGATATTATGCCAAGTGAAATAAAACAGTCGCAAAAAAAGACAAATACTGTATGATTTCACTTATATGTTGTATCTAGAGTAGTCAAATTCAGAAACAGAAAGTAGAATGATGATACTGAGAGACAGGGGAGGAAGAGGGAAATGAGTTGTTTAATGGGTACAGAGTTTCAATTTTGCAACACAAAAAAAGTTCTGGAAATTGCGTAATCATATGAGTATACCTAACACCACTTTGTTAAGAGGTAAATTTTGTTATGAGCATCTTCTCACAATTAAAATAACTAAATGTCATTTTTTAAAAGGACCCAATGATTTGTTAATGTGACAATGACACTGCAGGTATGTTTTAAAAACAAAGTATTTAGAGATACATGTAAGTTGTTATCTGCATGTTTATGGTATGTAAGGTTCACTGTACTATTTTACTTTTGTAGAATGTTTAAAATTTTCCTCAATTAAACAGAATAAAATAACTTTTAAAAAAGGAAACCAATAAGGAAATGAACTTTCCTAACCAAGAGAACCATCTAGCATGAAAACATATGATTATAGTTTAAACATGTAAAGTGTAACATTTTAGCCATAACTGATAAACATGTCACATCACTTATTTCACTTGAGAGAAAGCTGCTAAAAAACTAATTATTAACTGGGCTTGCATCGGAAAAACAATATGGAGAAAATTACATGGACAGTCTAAGTTTGCTATGAAAACAATGTACTTTTATTAATTAAAAGTCAAAAACAACAAAAGGGAAATTTCACAACCTTTGTTTGCAACTATATAATCTTTATGTAGAAAAACTATAAAGTGACAGTCTGATCTGGAAAGCAGCTCAACAATAAATCTAATCCTTACATTAAAAGTAAGTAAATTATAGAATCAGTTCACCCAAAAGAAATTGTCTTGCTGTAGAATATTTTAGCCCAACTGATTTCAACTATATTATTCTCATTTCTGACAAACTGTCTTTCCTGATATTTCAAATCACCAGAGATGTAACAGACAAGAACCCGTTGAAGTAAAAGAATAAAACACAAATACTCCAAGCACAATTACATGTGACATGATGAGTGCATTTAATCTACAATCTACAAAACTATACAAATTACCAATTATACATATAATCCATTTACATTGAAGCTCCATGAGGTGGTACTGAATAAACACTGAGGCATCAAATTTTCAACAATGGAACAAGGCTCACGGAACAGCAGCACATTCCCACCTTTTAGTCTAGCATCACAACACTTCCCCTGGGATTTGTACTTATTTATATATTATCTAAGTCCTAGGAAGTTGGTAACAAAAATTTTAAGTCAAAAGGATAATGAATTAAACACTCCCTAAAATCTATTCTAAAACATGCGTGTGAAATATGAAGAGATCAAGCACTTTGTAAATGTGAGATTTTACAGTCACGTGTTCCTTTAAACTTATACTAGTATCTTCACTAGTATCTGCACAATTTTCTGTAATTAGGCTTTTCACTAAAACTTAATAGAAGAGGAAAACAACAAAGAAAAAAACCTTATTTGTAAACTGTACAGTCTTAGAAAAGTGGTACTATTTATTTTTAAAACCAACTTTCTCTGCTAAAGAAATCACACTGTGTGGTCATCAGAACAGTTTAAGTCACTTTGGCAATACAGAGATTTATTTACCCTTATTTTGAATAACAATAATGATGATGATAAACTATTGTCACGGTCATATAATTTTTCAGAACTTACGCCACCATGGAGGCAAATGTGTACAGAATATTTCTAATAAACCTAAATTTAATCACAGTTAAAATTTCTCAAAAGTATTTTCAAGTGCTCAAGAATATTAAAGTTTGGGGGGAAATACCTAAGTCATAAATAAGCAAGTATTCCCTCCAAGATTCACTAATTGGGATAAAAGTCTCAGGGTAAGCCCACAAGAATGGTCTGCAATAAAGAAAAATCAGGTCTGTGTAGAGTAATTTCTGCCATCTTTAGCAGAAAAGCCAAAAACATTCTGAGCCAAATAAAAGCAAAGATCTTTTGATTCAGCGCCTTTTGTTGTGTTAGTTTTAATTTCTAACTTCTCAACATGTTATAGCTCAGAAATTCCCATATGCTTACTATCTGTAATAAGGAACTATAACGTTAAAGAAAAAATTCAGAGACGTGATCATTTTCCATCATAGGTCTGTCTCTCTTTGGTAAGAAACAGATCAAGACTTACTTATTTTCTCTCACCTACAGAAGAGAGGGGAGTTAAATGTCATTAACCTAGTAAACAATCCCTGTGTATAAACATTAAGTTGGAGGGTAAAGAGCCTAAGTCATGCCCTTTATAAGAACTGTGGAAAACAACTCTGGCACGTAGCTGTGGTAGAGGACAGTAAGTGTCCACAGATAGAACATGATCTTTCCTGCAACTGGAAGACCATGCTTATGAACATTCTAGTCAACCTATAGAAATTTTGCTCTGTAACTTGAGTGTCCTTCAGACAAGAAACATGAATAATAAGCTATTATAAAAATATGGTAGAATATCTTCCCCCTTATAAGTCACCAATTTCTGATCCCATTAAACTTTCATAGAATCCATGGGAGTATTAAGTAGGTTTACTCTAGGTAATTTGTCATGAAGTAAAACTGGAAATAACCTATCTAATAATACCATTTGCAATTCAAGAAAAAAAAATCCAATACAATCTAATATGTACATTAACAAACTTCACAGAATATATATTCTATCAGGCCTAAGAAATCCTCACCCACCCAACCAAAAGAAAGTCAGTTTCACCCACTGTAAGATAAACCATGACACTTGTATCTGGATCCAGAAAAAAAGAACTGCTAAACTCCAATGTAGTAGGAAAAATATTACAAATAAGCACCCAAAACTGACCTAAAATTTTCTACTCAATCCCGCAGGATGTCTTTTTTTGAAGAGAAATAAGCATCCCTTGCAACTTGACTGGAAAGATTATTACCTGACCAATTATTTCTAAGCCTATACTAGAAACCAGTGCAAGATGGAATGCCAAAATCACCACCAACTCGACACGACCGTTATTTTTGCAAAGAAAGGTAGTTATATAAAATTCCATTCTCCCAGGCAATGAGCAGGGGAGAAAAACATGTTACTTTTTAAATGGCTACATTTGTAGGTTTTTGAGTATCAGCACCAAATGTTCACTTTTAATTATTCTGAACAAATTTTTAGGAATTAATGTTTCCTAACAAAATGGACTAACAAAACAGTGAATAAGGAAATAACTTTCAAGCAATATTTGCATGCTGATAAGAACCATTAAGTAAAACAGTGATTGGCTCATTTCCAAAGCTACTGTAGGTGTGCACCGTTTGGAAATAGTGTATCTCACTGCTCAGCTAATATAGGAACTCTCCAAACCATGGGTGCACATCTTATTTTGTGACTAGGCAAGATTAAGTAAAACAAGTTGAAAAGATTTTTTTAAAAAGCAAGCTAAATCAAAATAATCCATTGTTAGAATAGTTTTCTACTTTCTCTTTTAGGGAGGAAAAAAAAAACCCATCAAACCAGTGTATGAAGTGCCTACATAAAAAACTGAAATCAAGATTCACAAATAATAGTGTCAGTTCAATTCTACATAACCCTTTATTATATTTATAGCAGTATTATGACCAACATTACACAAGTTTTATTTCTTCCTCATACCGTAGCAAATTTATTTTCATAATAGAGTTCAACTCTGCAAATGGTTTAAATCAACTTTTTGCACCTTGAATTTACAAACCATTAGATACGAAGTTTCCTGAAAAACATTTTATTTTTAAATTTTACTTAAAGCTATAACTAAACCCAAGTCTCTTGGGAGTGGGGGGGGACCAACTAAGCTGTTTAAACACAAACTTATAAAAAATATTCTGATGCCAGTGTTTGAAAGATAGCCTACAGAAGATTATAAAAGGTCAACGATCATACAAGAGAATTCTATGGCCAAACCTTGTTAGAAAATTTGTTTTACAAATAAACTTCTTTCATAATAGAAGAGGAAATGAAAAGATATTTAATTTCCCCCTAAAAGTAAGTAGTTGCTCAGAACATGGGTTGGATGTATGGAAATCATATTGCTTCTGTGAAAAAAATGTTTTAGCCAGGCATTCCACTAACAAAACGCCATGCCATATCTACCTAGTCTTTGATATCTGGGTATTAGTATTACCCAAGAGAAACTTATCAAAAGCAAATGGTTAGCAAACCACCAAATAGGAGTCTCAGGTCCCTTAATTTGGATAGTCATCTTAGTAAATATAAAACTTAAGCTACTTGAACACTGGGGCTTATAAAGTGCATCAGGTATAAGAAGCACAACAGTAGTGTGAAACTCAGTAGGACTTTAAGGGACTTAATATCACCGGTGGGGCAAAAAAACAACATTATAGTTTTCTGTTCAGATTTTATTTGAAATCTAATTCAAATTGTCAAAGCTACAAAAGGGGGGAAGACATCTGTATTATTTTTGCTAAGTCACAACATCCTAAAACAAAATACTACTACTGTCAGCAGATCCATTATACACATTTCTGATGAAATCCATTAGAACAATAAAAATTTCATCTTGAGAAATAGCCACAATGAAAGTAATTTACACAATATAAAACAATGACAGATCTACAGATGCAGTTGCTCATGAGTTTACACATGCATACACAAACAAACAAAAAACCCCAGGAATGCTCTTTCATTTGATTTTTTGTTTTTTTAAAAAACAGACCGTTCAGGCACAAAACAAATCGCATTTCCAATAAGTGACAGCATCTTAAAAATTTACGTCAGTGTTTGTTTTTCTTTGACTTTTTATGAGACCTGTGTGGAGATCTGGACTGGGATCTGGACTTCTTTCCTGATTTTTTAGGAGATCTAGACCGTGATCGCCTAGACCTTTTAGGTGTCCTTGAACCAGATGGTGATCTAAGGAAACAAACAAAAAAATCCCAATTGATAAAGTACTCATGTGATCAAAACTGTTTATCCTTAAACGATCGAAAATGATCTTTAACAGGGCACAGTGAAAAATCACTGCAATAAGACTATGAACTTCTAAAATTTAAACTCTATTGTACACACACACACACAGATTATTTTGTACTTACTATGCACTGCATCAATGATCATCAGTAGAGCGCTTGTTTATAAAGACAGATTTCTGTGCCTTATCACTGCTCTACTGAATCAAAATCTCTGGAGGATGGAACTAAGAATTTGCATTTTTAACAAGCTCCATAAGTGACTGATAACCCCCAAATTTGAACCTTTAATCTACAAGATAAAGTTCAAAGTTGCACCTAAGATCATGCACAAAATTTAAAAAACACAGCAGCTTTGAAGTTTATCATCCTGAAGCAAACAACTACTGCAGTATCATTCAAGGGCATCATTTAAGACATAATTTTGTAAGTGCTGTTCATGAAGGATTACTTAAACCAATAAAGATACATGTACATATACATACATATATAACACATACATACATATATATACAGGTGCCATTTAGAAAAGGAGAAAGGTATCTATTCTGTAAAGATTTTACTAAAAATAGTTACAATAATAAAGTATTAGCATACAAAGCAGTTTTAGCTCTCAGGAAAATTCCTCTATGTATCACCAGATAAATAAAACATTTCTGAACCATTTTTCTGGAACTAAAGGAAAAAAAAGTATACAAAATACTAAAATACATACTGAAAAAATGGTATTCATGATATGTATTTCCAAAAATATCTACCCAAGAACTTGCTAATAATATTGCTATGGGGGAAAAATGTGTGTTTCTTTCAGCTTTGACAAAAATCAAATAATATTCTATAGAAACTAAAGAACAGAACGAAAAGTAAAGCAGCTAACCCTATTCCACAGAAAACATTGGATATGATGTTTAAAATTCTTGGCTGGTCCTCACTTGTTGGAAGCCTTCACTTCAGTCATGAAAGAGATTGGGATGAGGAGGTGGGGAGGAATAACCAAAAATGAAAGTGTATCTCTTTGGTTTTCTAAAATCCTTAAAAAAAAAAAAAAATGTATGCCAACCAAATTATTTTCAAAAGCTGATGAAATGACAAGGAAACTGGTATCTGAAATATTAGCAAAAATGACTTGCATTTACCTTTTGGCTTTTTTGCTAACATCTCTAGGAGAATCTTTGTGAGATGACCTGGACCGTGAGCTCTCTTTATGAGATCTTTCTGAACGCTCTGATCGCTCCGATTTTGGTGATGGGGATTTCACTCGTCTACCACTGCTACTGCGAGATGGGCTGGGGGATGTACTGTGTCGCCTCTTCCTATGGAACAAAGCCCCCAAAACATTCCATAAATGAGCAAAGGATCGGGTATTCATTTTCCTTTACTAAATTAGCTATTAATTGCTACCAGCTTACTCTTTTATTCTAACCATGTAATGTTACTTTTAACAATACTCAAAGTCCTTTGTAACAAGAACAAATAAGTGTTAAAGATAGGTTGTCAAGAGACAACAACTGAATTCAACTAAATTGGATTTTCTCTTTGCAATAAGAGGTTATTGAAACAACTGGCAAAATCTAATTAAGGTCTCTGGATTAAATATCAGTTTTTTAAAATGTTGAATGTGGTTAAGAGAATGGGGCATCATGTTGGCAAATTATTCTTAAATGGTTGGAGGTGGGACAGAAGAGGAAGAATAAAGCAAAAGTAGAAATACTTTAACATTTGGGTAATGTGGGTGAAGGGTAACTATCAATTATACTATTCTTGCAACTTTCCTATAAATCTAAAACTATGTCAAAATAGTAATAAAAGTCAAAAAAGTGACAGACTTTTAACCAATTGGCATAACTTGTTATTTGTAACTATCTGTAGCGTGACTAAGCTAGACTTTTATTTGCAATGGCTTGGTCTTTTTATTAGGAAAACCTCAGTTCAGTTAAGGGAAACAATTTTCTTTACTCAATCAGAGATTTAGGAACCGTGAGAGTAAGACATAAAAACTGAAAGAGAAATGCTTTTGATTAGAATGAAGACTTAAGGTGAGCTTTGGCCTATGTATACAACCTCCTTTCAAGATAAGACTAAGACTCAAGTTTACAAGTAGCAGCCTCAGCACAGATACTGGAAAATATGCTTAAATTGGATGCAACAAGGAAAATCTAGCAAGTTGTTTTGTTACTTAAACCTCAGGTTTGATATCTAATACTGTAATTGAATCCTTGCACTGAACTAAGGCTAAGGATACCATATAAACCATGTGAAGGGATGATGCCCTGGTTAACTAAGTCAAGTGCCAACTAAATGCCCCATTTCTCCGCTATTTCTGCCTTCTGCAAGCAGGACCCAAACAAGTTTATCATGAACAAACACTTCCAGTTTGCGGGCATCAATGATGAAAGTATTATAAAACACCACTGCAAATCTTGAAACCAGTATATGCAATTAAATATGAGAAATGTTATACCTTTCCTTCCTTGTCGGAGTACACTCATCTTTTTCCTTCTTGTCTTTGGAGCGAGATTCCAATTTTTCTTTATCTTTCTTGTCTCTTTCTCGTTCTCTTTCTAACTCTTTCTCTTTCTCCTGTTATTTTTTATAGAAAATATTAAGTTGTTTAAAAATATCAATGTGGGTTAATCTCATTTATAGAACAATATCTTCTCTTACAGGAAATAATTTTTTAAATTACTACTTAAGGTACAATACTATTAAAAAAAAAAAAATCTACCCCTTCAGGGAAACTAGTCATTTCTTTTGCTTATACTGAATAAAACTAATCCTAGCAACAGCAGCTATACATTTACTGAGTGCTTACCACAGGCCAAACAATATACTAAACAGCTTTCCACAGACCATTTCATGTAATCATTTAAAGCATCCCTAAGAAAATTACTATTATCCTCATTCTAGAGATGAAAATTGAGACTCAGAAAGATTAAGTACCATGTGCATGGTCACACAGGAGAGTCAGGTCAGAATTTGAGACCAAGCTCTAGAGTCAGAGCTCTTCCCCCACTGTCCCACCTGCCGAAAAATTCCAATCAGAAAAAGCTAACAATGTACTGCCCTTTCCATAAGTTACAATAAAATAGTCAGTAAAAGTGATCCCTCTAACTATAAACAAATTGATTTAATCAAAAAGAGCTCTTACCAAAGAAAAAAGGCTAGAAAAGGAAAATGGTTATTCACAATAATCTTCCATCGAAGTTTTATTAGTGGGAAACAAGTACCAATTACACTGCAAATTTTAAATCCTAAATACAAACTGACTACATGACTCTACAATCAACCAAAAAAAAAAAAAAAAACCAACACATTTGCTTATCCCCAGATGCTACAACTGCCACTTCTCATTTGAAATTCTGATTTTGGTATATAATTAAAGGAGTGGCTACAGACAATAAATCCACACAACTAACTTAGTTCTTCACTAAATGGAATTTAATTTCTCTACGATTCATATGCATCAAGCAAGCTATGTGATAGCTGATTCTTCTGATTTCTAAAAGGTGAAAAGAACCTATACCAGATGTTGGCAAACACTTTTTGTACAGAGCCAGACAGTAAATGCTCTCTGCTTTGTGGGCCACATACAGTCTCTGCCACAACTACTCAACTCTGCCACAGCAGAGTGAAAGCCACCCTACAAAATACCTAAGTCAAGGTGCATGGCTGTGTTCTAATACAACTATTTACAGAATCAGGCAAGGACCATATTCCTTCTCTCCAATTATAATCAAAGGAGACTAAAGTGGTAACACAAATATTATGTATTTTGTGCTTGCTACCATCAGAACAGTGAGCATCTCAAGGTGTAATCTCCTATGGGGTATAGGTAAGTAGCATCTTATTATTATTTTTTTAGACAGAGTTTTCCACTCTTGTTGCCCAGGCTAGAGTGTAATAGCACGATCTCAGCTCACGACAACCTCCGCCTCCCAGGTTCAAGTGATTCTCCTGCCTCAGCCTCCTGAGTAGCTAGGATTACAGGCATGTGCCACCACACCCAGATAATTTTGTATTTTTAGTAGAGACGGGGTTTATCCATGCTGGTCAGGCTGGTCTTGAACTCCTGACCTCAGGTGATTTGCCTGAGGTGATTGCCCGGCCTCCCGAAGTGCTGGGATTACAGGCGTGAGCAACTGCGCCCAGCCATAAGTAGCATCTTTTACAAAATCTCATTTATCTTTTTTCCAAATATATAGAGGGCAACTTTTAAACAGTGGTGCTAAGCAGACTGACTCCCTCTGGTGATCTGTAGGATGCATTCTCCTGATTGATAATGAAAATGAAAATGATCTCCTAATTGAGATGCCTATTTTATAGGAACCGTATAGCTAAAATACTTATAATGAAGAGTAACAGTAATAATATTAGCTATTATCTAACTCATAATCTTACAAAATTGGGAGTATCAACCCAGTTTCAGAGAAAAAGCAGGCTGCAGTGACTTGCCTAGGAGTACACAGCAGAGAGCAGTACTAGCATTCCACAGGTCTGAGCAGCACCACAGTTGCTTTACCAGACTGCTCCCCAACACGTTTTGTACATTAACAGCTTTATAGTGATTGTAAGTTCCCTTTTTATGGCTCTTTCCTATTTCACTTTCTATATAATCTCATTATTATTGGTTTTTCTTTTTTTTTTTTTTTTTTTGCAACGACAGTCTCAACAAAATTCCTGAGGTTCCTGGTTCTAAAATTCTCTGCACATGCCTATAAATTTTGTGATGCACGAGAATATAAAGTCCCTCAAACACTCAGAGCTCACCAATGAGGTATTCTACCACTTGCTGTCCCTCCCTGGAAACCATGAGAAATGAAAATAAACTTCTCAACACCAGAACTTCCCAAACCCTGCCTCCATCTTTTTCTTTCTGTACTACCTCTCAGGGTTGTTGGCGTCTCACTGTCACAAAATGTGACTTGTCCTGAAGGGTTTTCCAGTTTTGAAAGCATGCTCTTAGCAGAATTAATCTTCTTGTCCACAGGTAATACTCAGAATAAAATAGTGTGCTGCTGCCTTTAAGCTCCTTTCCAATCAAAATACTTTTAAAATATCAAATTTCAAATGTTTCTGATTGCCCTACTAGTATTCAAAATTTATACAAAGGATATAATTTGAAATCATCTTTAGGTATACCAGTATTCTAGGAAGTCAAATAAATAACTTCAAAATATGTGTATTATTGGGTATACTTATTCCTTACTCGTTGAAGAAGTTTATCTCTGTAGTGTTCTACTTGCTCCTGAAAACTCTGGCCTGGTTTTTTAGGTCTTTTCCCAGATTCCAATTCATCCTGAAACTTCATAACTTTGAGCTGTGAAATAAAATATTTTAAAAATAAGCATTTTCATCATTCTAGATTCTCAAGCACTGTTTTGCTTCTTTTCTATAGCAAAGTAGTAACTAATTAGTACTCAGTCAAAATATAACCTCACCTGAAGGCCACTTGTCAGACAAGTCCAACTAGGCAAAAATCAGCTGACCAGATGGGAACCCTCTCTGGTCATGAGAGGACTCAAAAACCGTGAACCGTGCTTCATGGCTGTAAGAACTCACTTATTCTCTCAACACAATTATAACAAATTTGGTATCTGGTTCCCCAAATTAGAAAAGCAAGGTTGCTAAAGACACGCACACTGCCAGCATGATATGACAGTCAGAATGCAGATTAAACATCTTTAAAAAAGAGGCGGGGATGGGAGGTGGGAAGGCTGTGGCATTCTGGTTCAGCTCATGTAAGACCAAACACAAAGCTGCACACAGTCTGAAGGTTTCACTCACAGTGCAATCACCAGATATCAAAACACAAAGAAAAGGTTAAATCACATTTGGAGGGTACTTTATGAGACAGTAAGAGCAAATACTGATTAAAACAGACCAGGCCGGGCGCAGTGGCTCACGCCTGTAATCCCAGCACTTTGGGAGGCCGAGGTGGGCGGATCACCTGAGGTCAGGAGTTCAAGACCAGCCTGACCAACATGGAGAAACCCCATCTCTACTAAAAATACAAAATTAGCCAGGCATGGTGGCACATGCCTATAATCCCAGCTACTCGGGAGACTGAGGCAGGAGAATCGCTTGAACCCGGTGGGCGGAGGTTGCGGTGAGCCGAGATGGCACCATTGTACTCCATGCCTGGGAAACAACAGCAAAACTCCGTCTAAAATAAAAAAAAAAACCAGACCAGAAAAACTTCCATCTCTTATTACCTATATAAGTGCACAAAGGTATTTTACAAGATATTCATTGCAGCATTGTTTGTAAAAACAGACCACCTACATCTTTACCCAGAGATTTCTGGCTAATACACCTCCACACAAACAAATACATGTAATATACTTATATACTGGCAATGGATAAAGATCTGAAAAAACTAGTAAAATCAGTTACAGGGAGAGGAAAAACCTGCAATAAGTGAGCTTAATTTTACTTTTTATTCTGGAGATATAAGTATCTTAAAATTTTGTACTATATAAAAATAGTAAAAAGAATAAATTCATGATTTATTTTGAATTTAAAAATAAAAACTTCACAAAGTGGTTAAAATAAAAACTATCCTAAGGCTTAAAGGAGCTTAAATTATCCAAAAAATTTACAAGGGTGAAAATACCTTCTTCTTGAATTCTACGGGAGGACAAATAAGGTGAAAAGTATGAGGACCTGGAAGATCCTCCAAGTGGTAGAAAGCACATGGATCTTGGATGATACCACTGGGCTGCCAATCTGCTCAATATTGTTCCACTCAAAGAGAAAGAGGAAGCATTCTTGTCCCATGAAATTACTGTAGATGCTAACATTTTATCCTATTTTATTCAGACACTGATATATCCTTTAAATGGACTAAATGCTACTACAGCATTTTATTTATACTTCAAAAACAAGACTTCATTTGCTTGTTACCCCCCTTTATTACAAATTAGTCTTTACCATTTCTCCCCATTCCAAGTGGTATTTTCTTTCTTTTTTTTTTTTTTTTTTTTTTTTTTTGAGATGGAGTCTTACTCTGTTGCCCAGACTGGAGTGCAGTGGCACAATCTCGGCTCGCTGCAACCTCCACCTCCCAGGTTCAAGCAATTCTCCCGCCTCAGCTTCCCAAGTAGCTGGGATTACAGGCGCACGCCACCAAGCCTAATTTTTGAATCTTTTTTTTTTTTTTTTTAAGCAGAGACAGGGTTTCGCTATGTTGGCCAGGTTGGTCTCGAACTCCTGACCTCAGGTGATACACCCAGCTTGGCCTCCCAAACTGCTGGGATTACAGGAATGAGCCGCCATGCCCGGCCCCAAGTGGCATTTTCACTATTTTTGACTTCATGAATGTTTCTTATACGTTCTCCAATTCTGTCCTTTTTCCATCTATTTTCACTTTTTAATTAATTATTTTTTGAGACGGTGTCTCACGCTGTCACCCAGGTGCACTGCAACCTTGGCACACTGCAACCTCCGCCTCCCAGACAGTCTCCCAGGTTCAAGCAATTCTCCTGCCTCAGCCTCCATGCCTGACTAATTTTTGTATTTTTAGTACAGACAGGGTTTCACCATGTTGGCCAGGCTGGTCTCAAACTCCTGACTTCAAGTGATCCGCCCACCTCGGCCTCCCAAAGTGGTGGGATTTCAGACATATTTTCACTTCCATAATCAGGGTCTTTTATAATCAGAGCTTTGATGTTCTCTCCTTCTCTTCTTTCAAAGCTCTCTAAAAGTCTACATTTTTCGTGTGTTTTAATCATGACTGCATTTAAAAAGATAAGATGTAAGGCTGAGAAAGCAAGGGGGTGGGGTGGGCAACATAAATAGCTAAGTTCATCGCTGTGTGAAGCCTCTCGTGACCAAGATGACTCTTCCACAGAATGTATTTGTAGTAAATCAGTTTGCGTTAGAAAGAGTCAAACAACAGACCCAAATGTTACTTAGGGGAGAGAAGGGATTCCTAAGATAATCATTTTAAAAATCACTATACAATCCCTACTTATAGTTCCTGCTGATACAGTCTAACTGAGGCTCAAGCACAAGTCCAAGACACACAGAAAACAGATGATCAAGGGTCTCAACACAAAAGGAAGTGGCCCATGCAATGGCTTCTTAACTATCCAGCCCTTATTGCCTTCAGGCAACAGACAGGTATCACCTTCCAACTCAACTGTTCACTCTTTCCTCAGGGACCAGGACAGAAAGTGATCTCTCTCTTCCAACAAGACAGAAGACCCTCCACTTGGTTCCCCACCCACTATTCTACTCTTCCAACCTTGTTGGTAGAAATGGGGACAATAGTAGAATAAGAAAAGGAAACTCCAGCCTAGGCACTGCTCTCAGTGGTATGTGAAAGATTAAGAACTGGCTTCTGACCCCGTCCGGGAGGGAGGTTGGGGGGGGTCAGCCCCCCGCCCGGCCAGCCGCCCCGTCCGGGAGGTGAGGGGCTCCTCTGCCCGGCCGCCCCTACTGGGAAGTGAGGAGCCCCTCTGCCCGGCCAGTCGCCCCGTTCAGGAGGGAGGTGGGAGGGTCAGCCCCCCGCCCGGCCAGCCGCCCAGTCCGGGAGGTGAGGGGCGCCTCTGCCCGGCCGCCCCTACTGGGAAGTGAGGAGCCCCTCTGCCCGGCCAGCCGCCCCGTCCGGGAGGCGGGAGGGGGGGTCAGCCCCCTGCCCGGCCAGCCGCCCCGTCCGGGAGGGAGGTGGGGGGGGTCAGCCCCCCGCCCAGCCAGCCGCCCCGTCCGGGAGGTGAGGGGCTCCTCTGCCCGGCCGCCCCTACTGGGAAGTGAGGAGCCCCTCTGCCCGGCCAGTCGCCCCGTCCAGGAGGGAGGTGGGGGGGTCAGCCCCCCGCCCGGTCAGCCGCCCAGTCCGGGAGGTGAGGGGCGCCTCTGCCCGGCCGCCCCTACTGGGAAGTGAGGAGCCCCTCTGCCCGGCCAGCCACCCCGTCCGGGAGGGGGGAGGGGGGGTCAGCCCCCTGCCCGGCCAGCCGCCCCGTCCGGGAGGGAGGTGGGGGGGTCAGCCCCCCGCCAGGCCGGCCGCCCCGTCCGGGAGGGAGGTGGGGGGATCAGCCCCCCGCCTGGCCGGCCGCCCCGTCCGGGAGGGAGGTGGGGGGATCAGCCCCCCGCCTGGCCAGCCGCCCCGTCCGGGAGGTGAGGGGCGCCTCTGCCCGGCCGCCCCTACTGGGAAGTGAGGAGCCCCTCTGCCCGGCCAGCCGCCCCGTCAGGGAGGGAGGTGGGGGGGTCAGTCCCCCGCCTGGCCAGCCGCCCCATCCAGGAGGGAGGTGGGGGGGTCAGCCCCCCGCCCGGCCAGCCGCCCCGTCCGGGAGGGAGGTGGGGGAGGTCAGCCCCCTGCCCGGCCAGCCGCCCCGTCCGGGAGGTGAGCGGCGCCTCTGCCCGGCCGCCCCTACTGGGAAGTGAGGAGCCCCTCTACCCGGCCACCACCCCGTCTGGGAGGTGTACCCAACAGCTCATTGAGAACGGGCCATGATGACAATGGCGGTTTTGTGGAATAGAAGGGGGGGAAAGGTGGGGAAAAGATTGAGAAATCGGATGGTTGCCGTGTCTGTGTAGAAAGAAGTAGACATGGGAGACTTCATTTTGTTCTGTACTAAGAAAAATTCTTTTGCCTTGGGATCCTGTTGATCTGTGACCTTACCCCCAACCCTGTGCTCTCTGAAACATGTGCTGTGTCCACTCAGGGTTAAATGGATTAAGGGCGGTGCAAGATGTGCTTTGTTAAACAGATGCTTGAAGGCAGCATGCTCGTTAAGAGTCATCACCACTCCCTAATCTCAAGTACCCAGGGACACAAACATGGCGGAAGGCCGCAGGGTCCTCTGCCTAGGAAAACCAGAGACCTTTGTTCACTTGTTTATCTGCTGACCTTCCCTCCACTATTGTCCTATGACCCTGCCAAATCCCCCTCTGCGAGAAACACCCAAGAATGATCAATAAAAAAAAAAATAAAAAATAAAAAAATAAAAATAAAAAAAAATAAAAAATAAACTAAAAAAAAAAAAAAAAAAGAACTGGCTTCTGGCCACCACAACATCATATAGGTACAAGATTTTTGTGTTTTTACAAAGGATGTTAGTATTTTATAACACGAATCATTTGGTTTTTATTTATTCCATGCTACAAACTGTTCAGCTATAGGTATCTTTATTAGGACACACGTGGGGATGCAAAATTACAGTATATATACTATAGAATATAATAGAACTAATTGGAGAAACTGATTTAGAACTTTATTCTTAATTTAATGGTTCTCCAATAAAAGGGTTTGGATTCTAAATCTCGAAATGGATATCCAAATTTAGGGGCAGAGAAGAGAGCTAGTTGTGAAAAGCCCTGGGATAAAGCTCATGAGCTCCGAGTTCTAGTCCAAGTTTGCCACCTGTTGTGGAACTTTATTCCATATGACTAAATCTCTCAGAGGAAACACAAGAGAAGATTAGATAATTTTAAGATGAAGCCAAGATAAACATTTTAAAATCAGGACTTAGTTCATGGTCCAAATCCCAGAAAGACAACTAAGTTGTGAGAGGCAGTCACTATGAAAGCAGGAGAAATAATCACTGAATACATAAAGGACAGGCCAGATTACAAAAGAGCACATGAAGTATGGAAATGTATGCATATATGTGTGCAATGTGCATGCACGTGTATCGCATATATACGTATACAAGGTGGAAAGAATAAGGTTTGTAAAAACGACCTAAGTTAACAAAAAAGCTAAATTACATGCTTTCCTCTCTTTAAGTTAATAAGGAAACAGAACATACTAAACAGTTGGGGCATTTATATGAGGGAATAGCTTGTATTATCAAGAAAATACACTTCTATTTAACTCAAGTCTATTTCTACTCCAACAGTTTTCATCAGGTCAGAAAGGGAGTGCTCTTTTTTTTTTTTTTTTTTTTTTTGACGGCGTCTCACTCTGTCGCCCAGGCTGCAGTGCAGTGGCATGATCTTGGCTCACTGCAAGCTCCGCCTCCTGGGTCCACACCATTCTCCTGCCTCAGCCTCCTGAGTAGCGGGGACTACAGGTGCCCGTCACCATGCCCGGCTAATTTTTGTATTTTTAGTAGAGACCGGGTTTCACCGTGTTAGCCAGGATATTCTCGATCTCCTGACCTCGTGATCCACCCGCCTCGACCTCCCAAAGTGCTGGGATTACAGGCATGAGCCACCGCAGCTGGCCAAGGCAGAGCTTCTTATAAGGTGAGAGGAGTAAAAGAGGAGCATGTGTAGGTTGAAAAGGTGCACAGGTGAGTGTGTTCACTGACACACATCTTATCCCCTGAAAAATATTTAAAATGTATATGAATACATCCCAGGAAAAAATAAATCAACTAATCAACTCTGAAAATCCTTCATCTCTACTTAAAAATGACACCACGCTGACTCTACATAAGGTTAAAACAAAATGCTGTCTGTTTACTTTTCAGTTTGGTGATGTCTGACAAAGAGGTGGGCAAGAACTTTTATCAGCCCAACAGTGACTATGTGGAGAAGTGGCAATGAGGTAACTAATGTGATAGGTATCATAAGTTAGTAAGGGAGATAGTACTGACATACAGTAGGCATTCAAAAATACCGTTCAATGAATGTATACAGTATGAAAATTCACTCTCATACATTCTTTAGAGGTTTGAGACTGATTGCTAAACTACTGCTAGCATTTACTGGGAATATTTCATCCCCTTGAGGGCATTACAAAGCCCTTCTCTGAGATGTCTGAATAGCCTTGGACAAAAGAAAAGGCATTTAAAAAGGAGAGGGTGAGACCAGCCTGGACAACATAGTGAGACCTCATCTCTATCCAAAAAAAAAATTAGTCGGGCTTGGTGGTGCACATCTGTAGTCCCAGCTACTCCAGAGGCTGACATGGGAGAATCTCTTGAGCCTGGTGGTTTGATGTTGCAGTGAGCTATGGTCACACCATTGCACTCCAGCCTGGTCAACAGAAAGAAACCCCGTCTCAAAAAAAAAAAAAAAAAGGAGAGGGGAGAGGGGAAAAGGGAAAGGGAGGGAAATGTCTGCCTGAGATAGTCTGGGCTCTTCTATACATTTCCCCATCTTTTAGTATTAAGACCCACTCAATGTCTATTCTCCTTCATATGGTACAGACATTAAAAATGAGCCTAATAAAATGTAAACATAACAGAATATGCCAGAAAATATTTTACTTTTTCCTAGTTGCATAACTATGAACACTCAAGATGAAATGGATTTCTTGCCGGGTGTGGTGGCTGACACCTGTAATCCCAGCACTTTGGGAGGCCGAGGTGGGCGGATCACGAGGTCAGGAGATCAAGACCATCCTGGCTAACACGGTCAATCCCTGTCTCTTCTAAAAAAAATACAAAAAAATGAGCCGGGCATGGTGGCTACTCCGGAGGCTGAGGCAGGCGAATGGCGTGAACCCAGGAGGGAGAGCTTGCAGTGAGCCGAGACTGCGCCACTGCACTCCAGCCTGGGTGACACTGCGAGACTCCATCTCAAAAAAAAAAAAAATGGATTTCTCACAGTACATAACACATAATGTATTACATATATATATATATATATACATATAATCTATACATTAGAATCCATTTCTTCAGAGGATCTCCTATGTGTCATGTATTAGACATACAATGATAAAGAGAAAACAGACATGGCCTTTTCCCTTCATGGAAAGTGCAGCCTAATGGGGAAGACAGACATTAAATAAGCAAGCAAGCAAGTAAGCAAACAAACAAAATACACATTCACATACATACCCCACAATACATATAAAATCACACAGAAATAAATAGGAAGAAGCAAGTAAGTCCAAAAGGGTAAGAAAAGGCTGTGAGTGAACAGACGGTTGAACTAAGAGGCCTGAAGAAAAGTCATCTGGTATGAAGAGTTCTAAGCAGAGAGAAGGAACAGTATGTACTACGGTACAATGCAAAGAGGCAACTTAGTTTGGTGGAGAAAGTGAAAAGCCAATAAAGTGTAATTTAAGTTTCACTGCAACACCAACCTCAATTTCACGAAGTTTGGCTCGTTTTTCCTCACTCATTTCAGAGTACTTAGAGAACTTAGACTCAGTCATTTCTTCTTTGATTGGATTAGAGTACAAATGATGTTCTTCAGATTTGGAACTTTGAGTATCTTCTTCATCTTCACTTTCTTCTTCTTGACTTTAGAAACAAGCAGAATACATTGTATGTCAAGGCAGCAAGAGAGTACCATATTTTACAGTCTACCTATTTTATTTTTCATTGTCTTAGAGCTTAAATAACATAGCCAAAACATAATAGGACAATTCATACCTCAAGCATATTTTGCAAAATATTTTATCAATATTTTACAGACAATTTTATAAAACACTTCTTTCCTCCACAGAAAATGTGTGAGCTTCAACATAAGCATACTGTAATAAATTCTGCTTATGTTGTTATCTGTGTGCCTTCCATTTGCAACAAACTTTCCTTGCAGCAGTTAAATGAAACGAATAATCAAGTTTCTGCATACTTCACAGTTCAGAGTGATTTCAAGAAGCTTTATGTTCTCCATTCCTGAGTTATTTCACTCATATTGTGAGCAACAATATTCACAAATATTCTATGTTCTCATTTATAAGTGAAAGTTAAGCTATAAGGATGTAAAGGCATAAGAATAATACAATGGACTTCTGGGACATGGAAGGATGGGAGGGGGGTGAGGGATAAAAGACTATATATTGGGTACAGTGTACATTGTTCAGGTGACAGGTGCACCAAAATCTCAGTAATCACCACTAAATAATATATCCATGTAACCCAAAACCACTTGTACCCCAAAAACTTTTAAAATGAAAATTAAAAAAAATTAAAAATAAAAAAAGCTGTATGTGTGCCTTTAGTAACTTCAGCAGAGCCTATAATCAATCTAGAAAATACATGAGCTTGAGTCACAGAGTTACTAAGAAATAACCAATACAGCTGGTAAAGACCTTATCTGATTAGCACATAACCTTAATAATAAAGCAATGTATGCATTTTATATATTAGCAAATACCGGTATTCACATTTCAGTTGATTCTGAAAGTTGCACTGGTTCTGGGTCAGACAAGAAAATAAAAACCTGAGAGACTATCATGAGTAAGTCACTTAGGATACAAAGAAGAAAAATTCTCCTGTCCTTCCAGAAGCAGTCTAGTGGAAACACAAACAGGCAACTGTGTGTAAAGCTGGTCATCAATGCTAGTACAGGATTAACCAAATGTTCTTGAAGCACAAAGAACAAATGGTTTTTTTAAAAAAAATACATTCTGAGACTGGGTTGTGTGTGTGTGTGTGTGTGTGTATACTATTGGCAAATAAATCTGGGCAAAACAAGATACCCATATACAAACAAACTCAGAATGTTTATATATATACAAACAAAATTCCTTACAAACAATGTTGACTGTGATAACATTACTGGCATAACCCAGAACAAACGCTGTTTTGCCTTTAATACTTGAATCTCGCAAGCCCTTCTATGTTGGTATTTGGGTACTAAGGACATTCTACGATGAGCAGAAAGATTCCTTTTAATATACATGTAGAATTATTCTTAATAATGTAAAAAGTTATAATCAAATTCTTTCCAAATAAAATTTAATTAAAGTCTTATGTAATAAGACCTTCATTGTATGAGAGAAAAATTTACACCAGGCAGATAAAAAGAAAGGCTGTCAATTCAGAATCAGAAAAGATATGGTACTGAGAAAACTCTGATACTAGCTTTTAAATTTCTCAACCAAAGGTCCTTTCTAGACATTACTAAAATATTTTACTAACTTCATCTTCAGAACCACACAAATCATTAATATCACCATACAGGTACAACTCAATACAATATTAGCTAAGGAAGAAAAAAGTCCAAACCAACAGTTTAAAAATATTCTTCTTGGAAAAAAAGTTTTACTTAATATTTCTCATTAATTTGTCATAAATTTCCTAAATACAGTTTTTAGTTAATTTTTTTAAAACACAAGAATTTCCTGTTTTATGGTACATAAAATTATACAAGTGTTTCAGATGCTTTTAGATTGAAGTGTATGTGTGTTTATGTAAACAGGGATGTTTACTGAAGAATTATTCTAGAAGACTCAATAAGGACGTGACTTTGTTAAACTGAGTCACAGTTACTATGAAACAATAATACAGCAGATATTGATTACTTAACCAATTCTAGCCTGTAAAATTTTTTCTAATTTTTTTTTGCAATTTCAAATATTCTTTGGTAAACATCCTTGTATGTTTACCAAAATGTTTGCTTTCAATCATAGATGAATACAGAACAGGTAAACAGATTAAAATGGCATAATACCAATGACATTGAATGAAAAACGTGTCACAGAATAGCATGTACAGTAATATTACATCATTTATGTCAATAGTTATGCATGTTTTTATACACACAGAAAGGGTCTAGATGGCTGAACATTAAACATTTAACCATATTACTTAAGACTTTTTAAATGAGCTCTATTCATGATTTAAAATATGTAAATATTTTAAATTGCTATTATAATTTTTTCAAGGCTTAAGCAGTTTTTCTAAACTGGTTTTGGCCTTAGCTTTTAGCCACAATTCGAGGTTCAAATCTTATCACAGCTTCTTCCTCTTCTTTTTTTAAAAAGACATGCAAATTCAAGATTCTAAATCCATACAGTATTCAATACAAATGAAACTGCTTTTTGTAACTTTTCTCCAAAACATGCTTTAAAAATCACATTTCTGCCACGAATCACAATATTGCCACAAAATATAATAATTACTAGTTACAAAATCAGCCTTAAGTAAAAAGACATTTAGGATTCAGCCACTAGAGAGTAGTAGTGAGGCATGAGAACATTTCAAGGATCACAAGCTGCACAAAAGCTTTTTTTCCTTGCTTTGTACTTTGTTATTTTTACATTATCATGATTTACCTGAAATTCCTAAGAAAAATGAAAAATCTAAAATTATACTTCTAGTGATCCAGGCTTCCATTAATGTATGCGTATTCCAACATCAATGCTAAAATGTATTCATATTCCAAACATTAACACAAATATCAGTTTTATGCCAAAAAACTAATACCTTTAGAAATAAAACTAATAGAACAATACTTTTTTCAGTTCAACGGCTTTTCTACCCTTCCTTCCCCCTAAATTAAATAATTATTTTATGAGTACGTATACTACTTTTAAAGCAGTGATTCTAAAATGGTAAGATGTTACTAATCATAGGATCACGAACATAAAAAGGGTTCAGAAAACCACTGTTTTAAAGCAAACTGAACTAAACGGTTCTCAATTTGTGTATTCCTAAACAGCCTCAGATAGGTATTTCCATTAGCAAGCCACATCTATAACATTATGTAAATATTTTGTCATCATCATTGCTGACTTGTTCTAATCACACCAACATTTCTGAAAAAACATCATTGTAGACAAGTTTTCACCATCGTATCAAACTGTGTTTCTATAGCCTGCTGATTGATCACATTTTCCCAACAATCCAAATGCCCATTTATTAAATCCACACAAATGCCCATATTGTGCTAGGACACACAGGGGTTTTCTCTTTGTTCCCACTTCCATTGGAGAATAGAAGAACGCAAAATTTTTAAAGACAGTAACCTGTGCTTTGTGTTTGTGATACCATCTCTTCCTACTCATTTAAAAAAAAAAAAAAAAAAAAATTCAACTCCCTTTGCAATGATTTTAAAAAGTGTCAAGAACTTCCTAAAAACTGCCAATACAGACTTGCAGGAGAATCTGAGAGGAGAGATTCCTACAACCACACAGTGTCAAATACAAAAACAATTTTGGGGTGATTACCAAACAGCAAAATCAAAATTATTATTTCTCTATATTTCAAAAGAAAAGATTTTTTCCTTTGTATTCATTCTTAGTTCTTCTGAAAGGTTTATATTTAAATAACACAATGGCCATAATGCAATCTTTTTCTTAGAATGTACAATCCAAAAGAAAGGAGTATAACCTTTCCTATTCACATTTTAAAAACCACTTTTTATGGAGCCCAAAACAGTATTTGATGGCAAAGGTTTGAAAAAAATGCAGTTGACCAATTAGTAACTACAAAGTGAGAATATAACCTAGCGTAAAAAACTCAAAAGCAAAATGAAACCAGATCCATCAAGACCAGAAAACAAAAGCTCTTTATTCACTGGAAAACCAATGGAGAACTAAAAATGATCCTCTCCCAAAATTTTTTAAGAGTGAAGTTTTCCACTTCACTATTATTTCAACTATATCTCTTAATGAAAAGGGGAGTGTATATGAACAAGAAACAGTATATTCAAAACTTAGATTCTTACTTTTGATTTTCTTCTTCTTCTGATTCTTCATGCTGGTCAAATAATTCCCATTTAGAAGTTGTAACAGCTGAATGAAAGGAAAAGGAGGATGTAATTCCACGAGGTAAACTAGCATTTTTTCAGTAGTACAGTGGAAGCTCAAGCTTTAGAATTGAAAAGTTTATATTACAGAAGTTTTTTTAATCTATGTTTATCAATTCTCTAAATAGTTATTTCTATATGCCAAATCTCTTTCCTCACACCTACAATATAATTCAAATTCATGAAGTGACGAATAATGTCATCCTTATTTCTGTGTTGAATATTAAGATTTATTTCATTAGAACCTACAAATAGCAACAATTAGATTATTAGCACTAGGATACAGGTCTAAGTAAGTGTGAAAGACAGGTCTAAATTGCATCTAATCAGTCTAGCATTATGGGAGGGTCAAAGCTTGGTTTCTATGAAACTGACCTCTATGTAGATTTCTACGTAGGTACAGCTTCCAATCTACATTTGCTACTAAAATGCCTTAACCTGAAAGGTTTTCAGTGATATCTCATTACTCTCAAAGCTTCCAAACTGAAGGACCTAAGAAAATTGTAACAGCAACACCAACCACAATAAAAGCATACATTAGACACAAAATATGACAACATTGAGCATTAAGGTTAAAACGTGTTATAAAACATAAAAGGAAAACATATATACAAGCACACCAATAATTAACGTACAAGTACTTAATTTAAAAAATATTTATTTTACTTTTACTCACCCTGTGCTTCCAATTCAGATTCATCCACAGCTTCCCATTTTGATGGGGCAACTTTAAATATAGGCTCATTCTTTTTTGAGTCTTCAGTTGCATCCACTATTAGGGAAAGATAAGCCATTAACCCTGACTACTAGTGGATGACCCGAAGTATTACATTCATGGGTATTCACCATATTATTAAAAAGCAAAGTAAAATAAGGACACAGATGGACAAATAGTAATACTAAGAACAAGGACTATGACTAAACCAATTCTCTGCATCTGAGGGCAATATTTTTAACAGTATATATATCAATTCAGAAAATACAGGTTAGTAATATATTAAGCAAGTGAAGAAGTTGAGAAGTAAAACAAATCTTTAATATCTTTACCTAATCTCTGAAATATAAAACTGCATACATTATTCAATATTTAAACATATAATTCAAATGTACCAAAGAGCTGTCTACAGTTCCTATTTTCAAAATGATTTTAGGCAGCTAGGAAAACTGAAGTTGTAAGTTAGAAAAACTAATAAAAACTGATAAAACCAGGTACCTAGGATCATGCATAACTGAGCACAAGATTTTGCCTATAATTTCCTGACAAGACAAAAAGAGAAACTTGCTAATATTATAGGAGGCTGATTGTCCCAGCAAAGAAATGTGACCAGAAAAAAATGCTTCTTCTTGGCCTTTTATATACATAGCATACAAATAAATGTATTACTGGGTATATGAATTTTGAAAAAAATCAGAAATAGAAAAGTTAATAACTTGATACGTTCATGAGAAACTATAACCTTTTTCCATATCAGCATGTATGGAAATTAGAGTTTTGGTCACCAAATGTATTAGCTAGATTTAATCAGTTTGAAATCTGAACTTACAAGGCACTCCATCAAGATCATCATCAAGACTTTTTATAGGGACTCCATCAAGATCATCGATGGGAGTAGCATCAATAGGAATTCCATCTACATCTTCCAGAGGTGCACCATCAAGCTCTTCCTCGATGGGGGCACCATCAAGGTCATCTGGAACATCCTATGGAAATGTGTACTATTATAACATTTTCCTTTGCTTGCTGAAGTCACATTGCTTGTAAGATTAATTTGTAATCCAGTACAAGCCAACATAACTGGATACCCACAATCTGAGGTACAATGTAAGAACATATTCTATCATCCAGTTTGCTAAAGAAGCAGTCAGTTGTGCATTTATCTAATATTTACCAAGTGCTCACTGGTGCCAGGTACCTTGTGAGGCAATGATGAGCAAAAACAAGTTTGGTCCCCCTGTTATAGAGCCTGGTAAAGGTTTTTGCTGTTGTTTTGCAGGGGTGGGGGAACCAGGAAATCAGATCATCACAACAATATATACTTATCTGTAACTATGGTAACTGCTACAGCAAAAGGGCGTATCATACTATTAGCATACTAAGTTTCACTTAAAGAGGTCAGAGAAGGCTAAGGTTATGTTTGAGCTGAGATCTGAAGGATCTCAGGTGAAGATAAGTCCCAGAAAGAGGGAAGGACATGTACAAAGTCCAATGGTAGGTGGAAACACACATTTAAGAAACTGAAACAAGGACCACGTGGGTTGCAACAGTAAGGCCAATTAGGAAGATCCTGCAGGAGTGAAAGTGAAAACATAATAGCTTGACTAGCATGGCAGAATTAAACATTAAGGATTCAGTAATTATTTAGGAGGTAAAAAAGAAAAAAAACAACAGAATGGTGATGTATATCTGCTATCATGTGATGCATCTTTTCATGCACATATTTTACTTATATAGCTATCTTTAACAAAATAAAGTCATGCTATACATATTGCTCTATTACTTGCTTATTTTCTACTATTAACAATATATCATAACTCTTATATCATTAAATAAAAAAAACACTCACCAATTTTCACATAAGGACACAAGACAGAGAATTCCTGTTACATGTAATTTTGACTTCTGGGTTCCAGCAATAAAAATCCACTACTTAATGGTAAGCAATAGATATTTTTCACAAAGAAATGTACCTCACATATGTAACACAGAACAACTCCAAGAAACCTCCACCCCAGAAACGAATTTTAAAAACAACCAGACAAATACAGACTGCCTACCTCTGTTTCCTTTTCTTCAATAATATTTACAAGTCCTAAGAAAATATTTTGTAGTTTGATCAAAAATGGTTCTGGATAAATTGCCCAATCTTCCCATGCTCTGAAGCAAGTCATTACCCGTTGCTAAAGAAACAGGAAACAGACAACAAACTTTTATTTTGGGCTATATGTCTCAAATTTCAGTTCATGAGAATGATCATCAAGATTTGCTAAATTTGCCTTTAAACTGATGTTTTTTTAAACTTTAAAGAAAATAACTATATATCATTACCATATTTTTTAAAAAAATCAATGTCACCTTCTAATTAAAAGGAAAAAAACCCCTAAAAATAAATATAATGAAAAATAAACAGTAACTATTTGCTCTTTACCACCTAAGGTCAGCTCCCATACCATTAGTACTACCCATGAGCCACATTCCAGAAACACTTACATAGAAACTTACTAAAACTGGAAACCAAAGTAGCCAAGTTTTGACCTGAATCCCTTATGGTCCAATAAAGTACTTCCTAATTCTGGCTAATACTTTACTCTGTATCTTCCTGAAACTTGTCTTTAAATTCTAACTTATGGTCAAAATTTAAGGTCAAAAACTTTTAAAATGGGAGTTGTCTGAATGCCCTAAATGGTGGCGTCACTGGGCATCTTCCGAAACTAAAAATTTTTCTTAAAAAAGTCTTCTTCCCATGAAAGCATATTTACTTATTCAATTATAAGTGAAGTACTACACTTGGCTTTTCTTAACACTGGTCTAGAGCTTAAGAGGTTATAAAAAAATTGGTAACAGAATAGACTTTCTAAACATGATTAAAATGTATGTCTTTAATCCAGCCAAATAGTATATACCATTACAAAACAAGTGATTCTTCTGTATGTTTTATGAAAAAAGACTAACATTTATAATTTTTAAACAATATTTAAAACTAAAATTAAACCTGACAAAATAGTATCTTTTAAATTTTTGATTTGATAAAAACAAAAACGACAGAATTTTAAAACAGTAACTTCTGTAACATCTAAGTTTTAAATTTATGTCTCATACTTGTCTTATGCACTTTTCTAGCCCTTCAATGCCCTCCCCCCACCCATTTAAAACACTAGGGCAAAAATAGTAAAACAATAAACGTACCTTAAAGTTTTCAGATTGTAAATGGCCTTGAATTGTACGATAGGTGGCATTGAGGTCTGAAAATATCTGACATAACTTTGTTTCAAAACTGAAATTCAAATAACACATTCTTTAAAATAAAATGTTTAAAATTCCTTTCCCTTTTAGCATGCCAGCCAATGAAAACCCCTCCTGAACTTAAAATACTTACAAATCAAGAAATTATTAAAAATCAAAAACTAGGTGTTTAAACTCTAAAACCGTAACTGAATTGCTTGAACTCTTATTACTCTGAATTTTTCTCCTACAAACTCCCCAACAGTCCCTACTAGTTCCCTTTACGAGCAAGAAACGTTATATCTAGGATATGCTGAACCATCTCGTCCAATTTCTTTATTTTATAAAACAGAAAACTTAGAAAAGTGACTCGTCCAAGGCAAAAAAACTAATAGCAGACCTAAGAGTAGGATCCAGCTCTCTAAATTTCTTTTCAGAGCAACATCCTAGGGAAAAGCTTCCCTTTGCCTAATTCATAAAATAAACACAGAAAGAGAGCTCTGGGGAACAGAGGAAAAGTTATACTTTTTTTTTTTTGAGATGGAGTTTTGCTCGTCACCCAAGCTAGAGGACAATGGTGCCATCTCGGCTCACTGCAACCTCCGCCTCCCGGGTTCAAGCGATTCTCCTGCCTCAGCTTCCCGAGTAGCTGGGATTACAGAGGCACACCACCACGCCCAGCTAATCTTTGTATTTTTACTAGAGATGGGGTTTCACCACGTTGGCCAGGGTGGTCTCGAACTTCTGACCTCAGGTAATCAGCCCTTCTTGGCCTCCCAAAGTGCTGAGATTACAGGCGTGAGCCACTGTGCCCAGCTGAATTATACATTAATTATAATACAGCAACGTAACTTCCTTTTGCCTTAGGAAACATTTACAATGAACTAAAATCAATATGCTGAGGATCAGAAGAGAACACAGATTCTATAGTTAATAGTATGTCTTTGGTCTCTTATGTTTGCCAGTATATACACTGTTTCTATTTATTATATGAATAGCTAGATATGCAATAAAGTTCTCTTTAACACCTATTTGTTATACTGTCAATAGCTAAGAAAGTGATATGATATAAAATCTTTCCAAAAAATTGGTAATTTAGCTTAAGTGTAAGCCAATTTTTTAAAAAATTCTACAAACCATTAAGAAATTCAAATTAGTCTTCCCTCAGTATCCATGGGGGGACTGGTTCCAAGACCTCCCATGGACACCAAAATCCACAGATGCTCAAGTTCCTGATTGAAAATGGCATAATATTCACCTGTAACCTATCCTCATCCTCCCATCTGTTAAATCATCTCTAGGTTACTTACAATACCTAATACAATGTAAATGCTATGTAGAGTTTTCATACTATATTGTTTAGAAAATGACAAGGAAAAAAGTCTGTACAGGTTCGGTACAGATACAATTTTTCTTCTCAAATATTTTCAATTCATGGTTGGTTGAATTCATGGATAAGGAACCCACAGACATGGAGGGCTGACTGTACTTCTTATTCTTGCAGGATGTTAACAAAACAATCCTCTTTTCTGAACTCCTTACCCTTAAATACTTTATTTCAGGAATATCAGTTATATCATTATACTTACAATTTTCTATAATATGAAGCATTAGCAACTTTGGCTGAAGAGTTGTACAAAACATCAGAAACCAAATATAATCTGGCAATCTATAATATCAAAAGATAACACAAAATAGGTTAATATAAGGCTAATGTTTAGCTATAATTTAATTATGGCTACTAATTAGAAGAGTTATATGAAGCTCAGTATCACCACAACTATGACTCTGGCAGAGATGAAATTTGTTAACCCATTTACATTTCAACTTGTTTGTTAACTTGTATGTTAATGAACCTAAATTTCCAAGCAGAAATAACATAAGACTGCATGGGAAAAATCTCATCAGTCAAGTGCTTTGTGCAAAAAGGAAACCAATTCTAATCCCAAAAGACGTCAACTATCTCCCCTTTTCTTAAAATTCATTCCCATACCTTTTTAGGAAGGGGTGTCTTTAAGATGGACAACGACTCAGTAATGCAATCCACTATTTCTTCAGCAGCTTCAGCATTATTAAGACAGAAAACCATTGCATCTCCAATATCATTTTTCCTTGGAGTTAATCCCCGCAAGATTTCTTCCAATTTATCCCTCTGTCTGAACATAAATTGTTTTAACTTATAAATATTTAGATACAATTTCAAATGCCATTGTAGCTTTTGCTCACAAACTAATTTCTTTAAAACCTACTCACATAAAATAATTCTGAAGACTGTAATACATTCAGTCTGATTTGTGTTGTGTCCCCCAAAATTGTTACAATTTTTTGAAGAATTTATATAAGAATACTCTGTAGAATAAGATTCCAATTATGTTTTCAGCTTACAAATTAAGTAAATTTAAAATCATACGCATTTCTTCAAGCGTCTTTAAGAGCACCCCAGTCTTACCATCCCATGATACTGAAGAACTTTCATGTTCTTTACTCCCCTTCTTTGAAGGAAGTCTATTACTTTAACACTTCTGCCTGGGATTACGACAGGCTAATTTTTTCTGTAAAGGAAAAGACTGGCTGGGTGCGGTGGCTCATGCCTGTAATCCCAGCACTCTGGGAGGCCAAGGTAGGCGGATCACAAGGTCAAGAGATCAAGACCATCCTGGCCAACATGGTGAAACCCTGTCTGTACTAAAAATATAAAAATTAGCCAAGTGCAGTGGCAGGCACCTATAATGCCAGCTACTCGGGAGGCTGAGGCAGAAGAATTGCTTGAACCTGGGAGGCAGAGGTTGCAGTGAGCCAAGATCGTGCCACTGCATGCCAGCCTGGGTGACACAGCAACACTCCATCTCAGGGGAAAAAAAAAAAAAAGATTACAAATATTTTAGGCTTTGCAGGCCATATGATCTCTATCCCCCTGCTGGCATAGCACCAAAGCAGCCAGACAACATGTAGGGAAGGGAATTGACTGTATTCCAGTAAAACTTTATTTTCCAAAACAGGAGGCAGCCATATTTAGCCTATGAGCTGAGTTTGCAGATCCTAGGATTACAGTGATTATGAACATACATCTTCAGAAGTAAATACACTCAAACAGTATCACACTCCATTGCCAAATGCTCTCATAGGCAATGAATCAATGCAACAAGTATTAAGATTTATAGACTGCAGTGAAGTACATACAGGCATATCTCAAAGAGACGGATTCAGTTACAGACTACTGCAATAAAGCAAATATCACAATATAGCCAATCACATAAGTTTTTTGATTTCCCAGTGCATGTAAAAGTTATGTTTATACCATATTGTAGTCTATTAAGTATGCAATAGCAGTATGTCTAAAAAAACAATGTACACATTACTTTAAAAATACTTTCTTGTTAAAAATGCTAACAATCATCTGAACTCTCAGTGAGTCATAGCATTTTTGCTGGTGGAAGGTTTTGCCTCAATGTTGATGGCCAACTGATCAGGGTGGTGGTAGCTGAAGGTTAGGGTGGTGGTAGCTGAAGGTTAGGGCGGTGGTAGCTGAAGGTTGGGGTGGCTGCAGCAATTTCTTAAACAATAAAGTTTACCGCATCAACTGACATTTCTCATCACAGGGGATTTCTCTGCAGCATGAGTTGTTGTTTGTTAACATTTTACCCAGAGGAGAATGTCTTGCCAAACTGTAGTCAATCCTCTCAAACCCTGTACTACTTTATCAACTAACTTTATATATATTCTAGATCCTTTCATTTCAACAATGTTCACAGCTTCTTCATCAGAAATACATTCCATCTCAAGAAACCACTTAATTTGCTCATCCCTAAGAAGCAACTCCTCATTTATTAAAGTTTTATCATGAGATCACAGCAATTCAGTCCCATCTTTGAGCTCTACTTCTAATTCTAGTTCCCTTGCTATTTCTACCATATCTGGAGTTACTTCCTCTACTGAAGTCTTAAATCCCTCAAAGTCATCTATGAGGGACTAACTTCTTCCAAGCTCCTGTTAATGTCGATTTTTATAGGCAAAAAAACTGAAACGGATTTTTAAGATTTTTTTAAATTTCTTTTTAATAGAAATGGGGTCTCACTATATTGCTCAGGCTGGTCTTGAACTCTTGGCCTCATGCTATCCTCCTGCCTCGGCCTCCCATAGTGCTGGGATTACAGGTGTGAGCCACCACACCTGGCCCACAAATGTTCTTAATGGCATTTGGAATGATAAATGCTTTCCACAAGGTTTCTGACTTTTTCCCAGACCCACTGGAGGAATCACTATCTATGGCAGCCACAGCCTTATGAAATATATTTCTTAAATAATAAGACTAAAAGGTCAAAATTACTCCTTGATCAATGGGATAGAGAATGGATAATGTGTTAACAGGCATGAAAACAACTTAATCTCTTTGCACATCTCCATCAGAGATCTTCAGTGATCAGGTACATTGTCAATGAGCAGTAATATTTTGAAAAAAATCATTTTATTGAGCAGGTCTCAACAGTGGGCTTAAAATATTCAGTAAACCATGCTGTAAACAGATATGCTGTCATCCAGGCTTTGTTGTTCCATTTATAGAGCACAGGCAGAGTTGATTTAGCATAAATTCTTAATGGTCCTAAAATTTTTGGAATGGTAAATGAGCACTGGCTTCAACTTTAAGTCACCAGCTGCATTAGCCCCTAATAAGAGAGTCAGCCTGTCCTTTGAAGCTTTTAACCCAGGCAGTGACTTCCCCTCTCTAGTTATAAAAGTGCTAAATTACATTTTCTTACAATAAAAGGCTGCTTTGTCTACACTGACAATGTGATTTAGTGTAGCCACCTTCATCAATGACCTCAGATCTTCTGGATAATTTGCTACAGCATCTACATCAGCACTTGCTGCTTCACCTTGAACTTTTATATTATGAAGATGGCTTCTTTCCTTAAACCTCAAAAACCAATCACTGCTAGCTTCAAATTTTTCTTCTGGAGCATCCTCACCTGTTTCCACAGAATTGAAGAGAGTGGGCCTTGCTCAGGATTAGGCTTTGGCATAAGGGAGTGCTATGGCTGGTCTGATCTTCTATCCACACCACCGAAACTTTCTATCAGTAATAAGGCTATTTTGCTTCCTCATCATTCATGTGTTCATTGGAGTGGCACTTTTAATTTCCTTTAAAAACTCTTCCTTTGCATTGATAACTTGGCTCACTGTTTGGTGCAAGAGGCCTAGCTTTCAGCCAACCTCATCTTTTGACATGCCTTCCTAACTAAGCTTAATCATTCTAGCTTTTGATTTAACGTGAGAGAAGTGAGACTCTTCCTTTCACCTGAATACTCAAGAGGCCATTGTGGGATTATTAACTGGCCTAATTTCAATAGTGTTGTGTCTCAGGAAATAGGGAGGCCTAAGGGAAAACAGCTAGTCACTGAACAGTCAGAACACACCTTTTTTGATTAAGTTCATCTTCTTATATGACCATAGTTTGTGGTGCCCCAAAACAATCAAAGATCACTGATCACCATAACAGATACAATAATAATGAAAAAGTTTGAGCTATTGTGAGAATTATGAAAATGTGACAGACATGAAGTAAGCACATGCTGTTCGAAAAATAATGACAACAGATTTGTTTGACTTAGGGTTGCCACAAACCTTCAATTTATAAAACACACTGTATCTGCAGAGCACAGTAAGTCAAAGCGCAATAAAACTAAGTATGTCTGTACTTAATTCTATATTCTAAAAATGCTTTTAGCCAATGTTTTCCCATGAGGTATACAGGATGTCCTCTGAACATTTAATAAGTATGTTTTTGCTTCTTAAACCAGCTAGCTGCACTGTACAATTGTTAAGTGAGACTAATAACAACACATACTTCCATGGTGGCCATCTCACAGCTCACCACACACTGCAAATCAAGTGTGAAAGTTATCATGTAGCGGCTTTGCATAGCCACAATCTGATCCCACTAGCCACACAATAGTTTTTCTTCTTTATGTTGCATTCAGAGAAGCAAGAATTCTAGGGATCCTCCAATAATTTCTGTAAGAATCTGAAGTACTCCAATGCTAAAGAAATAAGTCAATCATGTTTAAGAGATCATCACTAATTTTACCAGGAGAAAACTCAAGGACAACAGGACACACACCTATACTTGTTAGGATGTTTAAAATTATAAAGCACATGATGAAAGATGTTACTATTTTAAACATTCACAAGTGAAAAAAATTTATTTTAGGGTTAACATCTTAATAAGACCATTAATTAAAGCAACCATTACAGTTACTTTTCTGAATATATAATAGAAAGGAAAAATATCTTACTCTTCCTTAAGTGCTCCCTTTTTACTAGGTTCCTCTACAAAAGCTTCTGTTTCTTGCTCTTCTGACATTCCATGCAAGTACGGATTTAATGGTGGTGGCCTCCAAAAAGATCCATTTTTGAACATACGAAAATCTTCCGTCCGCCATTTAGTTGGAGAATCTCCCTAACAAACATTTAGAGTTATTATAAAGGTCTAATTACTCAGAGTCAAAATTAACAAAGTAATTGATTCTACTTGCCTGCAGAATAGAATAAAGCTTCCACCTATAGTAAACATGGGCTGGTGTCTGGTTTTCAAATAAGAACCTACACAAAACAAACAAACATTAAACATCATATTCTTTAACAAAGAGCTATCTTCAATTAAATATAAATAAATGAGAAATATTATTTGCCTATTTAGTTCTAAATAAAACAAAAACAAAGATCCCTGAAGAGAATCTCACCCACTACCACCCGCTACCTATCCCCATTCCTTTACTGCAGCCCTAGACTGCCTTAGTGACTGACATTAATACTCAGAAGGCATGCATCATGAGTCTTATGATCGTTTTCACTGAACACTTACATGGCAGATACTGTGTCTGGCAATGGAGAGATTTTCCCAATATGTAATTACAAAAGCAGTGATTTTACATTACTTAAGTGTTAAACTAGTGTCTAAGAATACCGTAACAATTCAGAGGATAAGCAATTTATTTTAAAACTCATTTGTTCAACTGTATCTCACTTATGATTCCTTCATTGAAAAGCATAATGAAATGTATTTTCCTCCTAGAGAATGCTAAAAACAATACTATTTAATCAACCAAATCAAAATCTGATGGAAAATTGTCCTCAATACATTCTACTCTGATTACTAAAACTGTCTTCCCATCCCGTTGCAGAACTAATCCCATACTTTTACAACTTTATTCTTGGAAATATTTTTAATTCTAATAAATTAAAAGTAGTTTTAAACTGCATGCCTGAAGATAAAATATAGTAAATACATATAATGGAATATTATTTGGCCTTAAAAAAGGAAATCCCGATACATGCTATAATACAGATGAATCCTGAGGACATTATGCTAAATGAAATAAGCTAGTCACAAAAGGACAAATATTGTATGATTATACTCATGTGAGTTTACCCTGAGTAATGAAATTACTAAGAGACAGAAAGTAGAATGGCAGTTGCCGGGGCTAACGGGCTAGAAGACTGAGGAGTTACTGCTACACAGGTAAAGAATTTCCATTTTGGAAGATGAAAAAAGTTCTGGAGATGGATGGTGGTGATGGTTGTACAACAATGTGAATGTACTTAATGACACTGAACTGTATACTTAAAAATAGTTAAAATGGGAAATTTTATGTTACATATATTTCACAATTTTTAAAAAATGCACACCTGAACATAGGATTGTTGATTTCTCTGTTCATAATCATAGCTTCAAACATTGGCCCTTCACGTACAACAAACTCTATCATTCGATGTATCAGGGCGAGCAAATTCCTACAACAACAACACAGTTAAAGAAAATGGATTCAGACCTACCACTATATAAAACTACACTTGACCTAAGTTACTATAATTGTGCAGAAAATGATTATTCTGCTGACTAACACCGAATTTAATACCAAAAAAGTAACCTGGAGCATATGTTAATGCCTTGTGCATTAAGAGGGTGTGGGGCAGTGGGAGTAGGGAAGTGGGAGGGGATGGAAAGGTGAGGGAGGGTAGGAAACCACAATACAGCCTCATAGTAATATTTAATTTTCTAAATGTCACTTATTTTCCAAAAGTAAAACATTAAATTATAAATCACAACTAATTAGAAAGCTGCAAATATTGATATATAAAATCAGTAACTTAGAGCCTGCATGTTATTACAGCCATCTAGAAATTTACACACTATCTCAGTTTAAAAAAAAAAAATTCCTAAACCAAGCACTTTTATGGTGCTACTGAAATGTTATAACCATGACTATAATTTATAAAAATGCAAAACTATTTAACAAGTTTAAGGCCTGATTTAATAAAAAATCCATCCAACTCCTGTGTTTTTCTGGTACACACACCAGATGCATTTTTTATTAAATCTGACCTTTAATGAGGCAACATCCCTTTGGACCACACTTCAAACTAGTTCACAATTCATGAAATAGATAATTCTGCCTTTATATATCTTTTTTCCCTCCAAAACAAGAGATTGATATGCCTGTACACTATCAATCAATGAAGAAATTATGTTGCCAAAGCCTTAAGTGAATGGAGTACTACTCTTTCCAAAATATTGCAAAATGGGGTACACGGTGAGATGCCCTTCCCATTTTCTGTAACAATTATTTTCCAATATTTTACCAAAAATAAACATATGTGAGTAATTTTTTAGTACAGTCATTTTATTGACTGAACTCACAGGAAGTCTTTATCTGAAGCTGGGTCCTAAAATCATGTGATATTTTATTAGACTCCAAACACAATTTTGGACATTGATTATGGTGTCGGGCAAAAATGACTCAGGTTATTTATAAGCTGCTTTTGATTCCTCATTTCACCAGTCCCCATCCATACACAGCTGGCAAATAACAATTGGGAAAAGCAAAAGGATATTGGCTCTTGGTACAAAGCACACACTAAATTACACCTTTAGCATTCCCAGCTCAAATTACGTTCATATAACTGCTAGAATGTAAATAAATATATAGTTATAGAACAAGACAGACTTTTGTGGCTCTATAATGCCCTATTTCAGAGTACATGAACAATAAAATAATCTATCTCAAGGTGACTATAATTATTTTCTCATAGCTTTCAAACAAACCTACTTAAAATGAAATCTCTCCATAGTGAAAAAAATTTAAGCCTAAAGGAAGTAAAAAAAATTGCATCACAGTTTAAATCTTTACAAAGGGGAAATCATGCATTTAAAACTACTAATTCAACCTCAAATTGTCAAAACAAAAAACTAAAAACATTGCTTAATTTTCTATTTAAAAATTATTTCTCTTTCACAGAAGTAATTGCTCTGCAAATATGCAGTTCTTCAGCATTCATATGGTTAATGACATTATTTTGAAGGAAGGGCGATAATGTAAAGTTATGATTCAATTCCAAAACTCCCCACTGATAGGAGCCAAATTAAAGCTAAGGGAAATTTTATGTATAAGACTAATTACTAGGTGGACAAATGTTATACATCCAGAAACTTGTGTGAATTAAGTCAAAAGCAACTTGACTTTAGCATTTAAGATAGAGGAAAATTGTTTAGCAAGTTTAAAAACAAAGGATTCATCCTAATGGTGAGTGAAGACTTTCGGCAAAACGCACACTCAAAATTTTGTTTAGAAATAAGCTGAGCCACATACATGTAAAGCTACCACTAGATATGTGCTTTTTTTGAATGCTACAAAAATACTATCCTGTGAATGCTTTTATCAGTGGTGAAAAACCCACTATAGTTTTAAACAGGCTTGTAACTGATAAATCTATTTTTAGAAAATTAAAAGTTTATAAGTATTTTTAAAATGTTTCATGATTATTTAAAATCAAAATCTGACAATTAATTGTTATTAACTTGATGTCAAGATTACTAAAGAACTGTAATCACATTCTTCTTCCTTAAGGATTGTGTTTATTTTAAAAATGGTGACTTTTCTATTAGAATAAAACAGTGTAGTACAAAAAGATGATATATTTAAAGTGCATTATTTAATTTTAAAATGGTAATTATCTTATTCTGGGCAACAATAACCAAAAAAAAAACAAAAACAAAAAATTGTCTCTCAGTTATAATAAAACCACATTTATTGGAGTCGATCGTACCAATGTCTGGTCAAAAACTGTATACTTTCCCAATCCATCCCATGATGTTTTCCTGGTCCCCCGCTGCCGCAGACAGTTCAGCTGGTGTTGCTCACCAAGGCCAATGTCAAAGAGAATTTGGTATTCTTTTGTGTTCATTTATTATTCAACCAGTGTTGTGTTCCTGTGTTTGGGAAAAGGCTTAGCTTGACTGAGCAAGAGCATACCTACAGCATGAATTCTTCTGCTTTAATAGTGTGTTGAAAGAGAAAAAAAGGAAGAAAGGAAAATAAAAGAATTCCAAATACCTTTGTTACCATGAAAAGAAAGTTTCTAGTATGTCCAGTGTTCATGACAATAATAGGAATTTCTTCTTAAAATCAATTGAAAAAACAAAAAACAAAGCTATGCCTTCAGTAAGGAGAACTCAAACCAAGGTTATATATTAAATGCAGATAATTCAGAAAACAAGAAAAAAATAACAACAGATTGGGTCAAACTGTAACGTTATCTGAAATTTACGACACACTTAAAACATCTATTTTCCCATGACAATAGTCTATTGTCTGACTCCAAATCAGAGCTAATAAATACACTCTAACTAGTCAAACTATAAACATTCCCTACAGTGATAACAATAAAAACAAAAAAAGATACTGACATAAAATTGCAAAGTATACAAAAGTTAGTTAAATTTCACACATCCCCCCGCAAAAAGTACTGGGAAGGAACCATTGCTCAGTCAAGATACTACCTTTTCCTCAACACCATTTCTTTTTAAATTCAGAAGGGGATATTGTCTATATTTAGATCAGTAATAATAAAGAAAAACATGTACCTTTCTGTTGGGATAACCACTTTGACTATGGCTTGCGACAGAGTCTGTATATGAAGTCACATCAGATAATAAACATAGAATATGTGAGTATTGTTAACAAGTAACAAGCAAAAATATACATATGCATTGAAAATACTACATATCTAATCACAAGTTTTGCAGGCAATCACTGCATTTGAAGTCATTATACACTAAGCAATTACATAAATGCAAATGGATGTGTTCAGTGAACAATAAACGTTCACCAAATGCAAAGAATCAGAACATTCCTGCCAGAATGCACATCAATGCACTGAAATAGGTACTACACTGAGAATTATCAGATAAAGATTTTAATTTGTGAAATAATTAACTGTTTGCCTCTGACCATACAGTTCGCTACTTTGTTCCCAAGCCTTTAAAACCAGCCCTGTCATTTTAAGTGTAATTAATTCATAATAGAACCAACGAATTCTTATAACTTGAAATTAAGTTGGTTTTATTTACTAAAAAGAAAATACTCACCCTTTGCTTTTACTAGATTAACTATTTTTTACAAACCACATAAATCTTCTCAAATATTCTAATACCTCAGATCTAGCTGCCATCCAAACAATAACTACTTAGGAGGTCTTTCTAATTGAAATGTCACTTAACCAAATACAAAGTATCACTTTCTCAGAACAAAGTAAATTTAGTTAATACACTTAAGCAAATCTGGATACAACACTGGACAAAGGAAAAAAAACTTAACAAGTGGTCAAAAAAGGAATGGTAGCCACAAATAAAAATATGACCTAGTATTTCAAATATAGGGTTTCCATGGGCTAAGGCAGGGAACACATCTACTTATTTCTTTAAAAGTTGCCAAACAGAATTACACACACATTTTCTATAAAATTGTTGAAAAGAAATACTACCACAGCTTTAGTATTTACAAATTAGATGCGGCCTTATGTCCATTTTTTAAATTACCTTCTCAAAATCCTCTTTGTTTTTAGGTGGCGGTAACATAGGAGCATTAGGGTTTTTTAACCGCTCTCTAGGCTGCGCATTAAAAGGCAGTCCGGATGGAGGTGGGGGAAGCGTATGTTCCATCATAGAAGGCGGAATGTATATTGGATGTGGAGGAATAGGTACAGCTTTACCCCAACCTAACTTCATTTCAAAAGACATAATCATTTTTCCTACAAGAAAGAAATGAAAGGTCATTTTGTTAACTCTCAAAAGTTTCCAAACAAAATTTTTCTGGTGAGTTGAAATAATTTTCATTTTAACCTCTCCATTTCAGGTCCAATCCTTCCTAGTTTTTATAAATACTTTTCCAAACCAAAGAAATATCTGAATTGTATAAATGGATAATAAAAATGTTCTTACCATTCAAATTTTTTAAAGCTCTTTCAGCATCTCTTCTATTCATAAAGGCCACAAAGCCGCAATTTCTCTCTCTGGCTCTTTCTTCATCAGTTCTAGGCCACATGATTTTCACACTGGCTAACGGTCCAAATCTTCCAAATTCTTGGCACAGCATTTCTTCATTCATCTATTAAAAAGGGTAAAAGATTTTTATTATGCAAAAAAGGGAAAAGAAAAAATTATTTTCAGAAAACAAAGTAGTTTTTACAAAATAAAAAGCAACATAGCAACGTGCTTCAATTTTCCATTTAAGTACCAGGAACGCCACACAAGTAAAATCCCGCGTGGGGCATTCATAAATCATTTCATACTATAAATATTCTGGTTTATTTAAGATGCCAGGGTGGGGAAGTTCAGTGGATGAAGAAATCAAAATCATTTTTACTCTCTATCTTCCTTTGTTTTAAGGTCCTGGATCTAAGTAAGATGTTTTATAGTGATGGTTTGTTTAGGCATTTAGTAACATTTTTCAAGCAGGCATGGTTAGTACATTTAAATTAAAGAGGAAATATGTATTGACAATGAAGAAAAAAAGTATCTAATCATCTGTTCTAACAATCAACTACCCATGTAATCAAATGCAGAGAAAACAGGTAACAGTATATATGCAAAATATAATTTTTAATAATAGCATATTATATACTACCGTTACTACATTCCCCATATCATAATTAACAGCACCAATGCAGGAAAAGAATTAAAATATAAAAGACAAACCACAAAGAGTAGTTTACTACTATGAGAAGAAAAAGGGACTCCACAAGGAAACAAGTATGCATCAGAAGTGGACAGTCTCAAAATAATATTATTCATCAATGGTCACACCCTGATTTAATAATAAAATCAGCACCTAGTAAAACATTTCAAATCCAGAGTTCAATCTAGTTACTGAAAGAGGAAACAAGAATATGTGGCAAGACAACCTGGGCCATACCAGTAAGACAACTCTAAAGACTATCCAATTCCATCAGATTTGTCAGCTTCAGAATCTTGATTTTTTTTGACTAACAAAGCTTTCTTCCAAAAGCATAAAGCATATCAATCAACATTCATCTTACTTAATATTACCTGTGGATTAATGTTTCCAAGGTATAAATTAGTAGTGCTTGGATCTCCTACATCATGTGAGCCAGGTGCGTAATCATCAAGAACTAGGGCAGAAAGAAAAAAAGAATTATAACCTGCAAAACATAAAGTTTGGAAAATTTATCGATTAAAAGAGCAAAAAACTGTATTACCACCAGATGATCTATTTCTTCTTGAAGGCGCGTCCACTTAAAGGGGAGAAAAGAAGACAATTATTAGTTTTTATAATACAGTAGTCCCCCCTTACCCTCACCTTTGTTTCCCCCAGTTTGTTACAGTAAGGTATTTCTGAGAGACAAAAAGAGAGACCACTTCACACAACTCTGTTGTTGTTGTTGTTGTTTTTTGAGACAGACTCTTGCTCTGTCGCCCAGGCTGGAGTGCAATGGCACGTTCTCGGCTCACTGCAACCTCTGCCTCTCAGGTTCAAGCAATCCTTCTGCCTCAGCCTCCTGAGTAGCTGGGATTACAGGCACGCACCACCACGCCCGGCTAATTTTGTATTTTTAGTACAGACAGGGTTTCATCATGTTGGCCAGGCTGGTCTCGAACTCCTGACCTTAGGTAATCCACTTGCCTCGGCCTCCCAAAGTGTTGGGATTGCACATAACTTTTATTTCAGTATATTGTTATAATTGTTCTATTACTTATTGTTGTTAATCTCTTACTGTGCCTAATTTACAAATTAATTTTTACCACAGCTATGAATGTGTAAGGAAAAGGATAGTATATATCCATGGTTTCAGACATCCACTGGTGATCCTTGGAATGTAACCCGCCACGGATAAGGTGGGAACTACTGTAATTAATCACAAGCATACACATTAAAATAAATGCCACTTACTAGAACGACGCTGACCATCAGAATCTGACTGAGGAGGTTCAAATCGACTTAATCTGCCTTTTGTTTTATGTCTCTCATCACGTTCCTCTTGAATTCTGTTGAAAATATTTACAATCACTTATAATGAGCCAAAATTTGTTCATTCACATTTCAGAATAGCGCTTATCAAATTACTATCATCAAATAACTAGAAATATCTGTAATTAAATACTGGTACTGATAACCAAGATTAGAGGGTCCCTCAGCTATAATACAACCACGAGCAAATTTCTGATATATCATACTACCAATGGAACACAAAGCCTACTTTAAAGGTGAGGAGGAAATTAAACACTAAAACCACTGAATTTGTTTCTTGCTAAGTCTAACTGCCCCTCACTCCCATCCCAGTGAGTATACTGTTTCCACTGCAAACAGGACTCTGGACATTAAGTAAATCAATTGAACTGAATCCTCGTAATGCAAGCAACCCAGGTGCTGGACTAAATGCTAATTTATTTTCAAAGATAGCCCACCAAATATTATAATATCTAAAACAATCTCATAGCAAACTGGTTAGTAATAACTAACTGGTACAGTATATTCTTTATACTTGCATCTGTTTATGTATCAGCTCAATACACCTATGATAGTTATTCTCCACACTATAAAACTTACTGCTTTAATTCTTCTTTGAAGAGTTCCAAATTGCTTTTTTTCTTTTCTTTCTCTCCTTTTTTAAGTGGCTATAAAGGATATGACAAGTTATACTTCAAACAAAAGGATAAGCAAAACCAATGATTCAATAATAAGAGCCTTTTTACATCATTTCAGTACAAATTGTATGTTCTAATTATTTAAATTAAAAAGGAAGAATGCTTTTCTTATCATTGAACCTCCCTTCCCCTTCCTTCAAAATAACAAACAATTAAATTATTACTACAATTAAACAATTAAAATGACAACCAGTAGTCAGGGAAATTAATGAACATGAAGTAACTGAACTGCCATGGAAAGTAACTGCCAAAAATACGCACTCTTCAAAAATCACCTCTGGAGGACATGAGTTACTGGAACAGTAAGTAACATCTTTGGAATCCTCTTTTAAAACTGCTTCTTAATCTACTTTTGGAATCCTTCTTTTAGAAGTGCCAACATAATTTAATAGGGAAGAATAATCTTTTCAACAAATGGTGCTTGGACAACTGAATATCTACATACAGAAAAATGAAGTTGGACTTCTACTTTACACCATATACTAAATGTACAAAAATTAACTCAAAATGGTTCATGGACATAAAAGTAAGAGCTAAAACTATAACACTTTTGGGAGAAAACCACAGGAATGAATATTCATAATCTTGAATTAGGTGATGGTTTCTTAGATATGACACCAAAAGCGTAAACAAAAGAAAAAAACTGATAAATTGGACTCCATTAAAGTTTAAAACCTCCATGCTTCCATCAAGAAAATGCAAAGACAACCCAGAGAACAGAAAACATTTCCAAATCATATAGCTGATAAGAACCTTGACTCAAGAAGATGTAAAATACTCTTACGATTCAACAACAAAAATACAAATAACCCAATTAAAAAGTGGGCCAAGTATCTGAACAGACATTTCTCCAAAAGAAACTTATAAATGGACAATAAACACATGAAAAGATGCTCAATATAATCAAGTACATGCAAATCAAAACCACAATGAAGTACAACTTCACACACACTAAAATGACTAAAATAAACTTTTCAAACAAAATAGTTTTGTTTGTTTGTTTGTTTGTTTTTGAGATGGAGTTTCGCTCTTGTTGCCCAGGCTGGAGTGCAATGCTGTGATCTTGGCTCACCACAACCTCTGCCTCCCGAGTTCAAGCGATTCTCCTGCCTCAGCCTCCCGAGTAGCTGGGATTACAGGCATGCACCACCATGCCCGGCTAATTTTGTATTTTTAGTAGAGACGGGGTTTCTCCATGTTGGTCAGGCTGGTCTCAAAGTGTTAGTGTACGACGTGAGAAAACTGGAACCCTCATACATTACTGGTGGAACTGTAAAGTGATACAACCACTTTGGAAAAACTGGCAGTTTCTCAAAAGGCTAAACATAGTTACCATGTGACCCAGCAATTCCACTTCTCGGTGTGTGTATATACATGTATCCAAGAGAACTGAAAACATAAGTTCACACAAAAAAAGCCCACACATGAATGTTTACAGCAGCATTATTTCTAACAGCAGAAAAGTGGAAACAATCCAAATGTCCATCTACTAAGTAATGCATGGATAAACAATATATGGTATGTCCATAAAATGGAGTATTATTCAACCACAAAAAGGAATGAAGTACTGATTCATGCCACAACAAAGATGCACCTTGAAGCATTATGCTAAGTAATGAAGCCAGATACAAAAGACCACGTTATATAATACCATCCATAAAAAATGTCCAGAATAGACAAATCAAGAGACAGAAAGTAGATTAGTAGGCTGTCAGGGACTGAAGTTAATAGAAAAAAAAAATGGGAGTGACTGATAATGGGTAGGGATTTCTTTTTAGGGTGATAAAAATATTCTGAAATTAGAGTGGTGATTGTTGCACAATTTTCAACATACTTAAAACCACTCAATTGTACACTTTATTTAAATTTTTTTTCTTTTTGTAAAGATGGAGTCTTGCTATGTTGCCCAGGCTGGTCTCAAACTCCTGGGCTCAAGCCATCCTCCAGCCTCAGCTTCCCAAAGTGCTAGGATTACAGGCATAAGCCACTGCACCTAGTCAACTGTATACTTTAAAAGGATAAATTTTAGCCAGGCGTCTGTAATCCCAGCACTTTGGGAGGCAAAAGTGGGCAAATCGCTTGAGTCCAGGAGTTTGAGACCAGCCTGGGCAAAATGGCAAAACCCCATTTTCACAAAAAAATACCAAAAAATTAGCTGGGCATGGGACTACATTGCCTGTAGTCCCAGCTACTCATGAGGCTGAGGTGGGAGGACCACCTGAGCCTACGAGGTTGAGGCTGCAGGAGCCGTAATCACACTACTACACTCTAGCCTGGGTGACAGAGAGACTGTCTCAAAAAAAAAAGGTAAATTTTATTGTATTGTATGTGAATTATATCTCAATAAAGCTGGGGTTTTTTTTTCATTGCTTTTAGAGATATTTTTTAAGCCACACAAAAAAAACCAGGCTTACTATTCAATGCAATCATATTTATTCACCACATTTGGTTCCAAATGACATGACCCACATCTGTCTACCATCTCCCATAAAAACTAAACCCTCAAAGAAAAAAAAATTTTTTCTAACACTGAGAATATTTTAAGTGTCACTAATTCTGACAGTAATTCCCAAAATGTTCCAAAAATGTTCTGGGAAATATACACTACACATACTAATAATTTAAATACCTCAGTTCAGAAATGCTTAAAAAGACAACCCCATTGCAAGTCAAATATAGTCAATTTTTGACTTGCAATATAGTCAATTTTTGACTTGCAATATATTATGAGCATAAATAGCAAATGTTCACTGCTCAAAAAGCATAAAAAGAATATCATCTACGTGTCCCAATTCATTAACTCTCATCTAAGTAAATTACTGGGTTAGAAAGCATCAAAACTTAACATCTACCACCCTGCCCCCACCAAAAACGAAAAAAAGCCAAAGTCTTGCTTACAGTGGAAGTATCACTGGCAGTGTCATCTCTGAACATAAATGGTCAATTACTTAAGTATGACTTACAGGTTTTTTGGTTTCTATCACAAGAAGAGATGGTGGTCTTTCATTGGAAGACTGATTTGGAGGATTTTTTTGATCTGCAAATCTTGAAGATGGCTTATAGATTTTACCTCTTTTTTCATCTGTTTCATGTTCTTCTGAAATTTAAAATACTAAGTTTCAAAACTAATTTCGCAATATTTTTCTTTACTGTTTTATTTAAAAACAAGTAAAAATTAGTAAAATGCTTTTAGTATTAAGATGTATCACTATTAACAAATATGAAATTAAATTCAAATATCACCTCAATAATGCTAATTTAATCATTTCATAGCAAAACTATGACACATATTAAAATTTGTGACAAGTGCTCTGCTGTCTTAAAACTTGAAAGGAACTAAATATGTTTAAAAGCTATCTGTCTTCAGCATCTCATTAATTGACACTTGGCCATTTATCTTGCTAATTAATAATAACCACTAGAGGGTGCTGATAGAAAATGTAAAATTCAAAAGCAACCAAACTTCCTTTCATAATTATCTACCTGCAGTCATTCAACCAAGATGGGGCTCGCTCAAAAACTGTAATACAGTTATGCTTTATTAGCAGTTATACTTTATAAACTTACCTTTAGCTGCATTAACAACACCCCCTCGCACAAATGTTTTCACTTTATTACCATCACTTCCTTCAAAAGCAGCAAGAAACTCCTCATAAATCTCAGCAGCTGCCTTTTCATCCTCCTAAATACACATGAAAATATTAATATTACACAATACAAAAATTGTTAATGTACACAAGGCTAAATTCATCAAGGAATAATATGGACGAAAACCCTCCCTTCCCAGGTTAAGCAGTCCTAACAAGTAATAACGTCTAATCTTTAGAAGATATTAAGTATTAATTAATGAAACCAAGAGAGGCTTTGCTCCTCTACCGGCAATTTGCAGAACTAGAAAAGAACCCCTAAGTATAGATTAATTAGTAAATTTGTCTAGAGACAACTCAAGCATCAAATTATATGACAACTGACTATATGAAAACATATTTTGCTAGTAATGTTTACCAAGTTTCCAAGGCATGATGATTTAATTCAGTGAATATAAATATTTTTCAAATCACCAAAAACATGAGTATTAGAAGTTGAAGCAGCAATATCTACTGACAAGTGGCATTAAGGAAAGCTCAGAAGAATCTTGATATAAAGAAAGCTCAGAAGAATCTTGATATTTTCAATTATTCTAAATGTCCCCAAAACATGTATGAACAGAAGAAAGGCCAATGGAACATAACAGAAAATACAGAATAAAATTGAATAGCATGTGGAAATTTAGTGTTCAATAAAAGGAGCATCTCAAATCAGTGGGAAATAGACAAACTTTTCAATAAATGATACTAGGATAACTGAATAATTATTTGAAAAAAGACAAAAATTAATCTATTCTTGACACCACATACCAGAATAAACTACAAAATAATCTGATTTAATATTCTTAAAAAAGAAACCATTCAGTAGTAGAGGAAAACATGAGGAAATTTCTTTATAAGCTGGTAATGGAAAAAACTGAAAAACCAGAAATCATAGGGAAAGACTGATAAATCTGATTGTACAATAGTTTCTGCATGGAGCAAAACACCAGCAGCAAAATAAAAAGACAATCAACAAAGTGAGAAAAAAAATTGTACCTTGTATAACAAAGTGTTAATATAACTTATAGAAAAAAATGGTTCAGATATGAGCAGACAGTTCACAGAAACAAACACAAGAAAAACTGTTAAACTTTACTCATAATGAGAGAAATCCAAATGTAAAACTACACTGAGATACCATTTTTCATGTAGGAGATTGGCAAAAGTCCTCTACTGGCAGTGCTATGGGGAAACATTCATTCATACACTACTGACAGGGGTGCAACATGTCACTGCCCCTACAGAGAGCAATTTGACAATGACAAATATAGAAAAACTACATTTATGCATTTATCACTCAACCCAGTAATCTCACTTATAAGAATATATCCCAAATCTCACCTATAAGAATATATCCCAAAGATAACACTAGCAAAAAAACCAAACATATGCATAACATTATCCATAACAGCATTACTTTTAATGGCAAAAGAACAAAACATAAATGCCCTCGATAGAATTTTAGTTGAATAAATGATTGCATATCTACACAGCCATAGCAAATGAATAAGGAGTATTTCTATATACTTGAGGTAATTTCTGAGATACAATGTTAAGTTAAAAAAGCAAGTAGGAAAAAAGTGTACTGTATAAAGCATGCTATCATTAATCTAAGGGGAATGGGTACAATGTGTCTACACACACATACACTTTACTTATACAAAAAGAATAGATTAGAAAATAGCCAAAACTATAACAAAGAAAAAAGAAACAGGGTGAGGGAACAAGGATAGAAGCTCAACTCCTAGGAATATATGTTGTATTACAGACTTGACTCAGAGGCGGACCTGAGAATATCCTAGAGGTTAAGAATCTTCGGGAAACATTCCTCTAATACACTTACTAACCCCTTAGACACATTCATTTCCAAGGATAATTCAAAATACATTTTCAACATTACCTTTTTCTTTAATTCTTCCTGTTCCTTTTTACTTAAAGTTCGCTTAGCTGTACTCATTTTTCCAATACTGAATGCTTTAAGTTTGTTTTCCAGAAGAGGCTAAGAAATAAAAAGCATACTTTTACATATAGATTCTTAATGCTATCTAAAACTTTAATACACATCAACTGATAACTAAGTCTTCAGAATAGACTGCCGTTTTTTTTTAAATTTCATTGTAAAGAAAAGTTGGGGCTACTCTACACATCAGGTGCCTATCTTACTTGACTCTGATGTTAAGTATTCATCAAAGAATGTCTTCATTTACTAGCTCAAGGTCAAAAACATGCAAAAGTCATGTTAAAAAAAAAAGGTAAAAATAGAAGAGACTGACACTAATGCTTAGAACAAGAATAAAAGCATTTGAGGGGGAAAGTACAGATGTTTCTGGGGAAAAGTTGCAATGACAGAAAACAGATCCTCAAATAAGCAAATGGAGGCAAACATTTCCATGGTCCTGGGGCAGGAATTTACCACCTACAACACTCATTTTACATATTATAAATCACTTATTTTTTATAATTTGGTAAACTACCTCATTCTTCGTCAATAATACTGATATTTATGAACATAATTTCATTCTTTGCTGGGATTAAAATATCACCTACAATATTTAAAGTTTCAGCTCAAGTAAAACTATATCAATTTTAAATATAAGAAAACACTATTTTAATGAAGTCTTCATTTATGTAACTTAGAAGCAACTTCCTTCTGAAATATAGCCTGAATACATTGTCTGTAGACCTTTTTGTTCAGTCAGTTACTCATTTGATTTATAAACTTAAAAGGTAGGAAATGTTTATTAAATACAACCTAAAATACTGAAATCTGAAGGTTTCTCTCTCCTACTAAAATGAGAAGCTAACCAATTACAAAATCAAGACTTTAAATTCCCTAGTCATTAAATAGGCTTGCCTTTGGGAGATGCAGAATAGAAGAGTAACATTGCTGCTAACTATTTTAAATTTATATTAAAATCCCTTTGAGAAAAATAAAGCAGTTTATAACCTAAAAGTCAATATTGGGTTTCAGGAGAGGATTCAAAATAAATTTTCTCAAAATAGAAAGAAAATCGTTTTGCCATCATTCAGTCTCTTTGGTTTCAACTTCAAAAGTTTAAACAAGTGGCAAAATTATATATGAATTAAATGAAACCCAATGAAAAATTACCATGCTCAAATTTTATTTATACCCTAAGAGCTAAATTCAGATACCCAACAGAGATGTGGCAAAGGAAACTATGGAGTATTTTTCAAATAAACAATATAAGCAATCATTTAAAAGTTTGTTTACAGAATTCTTGCAGAAATGAAAAAAAATTTATAACTAAAAACAGGATATTTTAAAACGGATTCTTATAAAAATAAATCTAGGCAAAGTAAAAATATATTTATGCCTAGAAATATTAAACAAGAAAAATACTTTGTTACCAGTGGTTAATACTGGCTGGTGATGACTGTGTTATGTTACAAATTTAACCACAAGAAAATATTACTTGACATAGAATAAAAGTCTAAAAGAGCCTGAGAGCACTTTAGAGATCTAAAAGTGAAGAAGCTCCTTCTCTGTGTTCCTGTATTACCCTGGGCACTGCACTCATTAGAGTGAATAGCACCTGCTCCTGTTTGCTTTCAGAGTGAGACTATAAGCTCAGTGGGAACACGAACAGTGTTTCAATGATCTGTGCATTTCCAGTAACTGGTATTTCGCACTTGGTTCAATAAATGTTTAAGTGGGGAAAGATAAACTTGACAATTAACCATTTTAAATCCAAACACTACTTTGTTTTTCAAATAAAATTTAAAACTCTAAAATGAAATATCTCACATTTGAGCTAAAAAGATGTCCCTACATAAATGAGTTTACTGTTATCCCAAATACAAAAAGAATGCTATTTTCAAATAGAATAAGATGAAACACATACAAAACCAAATATTCGACCACTAAATTCAGTCAAAGACAGATTAAAATCATTAACTATCCTTTCTTATCTTTACCTTATCTTATCTATACTCACTCTTGAGAGATTCTGATGAGGAGAATCACAAAGGCTTTCACGGGCACTTTCATTCCTATAATTATGTTTTCTTGGGCTCTTAGGTCGTGTCCGACTTGGCATATCACTATCTGAGGGTCCAGATGCATCCATCTTCAGGAAAAGTAAAACAAGAGAAAAAAACAAACCACACATATATACATATATAGCACTGAAAACTAGGAATAAGCCATGCCAGATATTGACAAATTTCATTGTAGATTATCAAAATATCACATCCCTTAATATCACCATTGATTTCACCAAAAAAGTTCTTAAGAACAGGGAAAGTTTTCAATAACTCTAACTCACAAGCTTGAATTTTATATTGGTAACAGTTGTTTTCCTTGAAGTAACAGGTTCGTTACCTTCATTTTCAAGAAAATGTCTGCCAAAATCCCCAAGTCTGATTCACCATAGTTTGCCTGTCAGTCACTCCCAAGTAAAACTGGTGTTTCATGAAAAAAGCAGCTAGTTTCATTTCTCAACTCAAACAAACATCACATTTTGGTAAGCATAAGTGTTATACGTACTTCTTATTTTATCACACAGAATATTAAGACGAACTACACAAAAGATGAAGACAATAGTAATAATTTTTACTGCTTGATGAAGTAGTAAAATAGTAGTAACTTTTACTGCATCATCAAGCAGTAAAAATTATTTCTAATTATGCTAGTTTTTTAAGTGAAATTATTGTGCCTGGTGGGGAAGAATATAATGACTACAAGTATACTCTGGTGTCACTGCCTTGATCTGTGCTGAAGTGCCAACAGTTTACCCACCAAATGCTTTTGTACCTCCAGCTACACTTGCATTAGTGCAAATGCCAAAATGGTGAAAAAGGCATAAATAATGCCTTAGTATTATTACAAAATAGTTTTGAATTCACAGACCCTTCTCAGAGATTCTCAGTGACTCCAGGGGTCTTCAGACTACACTTTGAACACTGCTGTAATAACATATATTAAAAAAATACTTATTGTAGTATTATCTATCCAAAATGTTACTTGAAAGCTTTAAACAAAAAATATATGCCCATCAACAAAGAAATAACAAACAACTGCACTTCCCCACCACAGAACATTATGATGCCTTAAGAAAGAACAGATTAGAGCTGTTAACAGTTTACCTGCAGGGATTTCCAACATATGTTTTGTGCGGTGAGAAAGGCATATGCATAATGCAATCCCATAGTCAAAGTATAAGTATAGATACGTTATGTATGTACAGATTTTTACACAATAAAAATCATAAGGAAATATACATACTAGGTTTCTAACATCGCTTCAGAGGGCTAAGTTATGCAAGCAGAACATAAAAAAAAAAAAGGAAGGCGCCTAGAAAAAAAAGAGTAAAAGAAAAAAGCACATACAATTGTATTTATTTGTCAAGTAAAATCATTGATGTAGGGATACATATGAGGAGAAGTTAAATTTTAAAGGAAAAAAGACAAAGATTGCCTTCTATACTCACATGTGCATCTGAAGATCCAGATGAATGAACATCTGATGATCTCGTCTACAAGTATCAAAAATAAAAGTCAATAATTTAAAATGTCTTATACTAACAAAACATGTCTCTCGTGTTATACAAACTTAAGAGTTTCCTAACTTCTGGCAATTTCTCCTCAGCTAATAAAACTGAGCAAAGGCAGTCTCTGACTTATGAAAAGATTGTGATACAAAGTAAATGTGTAAGTCATTTCTTTAAAATTCAGCCTGCATATTTCCAAAAATATAATAAACACTAGTGGGATATATATGAGGCAAAATTACCTCTTTATAGTATACACTGGAAACCTAACCACCATTTTTACACAGTTTTATGCAAAAGCTCTTCCTAATCATAGATGCATCGTTTACTGCCACAGCACTGCCCAGCAACTTCTTGGTCCACAGCACGAGAACTCTCTTTCTCTAATCACCCAAAGCCACATAAAGAAATCCACATATAAATCCTTGCTGTCTATTAAAAGGTACAAATTCTGCAAAGTTCCAGAAAATATTATCAAATCCCCAATAAGGCACCATTTACAACTCGTTTTAAGGGAGATGATTCGATAGCATGTCACAGGCTGCCTGGTGGCATGAGAAAGAGTTCATATAATATCTTCCAGTGATGTCAACTGTTAAAACTTCAACTTTTCTTAAGTGATCTACCTATCAGATTATACATGGTATGCAATAACTTGTTGCCACTACACATGTAAAGACAAAGATGACAAGCTGTAGGACGATTAACTAAATAATGTATGCTATCTTTCTGAAAGAAAGATTCTCCAAGAATTTTTACTTGGGGATCCAAAATATAACTGTCACTGAGCTGTTTTTATTTTTGAGGGTATACGGTAGTGAAATTTTACTTGTTTTTATTTATATATTTAAGTGTCAAATGTTCAAATGAAATCAAGAATATTGAGATCACAAATATCTCACCTGACCCCAACTCCCAGACAAGATGTCATATAAAGTACAAGATAAAATATTAGTTTAAGAGAAAAACTGAAGATTCATGTTATTTAAAAAAGAGCAAAGATCCATACAGTATTGTTTTATTTACATTGTCCAGACATAAGGCTAAGAACAGCTGGTAAGATTTTTACACTGAATCAATTTACTCCTCTGAACTCCACTGTATTGCGCATTAGCATAGGCAAAAATCAGCCCAGGACAACAGGACAACCAAGCACTGGGACCCCTCCCATCTCATTCTTTCTTTCATTTTTTTTTTTTCTTGAGACAGAGTCTTACTCTGTCTCCCAGGCTGGAGTACAGTGGCGCGACCTCGGCTCACTGCAGCCTCCGCCTCCCGGGTTCCAGTAATTCTCCTCCCTCAGCCTCCTGGGTAGCTAGGAGTACAGGCACGCACCACCATGCCTGGCTAATTTTTGTATTTTTAGTAGAGACGGAGTTTTACCACGTTGGCCAGGCTGGTCTCGAACTCCTGACCTCAGGTGATCTGTCCACCTCAGCCTCTGAAAGTGCTAGGATTACAGACATGAGCGACCGCACCCGGCCCCATCTCACTCTTTCTGTCCATGGTTTTTCTGTCCCCAACTTTTGTGTCCACCCTGATTTTCTTCTAGCGGCTAATCTTTCTTAAATGTCAAGGTGGTATAAAAGAAAATTTTTAGTATTTATTAACTATGAAACACACCCTGAAACATATCTTGAAATGCATAAATTTACAAATATCTAGAAATTTAAAAATCCAAAAGAATAAATAACTACTCTTACAAAAGAAAAACAAGTTCAGGCAAGAGGCTGAAGGGACTGAAAAAAATCAACTGCCTGGGCCAGGTGCAGTGGCTCACGCCTGTAATCCGAGCACTTTGGGAGGCCGAGGCGGGTGGATCAAGAGATGGAGACCATCCTGGCCAAACCTGGTGAAACCCCATCTCTACTAAAAATACAAAAATTAGCCAGGCGCCTGTAGTCCCAGCTACTCGCTGAGGCAGGAGAATGGTGTGAACCCGGGAGGCAGAGCTTGCAGTGAGCTGAGATCGCGCCACTGCACTACCGCCTAGGCGACAGAGACTCCATATCAAAAACAAACAATAGTAACAAAAAAAACTCAATTGCCTTCCAATACACCAGTATTAACTTGCTAAGCAACAAAAACATCCTAATCATAAAAGCAACAAAAAATATAAAAACATCTAGAAACCAATTTAAGAAATGTATATAACCCTTGTGAAGAAAACAAAAACTTCGAGAAAAATCCAGTTACTCAAGCCACCTTTTCAAAAGATTCATATTACTGGATGGGAAAATTCAATATTAAGATAATGTCAATGACACCTAAATTTCTTTACATATTTAATACAATTTCATTCAACCGCTCTAAATTCCAAAGGGAAATATTTGCAAGGGGGCAAAAGAATTGCCAAAACAATTCTAAAGTTCACCCAGAAAGAATAAGCATCCAAAAGAATAACTAAGAAAGCGCTACCCTTTCTGTAGTCTTTGATGCCACCACATCCAAATCATCATTTCTAGGATTTAAAAACAAAAGATACAAGAACCTAGGCATTCTGCCTATTTCCATATAGTTAACTCTTCCCTGACTCCAAGTCATCAAAAGATGAAGCTCTATAATCTTCAAGGATCTCACTTGCGTAACCATTCACCAAATTAAATAATCTCTAATACAAAAATAATCAGTTCAAAAGTAACAATTTTGTCAGCTTTCAAAATTACACAATTTGATAAATTTGCAAACAGAGCAGTAACAGCATAGTGTAGCACAATGCACCGGTGTAGGACAATGCACCAGCTGATTTCAGTTAGCTTAAGATGTCACTAATCACATTTACTGCAAACCAGACATTTTCCACTGATACATACCTACAGCTACATAGCATTCAGCACGGAACTTTAACAGTTCAAACAGCAGTTAACACAATTTTTAAAATAATCATCAACTTCTAAAGATAACAGTCAAGGTAAACAGTAAATATAGCACTACTTCAGAAGCTGAGCTTCTCCCTCTTCCTAACCTGGAACTGAACTGTATTCTTTGTCTTGAGTTTGGCTTTTTATTTTTAACTGAAGAACACAAACCAATGATGCCTAAAGATCTCCTGAAGTCGGCCGGGCGCGGTGGCTCACGCCTGTAATCTCAGCACTTTGGGAGGCCAAGGCGGGCGGATCACAAAGTCAGAGGAGATCAAGACCATCCTGGCTAACACAGCAAAATCCCGTCTCTACTAAAAATACAAAAAATTGGCCAGGTGCGGTGGCGGGCACCTGTAGTCCCAGCTACTCGGGAGGCTGAGGCAGGAGAATGACGTGAACCCGGGAGGCGGAGCTTGCAGTGAGCTGAGATAGCACTACTGCAGGCCTGGGCGACAGAGCGAGACTCTGTCTCAAAAAAAAAAAAAAAAAAATCTCTTGAAAGGACCCAAAAGCTGCTGGAGGGAGTGGCTCATGCCTATAATCTCAGCTACTAGGGAGGCTGAGGTGGGACGACTGCTCGAGGCCAGGAGTTCAAGACCAGCCTGGGCAACATAGCAAGAACCCCTGTCTCTGGAAAAAAAAAAAAAGAAAAGAAAAGAAAAATACAAAAGGAAGAAGTGAAAAGGCAGACTAAGGGAAGTTTGACACAATAAAGTAGCATACACAAGAGAAATTTATTTTAAGGCAGAGAAAGCAGACAGTAGAAATGTGGGGAGGGACAGCAAGAAAATCCAAAAGGAAAAAAGATCATTCTGATGGCTGCTAAAGGGATAAAAGTGAAGCCAACTACACTACCTGTTGCCCTATAGCTTGCTGGCTGAGAACAAAACTAGTTTTCTTCTGGCTGCTCCAATTTTACTTTAAGTGAAAACCCCACATCTGAGTTTCCAAATTACCAAGCTATCCACAGCAACATTCCTCCAACACTACCATTCTGCCTAGTGAGCTCTCCATTCGTGTATCTGTCTCCTAATCTCCCACGTTTCTCCTCTCACCCTCTAAGAGAAGCAACTTTCATCTCCACAAGTTTAACAATCTCTCCTATAGGAAGCATAACACCACCTTAATTGCATTGTGCTGACTCTCTTCTACTAGACAGCATGCTCCTCAAAGATGGGTACATTCTTTTTTTTGAGACGGAGTTTCGCTCTTTTTGCCCAGGCTGGAGTGCAATGGCATGATCTCGGCTCTCGGCAACCTCCGCCTCCCAGGTTCAAGCGATTCTCCTGCCTCAGCCTCCCGAGTAGCATGTGCCACCATGCCCAGCTAATTTTGTATTTTCAGCAGAGATGGGGTTTCTCCATATTGGTCAGGCTGGTCTTGAACTCCCGACCTCAGGTGATCCACCCGCCTTGGCCTCCCAAAGTGCTGGGATTACAGGCGGGAGGCACTGTGCCCGGCCGCTAAAAATGGGTACATTCTTATTTAACATTTTCTAACTCAACATCAAGCACAAGATCTGGCAAGCGACAGAGTCTCAATATACTTGACTTGTCAGAACAAGTGCCTACCACCAAACAAAATTACACTCCACACTATCAACATACTATGCTGTCCACTCATTAACAACAGCTACCTAGCTTAATACCACTATCCAAGCCAAATCAAGGTATCCATCTTTAAAAAACATTCACAAAATCATTAATACAAGCACTATATAAATAAAGTTAAATAACAAACCTAAGATGATTTTTTAAATTATTCAAAACACTACCAATACTATATGAAAAGTTGTAAGTACACTCTGAATAACCTATAGTTTATCTAAACTGAGGAAGGGCCTTGTGAAAAAACTTAACTCAAGGAATATATGTCTAACACTACCGTTAGCCTCAAGTGCTACTGACAAATGTATCTTGCTTTCAAAAACGTTATTTCAGCAAAATATCCAGCTCACAGCTGATGTGCAATAAAATGTTAAAACCACCTATACTAGAATGAGGCAAATAGTTTGTAATATTACTATTTTTGATTTTAATATCTTGTAGCAAGTTTTTCTTTTTATTCCAAAAATGATGGCTCCTTGAAAAAAAGGGTGGAGGGTAGAGGGGTAGATACTTCAACCGGCATACTAAATGAGCTCTTCTCTCAATGATACCCAGTAAGGCAAATGGGTATCTTTCTTAGGTTTACTTTCCAAGGAAAACAAAGCTTCAGAAATAAAAAACAAAAAGTGAAAATAAAAACTGGACTTTCAGAAAACAATTCAATCCAGAAAGATAGGAATTATTTTTAAAACCATACCAACAGGCATATTCTAGCACCCGTGCTGCAGGTTCAAGTTTCGAAAAAGTTATCAATCGAGAAAATGGAAGGAAGTTCAGTTCTACCTTCCAGACCAAAACAAAACCTTCTACCAAAAAAACTACCTTACATTTTAAGATAAGGTTACAACCATAAACCATAATAAAGATTCAGTTTAAAATTGGCAAACTGTTTGAAAGCCTGATTTTCAAGGTTTGTATTTTGTTTGGACTTTTTCATAAACTTTCAGGTACCACAAAAAATGAAAACTGGCAGTAATAAATACCTAAGGTTCACAAGCCTTGAACAGGTCCTCAGTTTACTTATTTCTTAAAAGTGATACTTTTTGTTAATCAGCAAAGGCAGTCAATCAAAACAGTTCCCAAAGCAATTCAGCACTGGATGTCCAAGGAAGCCTGTAGTATTTTGTTTTATCCATTCACCTAACTCAATTTTTGGCGATACGGCAAAAAAGAAAAAAAAAAAAAAAGCCATAGTCACAGAGTGAAATAGCAGGGCACACAATTACATTACATTAGCAATATTACCAGCACAGGAGATGGCAGAAGGAAAGAAAATACTACATTTTCTTCATATCCTAATTTTGCTGAGTAAGCAAACAATTGACAGTCAAAAACAGTAATTTTTTTATAAATTAAATTCTAAGGAAATATGCTTAACAATTTTATAAGTAAACAATTACAGGCTCTCTCTCTCTCCTCTCAAAATGAAAGCTACTACATAACATCAACACCCCTCCCCAACCAAGCAATATTTTAGACTAGTGATAAACAAACAAATGCACAGGAAAATTTTAGCTCATTTCTAGAACATTTGTTAAATGTCTACATCTGCCAGGCTCTAAAATGCAAAGCACAACAAAATTACACAGAAAATTAAAGTGCACAGGGGTCTCTTCATTAGGGACAATTATGAATAAAGGTAAGTCATTCAAGTACATACACATACATAAAGTATCATTTTAAAACTAGAAGCCAGGCACGGTGGCTCACGCCTATAATCCCCGCACTTTGGGAGGCCGAGGCGGGGGGGGGGGGTCACAAGGTCAAGAGGCCAACAGATGAAACCCCATCTCTACTAAAAATACAAAAATTGGCCAGGCGCCTGTAGTCCCAGCTACTCGGGAGGCTGAGGCAGAAGAATTGCTTGAACCCAGGAGGCAGAGGTTGCAGTGAGCTGAGATTGCACCACTGCACTCCAGCCTGGGCGACAAGGCAAGACTCCCTCTCAAAAAAAAAAAAAAAAAAAAAAAAAAAACACCCCAACTAGAAGACCTGTAGAGGTTATCTAATTTAATCTTTTTATAATTAAGAAATGTTAATAATTTTGCCATATTGTACATTTAAAATTAACATTTTCCCAATGTCTAGAAATATAATAAGCATCCCTATCCATATTAACGGGAATGTAACTACCAAAGAAAACGACGAATCATGAAACAGAAGTATCTGTTCACTCCATCTGTATTGTAAAATATAAGCCACTCATCTGTTCTTTCCAGAGGAAAGGAAATCAAACCAGATATCAAAGGCTAGAAATTCTAAATACTGTAGTATTAGCCAAAATGATCTTACAATTTCTCTAATAAATTATGTGTTAGAAATAAAAAGCAGGGAAGCAGGGCGGGGCACGGTGGCTCACGCCTGTAATCCCATCACTTTGGGAGGCTGAGGCGGGTGGATCACGAGGTCAAGAGATCGAGACCATCCTGGCCAACATGGTGAAACCCCGTCTCTACTAAAATACAAAAAATTAGCCGGGCGTACTGGCGGGCGCCTGTAGTCCCAGCTACTAGGGAGGCTGAGGCAGGAGAATCACTTGAACCCGGGAGGCGGAGGTTGCAATGAGCCGAGATTGTGCCACTGCACTCCAGCACTCCAGCCTGGGCGACAGAGCGAAACTCTTTCACAAAAAAAAAAAAAAAAAAAAAAAAGAAATAAAATAAATAAAAAGCAGCTATCTGGGCAGTCATTATGACAGCTGATGACTTAGATTCCAAATCACAGGATTAAAATTTATCCTGACATTTTGAAAGCTAAGAACTTTTGATTTCCTCTAAAAACAAAAAGAGGGGAAAGAAATTAAGATTTATTATGTACTTCATAGACATTATCTCATTTGATCCTTATATCAACCATGTAAAAAAAGAATTATATCTACATTACAAATGAGGGAATTGAGGCTCCAGAGTTTAAGCAATCTGCCTTATTATCGCAAATATAATTAATTACCAAGTCAGGATTTGAACCCAAATCTCTTGTTAACAAAATTCATAATCTTCCCACTACATTATGCAGCCTCCAAATTAGTTAAGATATTCTGATTCCTTTCACAGACATCAGTAAGAAATCTGCTAATAGCATCAAGAGATTATAATCTAAGGCAATATAAACAGAAAAGATTACTGGATAATCCAATAATTTATTTATTGAGAACAGCCATACATTCAGTCATGAGAAGCACTATTTTAGAAGGAAGCCTGAACACAGACATTGAAATGTTTTCAATGTATCCAAGACCTCAAGTAGGGAATACTTAAAATATTACTTTGAGAAGAAACAAAAATTGTGAGGCTTATGCACGACTTGTTATGAACGTAGCTAGCTTTAGTAATAGCTCCCTAACGGTATGTTCTTGTCAGGAGTCTGTTGAGAAGAGTTGGTAGAGCTCGCCCCCAAAGAGAGGGAGACGAGAAAATGTACTGAGGAGGGGGAAAAAAAACTGACACAATACCTTGTAAAGAAGCCGAAACTGGCCCCTCACCAAAGTTTCTATGTAACTAAACGATGTCTGTTAAGACCATTACTAATTATGAATTAATTATTTTGGTGTACATCGTTCACCAAATGGCATAAACAGTCGGATTAGAGAAAGCAAGTAGAAAACGAGTTATGATGTTTCTCAGAACTGTAAACGCAAGCTTCTCTCCTACCGTAAATTTAACTTTCTAATAGCCGATTTACAGTCACACACTCTTTAAGATTTAACAGTCCCTAGCACCTGAAAGTGTTACACAGCTTCTTGCATCAGCATCGGAAAGTTTAACTACCTCGTGGCAGTACCAATTACTTTTAATATATTCGAGACCAGAAACCCAAACCAAAAAACGATTAAATGTCCCGCCCAAGATGGCAACTAAGAACCCAACCGTACTAATGCTTAACTACTACCACAGCTCACTGGTTTCACAATACGTGCCCAGGGTTCCCTGTAAACACAAATGCAATTTACTAATCGTATGTAGCTTACAAGTCTACGGAGCTTCTCTTTTCACTGTTTCTTCAACATAAAGAAAGAGACCACGAGTCCTCTACCCTCAAAAGTGCTTTTTACTTCCCGTTAAGGTAAAGACCACGTGTAGACTGTACATTAACCTTGGCTATGCAGCACTGCAAAGGAGAGCTGCTCCCGCCTCTGCATTTCCCACTCCGTGTCTTTGCCCTAGTGGTCCTCCCCTCACAGCTGGCGACCCTAGAGGTTATTCATTCCTTGGAGGGAAACTGAGGGAGGCCGGAAGTGAGTGAGATCCAAAACCGAGAAAAAAGCAGCAGACATTTAAGCACCGGGAAGCGATTCCCGCCTCTCTCCCAGGCGCTGTCTGGCGGCCTCAGGGCGCAGGAAGCTGAGATACAGGAGAGCGTTTTCACTGCTTCAGACCTCAATCTGAATTCCTGATTTCACTCCAATGCCAAGCGCGGGCCGAAGCACTCACGCCTCCACCCACTGGGCACGCCAGTCTCGAGCTGAATCCCGGCTGGGACTATGGGGAGATACCAGGCCTCTCAACCTGCGCACAACGGTGCGGCGGCGCCCGGGCCTACCGTCGCGACTAGAATGCAGACCCCAATCCCAATCGCCTCTCACAGGCCAGAAGCGTCTGTGGGCCCCAAACGACAGTGGTAGATCCGCTGACTTACGAAATTTTGTCAGAAATTACCTTTGAACTGGCCTTCTGAGATCCGCCTGGCGTTTTGTCCGCCATCTTGAGCTTTGCCCCTCCTTCGGCGGCGGCAGCAGCACGGGCGAGTCGAGCACCGAAAGAGCGGATCTCAGTGAAGCCCGCCAGAGGCGCCTGCAAGGCTGAATAGTCGACTGTCGAGATAGCGACCTTAGGGGCAGCCGCTCACGTGACTTCCGGTGTCAGTAATTTCCTCAGCCGCGCTCACTCCGCTAGTTTTCCTGGGAGTCACGGTGCTTGGTCGCGTTATTGGGTCCGGGAATTCAGAGAATCAGGGCCAGCTGATACTTCACCCTCTTATCCCAACGCCAACCCTTGATAGATGCGAACCAGTCGTATTTCCTTTGTGGGAAAGGAGTCGCTTTTTAAAGACGTGCACTGGCCATCTAGGGAGGAGCTTTTACTTCAACTCAAAATAGGACTGGAGCTGACTGGTGACCTGGCGCTCGATGGACGGAAACGCTGTTCTTGCCGCTTCGGCAGCTCCCATACTGGTGGGAGAGGCAAACTTGCAGTCTGCTCATCTTAAGATGGTGAATGTTGAGATAGGGTTGCTCCCGAAAAGCCGAGAAGAGGAGCCGTTTGACCCAACTTGAGGGTGATCCGATAGACACTCTTTAGGGCGTCTGCAGAGTGGGTGCGCGTGGAGACAGTCAATAAGAGAAAATCGTAAATACAGATGGTATTCTAAATCTAGCATGCATGTAAAGTTGTGTGACATTTTAAAGATTACATTTTACACTTTAGTATTGTTTTCATTTTTAATCACATAAATGGGGGAACACCATATTAAACTTTTCTGAACTTAGTACTTTTTTAAAAAGTTCTTAATCAGGGCCTAGATTCAAAGACGGAAAGCTTGCTTGAGAAGGCCATGCCCGAATCAGGCCAGGCAAGGAAAGAAAGGACATTCCAGACAGAGGGAGTAATTGAGGTAAAAGCCTGTGGCATGAATCAGTACAGCCGATCGTGCAGGTCACCTAAAGCAGTCGTTTTATTAGACCAGGTGTGGGGAGGGACGTGGTTGGACAGGGGTGCGGGTGCAGGTTCACACAGCGCCCTGAGGTCACCATCGTGCTTAGGAGTTAGAATTCTGTTCTCAGAATGAAGATCGGCCTTTAACAAGGTTGAAATGGTCAGATTTTTATTTTAAAGTATTGCTCTGAGGACTAGGGTGGGAGTGGAGGGCGTTTGTGGACCTCTCCCTAAATCATTTATTCAAAATATTTTTGAGCCCCGTTTTGTGTGTAAAAGCCTGCCCAAAGTGTTGTAGGGCTTACAGAGACAGACAAACATGCACTGTCTTCATATGATTTAAAACTTAATGAGAAATGGAGGAGACAAGGAAACCGCAAACTGACACTATGCATAATTAAATTGATGCTGCAAGGAAGGATCAATAGCTGAGGGACCTCTGAAAGAAGTAATTAATTCTGAGAGTAGGAGTGAGGAAAAGAGACGGGGCGGGGCAGGGGGGGGGGTGGTCATAGAGAAGAAAGCATTTGAACCAGCTCTGAAGAAGTAGAATTTTGTTGAATGGCGGGGGTGGGGAGCGAGGGAAGCACTTAGAACAGGATCTGACACAAGGCTGGCTCTCAAGAAAGATTAACAGACATATATGCCAGCCACTAAGGAATCAGCAGGCCAGGCCTCCTATTCTCTGTGAGGGTATGAGGGTAGAAGAACAGACAGTAAACAAGAAATGATCTGAAAGTGACAAGTGCTACACATGAAATTAGAATGACTTGCACCCTCCAACCCAATTCAATTTACTTCTACTGCTGGATTCTGTCATACTTTTTCAGTTCTGGGCCTCTTCCCTCAACCTTGCCCTGCCCTCTCATTGAAGTCTAATCCAATTCTACTCTGGGTGAAGATGTCCCTTCCTCCAGGAAGGCTTACAGTCCTCCCTCCCCACCAATCCTAAATCAGAGACCCTTCTGTTTCCAAGGAACCTATACTTTACCACTTTGAAGAGCTCAGCACACTAGATCTTAACAGGGTTTTGTTTTGTTTTGTTTGTTTTGAGACGTCTCGCTCTGTCGCCTAGGCTGGAGTGCAGTGGCGTGATCTCGGCTCACTGCAAGCTCCGCCTCCTGGGTTCATGCCATTCTCCTGCCACAGCCTCCCGAGTAGCTGGGACTATAGGCGCCCGCCACCACGCTCGGGTAATTTTTTGTATTTTCAGTAGAGACGGGGTTTCACCATGTTAATCAGGATGGTCTCCATCTCCTGACCTCGTGATCCACCCACCTCGGCCTCCCAAAGTGCTGGGATTACAGGCGTGAGCCACCGCGCCCAGCCTAGATCTTAACTGTTTATAGGATTAGAAAGTGAAATCATCAGCTGAGATGAAGAGGAGAAGTGGGACTGGGTATGCCTTGTGGTGTTCTGACAATGCCACAGGCTGATTTTGTCACTAGAAAGTGAATATGTGTAGCTTTTCAGTCAAATCCCCAAAGTCCTACTTATTTTAAAAATAATTTTTACTAAATACTCCTGAAGAGTCAAAAACAAAAGAATGCAGACTTCTTTCCTCTCTTCTTTTTTATATTGTAAGCCCCAAAGCAAGTCAGACAAATATGATGTGACTAGAAATAATACGGGCCTTTATTAAGGGTTAAGTACGCTTTTAAAAATTCAAAATCATTGCCAGGCACAGTGGCTCAGGCTTGTACTCCTAGCACTTTGGGAGGCCAAGGCGGGCAGATCAAGGCAGGCAGATGGCTTGAACCCATGAGTTCGAGACCAGCCTGGGCAACATGGCAAAACCTTATTTCTACAAAAAAATATTTAAAAATCAGCCAGATGTGGTGGCATGCATCTGTAGTCCCAGATAGGAGGCTGAAGTGGGAGGACCACCAGAGCACTGGGAATCTTGCCATTGCACTCCAGTCTGGGCAACAGAGTGACCCTATCTCAGGAAAAAAAAAAAAAAATTGAACATCACAATTATGAGTAAGAATTCTTGATACGTGAAATTCTGGCCCTATTACGTCATGAAATTCTGGCCCTATTACTCAAATTACAAATTCAGGAAAGTGAAATAGCATGAAAATAATCCAAATGGAATTTTATGGAATCTGAATAATTAGATTAGTGCTAAGGGACTACACATAAACAGTAAGAATCATGCAATTTACTGCAACTAGTATTACCTTTTTACAATTACAGTAAAACCATGCCATTTTTCTCTTCCCGATGTGTTGATTTTCTGGTGCCCACACCTGCCATTTGTTTTTAAGGCTTCTCCCTGCAGCAGATACGTTCAAGAGAAATTACAAAGTAGTGCCATATACAATACTGAGATGTTTTGTTTGGTTCATTCAGGGAGATTTTTTCTTTGAAATTTGAGCTAGCATTTTAAAACAGAGAGATTTTACATAAAACTCAGGGTTTCTAGCCTTTCTTGAAAAATGGGGAAGTCTGGCAACACTGGGGGACAATCCAGGTGAGGTGGCCTGCAGCGACTTCTAGGGAAGGGGGCTATGAACACCAGTTTAGCCACCAACTCATCATACACGGTGGACAAATTCCCCATACCCAGCCTGCTTGTAGGCATTTCAGTTTTCTACTTCTGATGTACAGTGTAATACTTACCTGGGGTGATGATCAAAACATTACCAACCAGTTCCCCCAGGCACCAGCCAGAACTGACTTGTTAGTAAGGTACAGGAGACTCAGTGCCTAGGGCTCACAATAATTTTTAGACCTCCCCACCAAAAATGTTTTGATTTCTTTAAGGAGGAAAAAAGTGGAGTGGAGAAAGTATTTAACAATACAAACAGCTGTGGAACCTGTGCATGCTGAAAGATAGAGACCTTAAAAAATGATTGCCCCAAAGCTACAGCCTCCTGTATTGTGCCAATGGACTGCTCCTACTTGGTGGCATTTTCATTCTAGACAGTTTTTAAACAGTTTTTCCCTGCTCTCTGGGTTTCAGGATATAGGCTGGTAAAAGGAACACTCCATTTGCTTCTTTGGCATTTATTGAGTTTCTAGCTTGTGCTAGGCTCTGAAGAAAGAAGATAAAAGGAGAGACAACTAAAAATCAGACTTAATGTCTTCTGCTAAGACAGATCCTAGCTGCTTCTAGGAATAATTAGGAAACAGCCTTCACGGAGGTGTGGTCAGTGTGGAATGGAAAATTCCTTCTGCTGCACTTGACTGCCTGCCCCACACCCACCCCACAACGTAAGTGTTATGAATAAGGTTTTAGTAGCAACAGCAGCTGCTCCCCCTTTCTCACACACACAAAAATTACCTGACTCACTTATTGATTATATACAGATTCCTTTGACAATAATAATTAGCAGTGGCAGCCAGGCGCAGTGGCTCACGCCTGTAATCCTAGCACTTTGGGAGGCCAAGGCAGGTGGATTGCCTGAGCTCAGGAATTTGAGACCAGCGTGGGCAACATGGTGAAACCCCTTCTCTACTAAAATACAAAAGAAATTAGCTGGGCATGGCAGCGTGCACCTGTAGTCCCAGCTACTCAGGAGGCTGAGGCAGGAGAAATGCTTGAACCCAGGAGGCAGAGGTTGCAGTGAGCTGAGATCACACCACTGCACTCCAGCCTGGGCAACAAAGCGAGACTCCGTCTCTACAAAAAATAATAATAATAATAATAATAATAATAATTAGCAGTGGCATTTTTTTAAAAATGATGTCAAAAAGTATATAGCCCAAGAATACACTGGTGCCATGTTGAAAATAATAGAAATTGCCATTTTAACTATGATCCTAGTGAGAAGGAAACCTTTACTGTGTAGGAATTATTTTATCAACAAGGTTAATAAAATCTAGGAGAGTCCAGATGGCGTACTGTGGAAATGGAAATGAGCGTTCCTGAGTGTGTGTGTGTGTGTGTGTGTGTGTGAGTGTGATAAAGGAGGACTCAAGGTTCCTGTGGCAGGTCATGAGAACCAGCACACGGCAAATCTGGGGAGCTCTCTCTTGCCATGGCCAGGCAACCCAAAGGTGGGCTTGACTTGGACCACCAAAGATAAGGCCTCACTTAACTTGTGACCTGGCTTTGGCCAGTGCGAAGCGTACATATCCCCATATTTACTGAAACTCACGAGACAAGACCAGGTAATATTACAGGCTGGGTGGAGAATGAAGTTATGAAAAGAAAATGAAAGAAGACTTTCCCTCATCAATTTCATCTGTTAATAACAAAAGTTGTTAGTAACAGTGGTCTTAAAACACATAAGGCTTTATTTTGACATTGCTATAGTGGTAAGATTCTATCAAAACAACATGGCATACCTTTCTTCTTTTTCAAGTTTTGTTCCATTTCCTTCACATTAACTTTGCATTATTTCCTGTTACTTTAATTGTTAGGTATTTTGTCTTTTCTGTTGTTACTGTGATTATAGTAAGTTTTTGTATTTATGTATGTCCTAAATAAGCTGTTTATTGATATATTAATGTTGTGTAATGTGTTTACTGAATTCTTTTATTATTTACATAGGTTTTCAGTTTATTCCCTTGAACTTTCAGGTATACAATCATATTTGCAAATAATTACCAGTTTGCCTCCTCCTTTCCCATTTTTATACTTTTTTCTTGTATAATTACATTAGCCAGTACCCCCAGAATAATGTTAAGAGTGGTGCTAATGAACATGCTTGTCTTTTTTTTTTTTTTTTTTTTATCGAGATGGAGTCTCTCTCTGTTGCCCAGGCTAGAGTGCAGTGGCACGATCTCTGCTCACTGCCAGCTCCGCCTCCCGGGTTCACGCCATTCTCCTGCCTCAGCCTTCCGAGTAGCTGGGACTACAGGTGCCCGCCACCACGCCCGGCTAATTTTTTGTATTTTTAGTAGAGATGGGGTTTCACCGTGTTAGCCAGGATGGTCTCGATCTTCTGACCTCATGATCCGCCCGCCTTGGCCTCCCAAAGTGCTGGGATTACAGGCGTGAGCCACCGCGCCCGGCCAAACATGCTTGTCTCATTCCTGACTCTAATGAGATGATTTTAGTATTCTTATGAGGATAAGGATAACTTTTTGGGTTGTACCTTGAATTGTACATTAACTTTTTTTTAGCTAACTGTGGAACTGAATAGAATTTAAAACTCTCATAAGAAAACTAAGGGACTGTGAGGATACACCAAAGAATGCCAATGGTCACACAGCCCTGTTAGAGAAACATTGTTAGAGGCTTGTGTCAAGACAAACCAGGACATCTCCCTGACTTGGGAAAATAGGGGAACAAAGTAGAAATGTCCCACTCTGCACACCAGTGAAAATGAGCAGTGTGGAACGCAGATTAGGAGGAGGACAGGTAGAAATCTGTATAGTTTCCTATTGCTGCTGTAGCAAATTACCACAAAGTTAGTGGCTTACAGCAACTCAGATGTATTTTATAGCTCTGGAGGTCAGAAATATAAAATGTACCACCAGGCCCGTGCTTATTTTGGAGTCTCTAAAGAATAATCCTTTTCTTTCCCCTTCCCAGCTTCTAGAATTCACCTGCATTCCTTGGTCTGTGGCCCTCTCCTCCATTAGCATCTTCTGACACTTGCCTCCACCCTTATCTCTTCTCCAACTCTGCTCCCTCCCTCTTATAAGGACCCTTGTGATTACATTGGCTCTACTATGACAATCCAGGATAATCTCCCATCTCAAGAGCCTTAATCACAGCTGCAAAGTCCCTTTGCCATGTTAGGCAATATATTTGCAGGTTCTGGGGATTAGGGTGTGGACATCTTTGGAGGGCCATTATTCAGTTTACCATAGGATCTATAATGAACTTTCTGTTTCTGTATTTTGTCCCTGGCTGAAAGGACACAGCTTTGATCCCACCAGAGAACTGACTTGGGAATGGTCCTAATAAATATAGTCATCTTTAATCAGTTGAGTTCTGAAATCATTACTTGGGAATTCAATGGGTAGAAGGTGTGGTTCCAGTGAGGATGGGATAAGACAGGTCCCTGTTGTCAAAGGGCTTGCAGGGCATAAAACACTCCCAGATGTATCACAATAAGATGCTAAGAAGTACAGGCTGAAATTTTAGTTTGATTTGTTCACTGCTGCATCTGCAATACCTAGAACAGAGTAAGCACCATGCAGGTACTCAATGAATATTTGTTAAGGAATGAAATGAGCACCAGAAACAGTTTTATGGAAACACAGGAGAAGATTGGTTTGGGAGAAGTCAGGAAAGACCTAATGAAGGATACTCTAGAACCACTGGGAGTGTCTGTCCAGCTCTCAAGATTTCACCTCTGGGGTTAATTAACTTCTGCGAGGGCAGGATGAAGACCTTAGCACAGTGTTGCCTCACTTTAAGAAGATTCCAATTATGCTAATTTGAAACAGACTTAAAAGTCTCCCCTTAAGTACCAATTGTGAAATAATACAGATCCCCTTTCATGCCCAATTTTTGCTTTTTTTTTTCCTTCAAGAATTGAGTAATTTCTATGCAGGCAGGCATAGAAATTACAAACATCATTTACTATTTTGCCACGTGGTGGCGCTGCTGCCACTGGTAAACAAAACACCCACCTTTGGTACATTTTCTGTGAACACACACACACAGTGATCTTGGTGCTCTTGCCACACTTGTTACAATTCAGACTCCTTCTAACTTCCTGTTGTCAACCAAGCTCTCCTTGAGCAATGATGCTTGTCCTGGTGCTGAAAAACGTGCTAAAAAATAGAGAGGAAGTTAAATGTAATTTTAAAAAATCATGGCATACTGTGTTGTTCATTTACTAGAAAACAGTGTGCAAAACATCAGGTCTAACAAAAATATGAGAAATAACTTTAGAGATCATCTCCCTACGGTCAGGCTTGCTCTGTTTCAGGAGGGCAGGGATGCCACTGAATCCCAGCATCCTGCACAATGCCTACCACAGAGTAGACAAAAAATAAATATTTGTTGAATAAAAAATGAACATGGAAAAAGATGACTGCCCTATAACTCCCAACAATATTACCTCACCTTTACCTCTACACAGAGACTAATAACAAGTTTCTAAAATCAAATTCCAAATTCTTAGGACAAGGTTCTGAATAGTCCAACTGGGGCTAACCGCTCATTCTTGGTCTAATCAATTGTGCCCAAAGAAAGTCCAAATGGCCCTCAGAGGCTCGCTGTGGAATGACTGAAGATTTCGAAGGTGGGGCAAAACTGTCGATTGTATGAATAATAGATTTCAGATGCATATACAACTACTTTTCAAATGTTTGGAGATGCTGCTGTGATTGATAGGCTATTATATTTCTCATTGTGATAAATACACATAACTTAAAATTCACCATTTTAGCAATTTTAAGTGTACAGTTCAGTGGCTTTAAGTACATTCACATTGTTGTGCAACCATTGCTACCATCGATCTCCAGAACTTTTTCTCCTTCCCAAATCGAAACTCTGTACAGTAACTTCCCTTTCCTCTCTCCCCTTGGTCCGGCAACCTCCATTCTACCTTCTGTCTCTATGAACTTGACTAGTCTAGGTACCTTACATAAATGGATTCATACAGTAACTGTCCCTTTGTGATTAGCTTATTTCACTCAGCATAACGTCTTCAAAGTTCATCCATGTTGTAGCATGTGTCAGAATTTCCTTCCTTTTTAAGTCTGAGTAATATTCCATTATATGTCCATACCACAGTGTTTATCCATTCATATGTCCACGGGCACTTGAGTTGCTTCTAGCTTTGGCTATTGTGAATACATAGTCCTATGAATGTTGTCAAAACATTCTTGAACTTAAAGCAGCTCTTGTCATTATGCATGCTCTGAATCAGTTGTCCTAAAAATACACCTACTATCATGTGGGGATCAGCAGAAAGACTGCCCTTAAAGGAGTCTTCATGCTTGACATCTTTTTAAATCTTAGAGCAGGAATATTGATATGGAAGGGGGGCAGGGAAGTGCTGGGAAGGGAAGGGCAGATCCCTGGTGAGGACTCCACCCCCGGGCCTGTGCCCATGGACCTAGGTGAGGACAAGCATTTTAGTTTTCCTGTCCAAATGTTCCATTTCCCAAGACCACCTTGGCCCCACCATGCCCCCATCCTGTGCTTATAAAAACCCCCAAGACCCTAGCAGGAGACACATAGGCGGCTGGACGTCGAGAGAAGCACATCAGTGGAGGAACACACGAGCGGCTGGACTTTGAGAGGAACACATCCACAGGAACTTGCATGCCACTGACTGGTAGAAGCAGAACGGCTTGGAGTTTGGCTGGGGCAGTCGGAGGAAAGCCCAGGCCACAGAGCAGCCTGACTCCAGGGGAAAACCTTCCCACTCCATCCCTCTTATAACTTCCCCCTTCTGCTGAGAGTTACCTCCACTCAATAAAACCTTGCACTCATTCTCCAAGCCCAGGTGTGATCCGATTATTCTGGTACACCAAGACAAGAACCCAGGATACAGAAAGCCCTCTGTCCTTGCAACAAGGTAGAGGGGCTAATTGAACTGGTTAACACAAGCCGCCTGTAGGCAGCAAAACTAAAAAAGCACACGGTAGCACGTTGGCGCTTCAGGAGCTGTAAACATCCACCCCTAGACACTGCCATGGGGTCAGAGCCCCACAACCTGCCCGTCTGTATGCTCCCCTAGAGATTTGAGCAGCGGGGCACTGAAGAAGCGAGCCACTCCCCCGTCACACGCTTTGCAAGGGGGACAAGGGAACTTTTCCCATTTCAGTATCTTCAGAGGAGAGGAATTAGTGTTGTGGTTGTGTTGTATTGTGTTGTGTTGTGTTGTGTTGTGTTGTACAGTCTCGCTCTGTCGCCCAGGCTGGAGTGCAGTGGTGTGATCTTGGCTCACTGCAAGCTCCGCCTCCTGAGTTCACGCCATTTTCCTGCCTCAGCCTCCCGCGTAGCTGGGACTACAGGAGCTCGCCACCACGCCCGGCTAATTTTTTGTATTTTTAGTAGAGATGGGGTTTGACTGTGTTAGCCAGGATGGTCTCGATCTCCTGACCTCGTGATCTGCCCGCCCCGGCCTCCCAAAGTGCTGGGACTACAGGCGTGAGCCACCGCGCCCAGCCGTGGTGCATCTTAAAATTATTTTTTGGGAAAAAGGAATGATGCCAATTAAAATCGTCCTCCTGGATTACTTAAGCCCAGGAGTCTGAGGCTGCAGTGAGCTATGATCACAGCACTGCACTCCAGCCTGGGCAACAGAGCAAGACCCTGTCTTGAAAAAAAAGAAAAAATAATCCTCCTGGAGAAGAGCAGACCTGAGGAAGCTATGGGAGCTGTTGACAAGGAACAAAGACTTTTTCCTTGTGACCACTTAAGCAGAGAAGAAAGCTTTGGAAAGAGGCACAAAGCAACAGATTTTTATTTCAACCCAATGTACAAAATAATTTTTTAAACTCTAAAGCTTTTTCCTTGTTTAACAAGAGAACAATCTACCTCAATGAAATGAGTATTTGTGTGTGAAGACACATAGACAGATGCTGACTGATTTAGAAAGGATTCCAGAATTTGGGGAAAAGCTGCAGCATTTAAGCTATGTGTGACTTATAAGACTTCTTTTTACCCCCAACATTCTCTGTTTTTCTAATGACTGAAACATCAGTTAAAAAAAAAGTCAAAAGTGGCCACAGTTGTAAAGTTTCAAAAGTAAGTAATTAATCAGTGTAAACTTGCTTTGCTATCTGTTTTAGTCCATTTTCACACTGCTATAAATAACTTCCCTGACACTGGGTAATTTATAAAGGAAAGAGGTTTAATTGAATCATAGTTCCAAATGGCTGGGGAGGCCTCACGAAACTTACAATCATGGCAAAAGGGGAAGCAGGCACAACTTACATGGCGCCAGGCGAGAGATTAATGCTGCAAAGGGGGAATTTCCAAACACTTTTAAAGCCATCAGCTCTTGTGAGAACTCCCACACCATCATGAGAACAGCATGGGGAAAAGCTTCCCCATAATCCAGTCGCCTCCCACCAGGTCCCTCCGGGATTACAATTCGAGATGAGATTTGGGTGGGGACACAAAGCCACACCATATCACTATTAGTGCCATATCCTCCAGATGAAGTTGGAATCTGATATGCTATCTATTCAATGCTGTTAAGAAAGCCACACAACTCTCAGAGGGGGAAACATTATCTAACATTGTAGGGACAGGAGCCACAAAAGATCACCAGGCAAACTTGGGCCTAAACTAAAGGGTCCCTCATCTCATTTGTATATTAAACTAGGAAAATACCCTGATAAATCCAGCTCAAAATTATGCAGATATCAGAGCCTTGTTCCATTTCTGGTTAATAAGAATTAATTACTCCAATTTGGCCAGTTTACTGGACTTTGAATTTTAGTTTTTCTCCTGTGATTTCTCATTTCCTTTTTCATTAAAACTTGTGGAAAAATGCTTCAAGAAGCTGTGGGTGGGCCGGGCGCAGTGGCTCACTCCTGTAATCCCAGCACTTTGGGAGGCCAAGGCTGGTGGATCATGAGGTCAGGAGTTCGAGAACAGCCTGGCCAAGATGGTGAAACCCTGTCTCTACTAAAAATACAAAAATTAGCCAGGCGTGGTGGCACACACCTATAGTTCCAGCTACTTGGGAGGCTGAGGCAGGAGAATCGCTTGAACCCAGGAGGCAGAGGTTGCAGTCAGCCGAGATCATGCCATTGCACTGCATTTTCGGCGACAAGAGCGCAACTCGGTCTAAAAAAAAAAAAAAAGAAAAGAAACTATGGGTAAGCAGACAATTCTTATACTTCATAGTTGGAAAATAAATTGGTACAACCTCCCTTGAATGTCTATTTGGCCATAGCTGTCAAAATGTGAAGTGCTCATACCCTTTAACCCAGCAATTCTGCTTGTAGGAATTTACCTTCTAGATGCACTCTCACATAGGTAAAGAAGGTGTGCAGCAAAAGACCAAAAATGCCCTTAATATCCATCAATATGGGACTTTTTTAAATTAAAAGTATTATAATTCTAACAAGCAGTAAAATTTTTCCCTTTCATGTACAAAAATCATTAAATCTATAACCTATTTCTTCTTAGAAACCAATGAAAATGTACTCAAAAATGTGGCATTGAACACGTTATTAATGTCAACTAATATTGACATTACTAATATTCAAAGATTATTGTCATCAAGCATCCACAAGGCTCTACTTGCCTTTTTGTAAAAATAAAATCAAAATTATTCTCAGCTTATTTCAAAACTGTCGTGATAAAGTGATATTACACTGGTGCAGATGTGATTGCGGTTTTCCCATTGAAAGTAATGGCAAAACGGCAATCACTTTTTTTCTTTCTTTCATTTTATTTTTTTTTTTATTATACTTTAAGTTTTTAGGGTACATGTGCACAACGTGCAGGTTTGTTACATATGTATACATGTGCCATGTTGGTGTGCTGCACCCATTAACTCTTAATTTAACATTAGGTATATCTCCTAATGCTAATCCCTCCCCCTTCCCCCTACCCCACAACAGGCCCCGGTGTGTGATGTTCCCCTTCCTGTGTCCATGTATTCTCATTGTTCAATTCCCACCTATGAGTGAGAACATGCGGTGTTTGGTTTTTTGTCCTTGCGAGAGTTTGCTGAGAATGATGGTTTCCAGCTTCATCCATGTCCCTACAAAGGACATGAACTCATCATTTTTTATGGCTGCATAGTATTCCATGGTGTATATGTGCCACATTTTCTTAATCCAGTCTATCATTGTTGGACATTTGGCTTGGTTCCAAGTCTTTGCTATTGTGAGTAGTGCTGCAATAAACATACGTGTGCATGTGTCTTTATAGCAGCATGTTTTATAATCCTTTGGGTATATACCCAGTAATGGGATGGCTGGGTCAAATGGTATTTCTAGTTCTAGATCCCTGAGGAATTGCCACACTGACTTCCACAGTAGTTGAACTAGTTAACAGTCCCACCAACAGTGTAAAGGTGTTCCTATTTCTCCACATCCTCTCCAGCACCTGTTGTTTCCTGACTTTTTAATGATTGCCATTCTAACTGGTATGAGATGGTATCTCATTGTGGTTTTGATTTGCATTTCTCTGATGGCCAGTGATGATGAGCATTTTTTCATGTGTCTTTTGGCTGCATAAATGTCTTCTTTTGAGAAGTGTCTGTTCATATCCTTTGCCCACTTTTTGATGGTGTTGTTTTTTTCTTGTAAATTTGTTTGAGTTCATTGTAGATTCTGGATATTAGCCCTTTGTCAGATGAGTAGATTGCAAAATTTTTCTCAATGTGGGACTCTTAAGAAGGTTTGGTATGGCATGCCCGAAGAATGCTCTCTGTAGAGGTGGGGGCTGAAATGCTATGCCACTGTTAGAAGAATGAGGGAGATCTTTCTGTACTGACTTAGAACTTGCTCCAAGATACACTATCACATGACAAAAGCAAGGTACAGAACCTTAAGTTTTTTTTTTTAAGGCATCTATAGATATATCATATACAACTGTGTGGCAGGCAGCTTCTAAGATGGCCCCCGGTGATCTCCTACTCCTGGTGCCCATGCCCTTATTTAATCCTCTCCCCTTAAATATGGTTCAACCCAGGAATTTGCTTCTAACAAACAGAACACAGCAAATGTGATAGGATATCACTTCCGAAATTAGGTTACCAAGAAACTTTGGCTTCTAGTCTTGCTTGCCTTTTCTGGCTCTTCTCTCTTATTTACTCGATGAAGCCAACTGTCATGCTGTGAGGTGTCCTATGGAGAGGACCGTGTAACAAGAAACTGAGGGAAGCCTCAGGCCAAAAGCCAGTGAAGAAATGAGGCCCTCGGCCCAACAACGTGTGAGGAACTAAATCCTGCCAAGAACCCCTTGAGAGAGCCTGACAGCAGATCCTCCCGAGCTGAGACATGAGCTGACTGCAGCACCAGCTGACAGCTTGACTACATCCTTGGGAAAGCCCCAGCGCTGGGGGCCTAGCTAAGCTGCTGCATTCCTCACCCACAGAAAATGTGAGATAATAAATGTTTGTTGTTTTGAGCCACTAAGTTCTGGGTAATCTGCTACGTAGCAGTAGATAACTAATATAACGTGTATTTGTTTATGCATATACACAATATATTTATTTAAAAACTGGCAACTGTGCTTGCCACTAGGAAAGCCATCTTTAGCTTCTGAGGGTCAGGGGTGGGAGGAAATTTACTTTTCACTCCCCATTCTTTGGTCTATTTTAATATATTGTTTATTCAACAAACAGGTAAATAGGTCAATACTTTTTTTGTTTTTGCAAATAGAGAAAAATGATTATTTTATAAGATGGACAATTTTTTTGATATGCCATGTTTTCATAAGAGGACAAAAGCCACACTGAAATAACCAATTAAGTTATCCACATAACTGAATGTAGGCTTTGAAAAATTACATTTGATCTGTGTATTTGGCTCAGGAGAGGTGGATTGTAAATTATTTTCTTTAACCACTAGAGGGCACATTGCATTTGGTTGTCTTTCAATTTCATGTAACTGAAATGTATATTACAAGAGAATGTCAAAGAATAAGAGAAATGTGCTTTTATTTTTTCTTTTGAGACAGAGTTTTGCTCTTATTGCTCAGGCTGGAGTGCAATGGCGTGATGTTGGCTCACTGCAACCTCCGCCTCCCCCCGGCTCCCCCTGCCCTGGGTTCAAGTGATTCTCCTGCCTGCCTCAGCCTCCCAAGTAGCTGGGATTATAGGCGCCCACCACCATGCCCGGCTACTTTTTTGTGTTTTTAGTAGAGATGGGGTTTCACCATATTGGCCAGGCTGGTCTCGAACTCCAGACCTCAGGTGATCCACCCACCTAGGCCTCCCAAAGTGCTGGAATACAGGGGTAAGCCACCATGCCCAGCCGAAATGTGCATTTTAAATGTAAATATTTTAGAAAAATACTTTGATGAACTTAATGATAAACATTTAAGCATGAAGAAAAAGACAAAGTAGAGGGAAAAAATAATTCTTGAAACCTAAAAACTGGTAAATCCAGATACTGTACTTGACAATCAAATAAATGAATACAATTTTTTTTCAGTTACTAAGTGGAAAGATAGTAATTCCGAGTCTCTAGGAAGCAAAAACAGTTGCAGCAGCAGGAAGAGCTGTATCGTGAAGTGCAGGCAAAGACACTTTATGGAGTTGTGATAAGAGGAAATTCATACATAAAGAGAAGTTTTAAAATGTCTTATTTCATTTTATTTGGTGGGTAATATATTTATATCATAAAATTTTAAAGGTACAAAATAGTATACAGTGAGAGATAGAGTCGGCCTTCTCCCTACAATGCATTTGCCCTCCTTGGAAGTTACCACTGTTACTGATTTCTTATATATCCTTCAAAAAAAAAATCGATACACTTGTAAATATATGTCAGCAAATATATTGAGTTTTTTGCCCCCACAGAAATGGCAGTGTGCTACATACATGGTTGTTACTTTCTTTTTCTTTTTCTAAACTTACCAATAATTTAGAGATCCTTCTACATCTGACATAGAGACCTGTCTTATTATTGTTAGCAGTTGTCTGCTATTAAAGTTACATTATTTTATAATTTGATTGAAATGATACCCATAATTTATTTAATCAGTCTCTATAAATTGACATTTAAATTGACTCCAGTCTCTTACTTTTGTAAACACTACTGCAATGGATGCCCTTTTACATATATCATTTTGCAATGTGTATTTCTGTAGGATAAATACTGGGATTTAGTCAGAGGATATACACAATTAAAGTTGTCACAGACACTGCCGATTTGTCTTCCATAAAGGTTGTGCCAATCAAATTCCCAACCCCTTGTCTTCCCATACCTTGCCCCACATCGTTTGAACCTGATTTTTTTTTTTTTAATCTTGGCCAGTCCGCTAGGTGAAGAATGGTATGTCCTTATATTTTGCTTTGTGTTTTTCTTATTATAAGTGAGTTGAGCACCTTTTCATGTGTTTAAGAGAAGGGCTTGTCTTAATCAGGCCAAACTTTACTATAAAAAGGGGTAAAATGTTAAGGTATTATTAGCCAAGTTAAGACTAGAGGGAGAAGTACATTTTAATGAGGGAAAAAAGAACCTGGGAAAGTCCTGAACTATCCTCATAACAAGGCCCTCTGCATCACTCCTCCACCCCTCTACCTGACCGCTTTCTGGGCTGGAACCCCAGTGCCTTGGCAGAGCCCATGACAGTTCTCCCCATCAAGCTGAGATAAGGCCAAATACCACCTGGGACCAAAATGTAGCAATGTGAGGCCATCATTTCCAAAGTGCCTTTTATCTTCATAATCCTCAGCCCTGCTTTGACCTGGTGCCCCTCTCAACCTTTTCCCTGCACTTTTTTAGATCAGCTCTGTCCAAAAGGAATATAACATGAGCCACATATGTAATTTTAAGTTTTCTAGTAGCTATATTTTAAAAAGTAGAAACAGTTGTAATATAAATAAAATATATAGGTACACTATATCTAAAACATTTCAACTTGTAATCAGTATTAAAAATTATTGAGATACTTTACACTGTTTTTATACCAAGTCTTTGTAATCCAGTGTGTATTTATTTCCACTCACAGCACATCTCAGTTCAGACTGGCCACATTTCAAGGGCTCAGCAGCAGCATGTGGGTAGACCTGCACTGTCTAACTGAACTTTCTGCAATGATGGAAATGTCAGATCCTTGTCTCCACATAAATATCTTCTGCCCTCATACATTCAGTCTGTCCCAGGAGCACTTTTCCTCGTGAATAGGATCCTGGCACTCTCCTAAGTCACTCTACAACCTTTTGGCATTTCTATTGGAGACCATTTATTCTTCCGCACCCCATGTTACCAGTCCCAAGTTCCTCAGGCACTTCAGTCTAGATCTGAGACTATGAGAAACATAACTACACATGTAGCTATTTAAATTAAATTTAATTAAAAATTAAGTTCCTCAGTTGCACTAGCCACATTTCAAATGCTCAATAGCCACATGTGGCCAGTGGCCACTACATTGGACAGTCCAGGTCTGAACTATTTCTCTTGCACTATCAGATAAAAGTCCTCTCTCCTGCCGTGCAGATCAGCTCTAGAACCTCCAGCCATCCCTTCTAGAAGTCATGGAGCTGCCTCCATTGATAAAGAATTCTGGAGGCTCCCCCTCATTCCTTGTAGCCTTCAGAGCTACCCCTCAGTGTCTTACCCCAGCTCCCAGCACCCCACATCCCAGCTTTTGAACATCTGTGTACATCTAGGTAACAGCCTGGCTGAACATTTCTTGTACCTCCTGAACTCCAACCTCACTTTCATTCCATTTCGGTCACCAGCTCCCAGAACCTGACCCTTGATCTGGTCATCGCCAGACAATACCAATCCCAGAAAGCTTTTTTATTCCTTCATTTATAAGTAATTAACAAGTAGCGCATACTACATTCTTCTTGGGAAAAAAAAAATGAACCATGAAGCTAAAGGGAAAGTCCCTCTTGGCCATCCCACCCCCACTACCATTTCAGGCCCCCCTCTCAAGCCCTTCTCCTGAGGCCATCCCCCTTGTTTTTCTAGACATGGATGAGCATGTGCACACTGTTCTGCTACTTGCTTGTTTTTCTGAGCAATATCTCTTGCAGACCTTTTCATGTCAGTATATGCAGACCCACCTCTTCCTCGTTATATGCATATGGGGGGAACGGGTAATACATTTATATGGTTAAAACCCAAAAAAGAATAAAAAGATGTGCAATGAAAAGTTTCCCTCCCTATTCCTGTCCCTTGTCTACACAGTTCTCATACTAGTTTCCTAGGTAACCACCATTGTTTGTTTCTCATGACAAATAATTATTCTTCATGCATTTCCATCAAATATGAATATAGGTTATTTTTCCCCATTCGGCACACAATTTATGCATATTTTATGGCACTGTTCTGAAGCTTGAAGTGCCTTTCCACGTCTTTCAGAACATCTATTAAAGCATCTTTGTCCTTTTTACAGAGGCATGGTATTCCCCTGGATGGCTATACTATAATTTAACCAGAGCCCTGTCAATGGAGTATTGGTTTGTTTTCAATGTTTACTATTACAATCAGTGCTATAATAGAGAACCTTGTACCTATATTACTTTCCATCTGTGTAAATATGTCTGCAGCATAAAGTCCCCAAAGGGAAACTGCACAGTCAAAGGGTATTTGAGTAGCTAATTTTGATAGATTTTGCCAAACTGCCTTCCACAGGAGCTGTGCCAATTTATACTCCATCAGTGCATATCTTGGTCTTTTTTGTTTATTTTAGAGATGGAGTCTCGCTCTGTCACCCAGGCTGGAGTGCAGTAGTGTAATCACAGCTCACTGCAGCCTCAAAGTCCTGAGCTCAAGCAATCCTCATCTCAGCATCCCCAGTAGCTAGGACTACAGGTGCATGCCACCGCACTCAGCAAATTTTTAAGTTTTTTTGTAGGGATGCGTCTTGCTATGTTCCCCAGGCTGGTCTCACACTTCTGGCTTCAAGTGATCCTCCTGCCTCAGCTTCCCAAAGTGCTGGGATTACAGACGTGAGCCACAGTGCCTGGCCTATCTTGATCTTTTTAACTGCTGCATAATATTCTTAAGTACAGAGAATACACCCCAAAGTGTATAGGCCCCTCCTACTGATGCAAGACATAAGGTTGTTTTCAACTGTTTTATTACAAGCAATGCTACATATGCTTATATGTGCTTCCTTGTGCATGTATTTCTCTTGAATAAAGAAAATGAAGAGAGCAAAGGAAGCAGCTGGTGGAAAGGCTCTCAGGTGGAACAGAGCTGAGAGAGAGAAGCGTGAGGGAGCCTTTGTGGCTGGAGCCAGAGAGTAGTGATGGGGAGGTCAGAGTCTTCAGGGCAGATGTGGGGGCAGGGGTTGGAATAGGGCATGGAGGCCATGGTAAGGTTTTGCAGTTTATTCTAAGGTCAAAATTATCTGATTTACATTTTAGAAGACCACTGGCTGCTGCACGGAAGATGGTTTAAAGTGAAGGGGCGAAGGCAGGAGACCAGGCAATCTGAGAACAGGCATCAGCGGCCTGGCTGAGGTGAAATGAATAAATCCTTAGCAGGTTGCACCAAATGGGAAGTAAATGTAACAGGAAGTGTCCTGCTCCCAACAGAGACCACTGAGAGGAGTCTGCAGAGTGCAATGATGGACACAAGAATCAACAAGACAGACACAGCCTCTGCCCTCTTACTCTCTAAGAAGGGATACAGAGATTAAGCAAATAATTGCAGGTATAAACAACAGTCCACCTACAGTGTGACAGGGAAGAGAATAGAGGCTTTGAAGTCAGATTGCTCTGAATTTCTAACTCTGCTCCCCGACTTGCAAGCTGTGTTCCTTTGGTCAGGACAGTCTCTCTCTCTCTCTCTCTCCCTCTCTCTCTCTCTGTGTGTGTGTGTGTGTGTGTCTCCCTCTCTCTTTTTCTCCCTTCCCCCCAACCCAGCCCTCCCTCCTCTCCTCTCCCTCTCATCCGATTTCTTCATCTGTAAGGGTTAGCGAGAGGATTAAATGAGATCATTTTTGAAAAGCACCTAGCACTGGTAAAAAGGAGATAATTATATTGGGTGAATGAATGGAAAAAACCTTCCCCTTTATTTACCGTCTGTCTTCATGTACCCCTGTCGGCCATTCCAGGCAATCATTTTGATTCTAAATTCCTACTACCTCCTCCAACTACAGAATGTGGTTATCAGTGGAGTCAACGGGTTCATTAGCTCTTTGCATGTGGTTTTGCCAGAATCATCAGTTGCCAACTAATGCAAATTAATTGTTTACACTCCTTTGGGTTTATTCTTTTCCCACTGTTATTCTTTTTAAAAATAAAGTTATTTCTTTTCCGTTTTCCCCCCTTTTATTATCAGGAAATTTGAAATAGACTAGGAACAGTAGATGGAAGAATTAATTTATTTGATTAATGGATACCAAATTATTATGGTTAAGTTTTTTGTTTCAGACCACAGCTCCATGGGGACATTAATAAATGTGATTGCTTTTGCTAGAATATTCGTTAATCCTGTGGTTTAGTGTGCTGATAATGGGACATGCTGCTCCACTGACTTTTAATGAGCTTATTCCACTGGCTAGCAGAAAAGCAACAAAAATAATTTTACAAACATATACATGTTTAGAGGACTAAGGGAGTTTTAAAATCTCCTTATGCTCTCAGTATATTCCACCAAGGTGTACGTAAACATAACTTCTTTTTCCTTTTCTCACAGGCTTTTTTCGATAGATCTTTTTTAAATTTAAAATAAAAATCTGAGGAATAGTTGCTATGGACTGAATGATGTCCCCCACAAAATTCCTATGATGAAGCTCTAATCCCCATGTGGCTGTATTTGAAAATAGAGCTTGAGAGGAAGTGATAAAGGTTAAATGAGGTCATATGAGTAGGGCTCTGATGCAGTAGAGCTGGTGCCCTTATAAGATGAGGAAGAGATCCCAGAGCTCCCTCTCTCTGCCATGTGAAAAGGCAGCTGTCTGCAAGCCAGGGAGAGAAGGCTCCTTGGAAACCAACCCTACCAGACCTTGACCTGGGACTTCTGCGCCCTAGAACTGTGAGAAAATAAATACCAGTTGTTTAAGCCACGCAGTCTATGGTACTTTGTTATGGCAGCCCTAGCCGACAAGTCCTAAAACAATATGATTTAGTCTGAGCTATTGGGATATTAAAAGACTTCATCTGGCTTGAATGCCTTAATTAAGATAACTTGTTTTTAGTAGTTATGGGACCCTGCCTTCTTTGTGAGTATATAATTCAAAACTGACAAAGTAGTATGATGACAAAAGACAGAGTGCCTGTTGATTCAGGTTTTATCCACAATTGTAAGTGAAACAATGTCATTTACAAAATCATCAGGGCTTTCCACTGTAGGACAATAGGTTTCCTACATGTCAAATCAAATGTTAACTCTCATGTTTAACTCTGATATCTTCCTCTTCCCTCATACAAATCTACATAAATCAATGCATGCATATGTAGGGCTGTTTTTTTCCCTGTTTCTTATTTAACAACATGAAATTAAAGCCTTCTGGCTCGAGAGAGTGAACCAAACATACACATTTGCCCCCTGCTGTTCCAGACACCATCACTGTGTAGATATTTCTGATATCTTTAAAAGTGGTAGGGGTGGATAAATTTAAAACATCAAAGAGAACAGAAGAGAAAGCAACCAATGGACAGTACATTTCTGGAAGACAGATAAAACAAAGCAGAAAAAGCCAAAGCCCAGGATACACCCAGGAGGAGGATGCAGAGAAGGTTGAAAGAGAACCCTTGCAACAGTGTTTTACAAGGACATCACATCTAAATGGCTTAGCATGGTGTAATTGCTCAATAAATGTTAACTGTTATGTCATTATTCTGGAACTGGTTTTTGTCACTCAAGGTCAACACATATATGCGTAATTTATTCTTTAGTAGAGTTGTATAATATTCCATAACTTGTTCATCCATTTCCTTATTTAAGAACCTTTCAATATAAAAATTAGCCAGGCATGGTGGCGGGTGCCTGTAATCCCAGCTACTCGGGAGGCTGAGGCAGGAGAATCACTTGAACCCGGGAGGCAGAGGTTGCAGTGAGCTGAGATCGTGCCATTGCACTCCAGCCTGGGCAACAAGAATGAAATTATGTCTCAAAAAAAAAAAAAAAAAAAACCCCTTCAGATTATTTTGTGGGTTTTTTTCCTGAGCATGTGGTCTACAAAAAAAAAAAAAAAAAGGTGCAACAACAACAAAAAATATTGCAACAAATTTCTTTATGCATCTACCCTTTAATTGTTGGTATTTTTTATTTCTGGATTTTCAAAAGTGGAACTGCTGGGTCAAAAGAAAGGTGCAAGTTTAATTTTATTGATTTACCCACTGATTTAACTTTCCCAAGGATTGTGGCAGGTCACACTCTCACCAGCAATGCTGAGGAAAGCCTGTTTGTTAGTCCACTTGCTGTGGACTAAGTCTCCACCAAACTGAGATTATACATCTACTCTCAAGCTACTAAGATACAAAACTGAGATGGGAGCCCAAGCAATCTCACTCTGGACCTTACTCTTCTAACTATTCATACAAACAGCTAATTATGCCAACAGCATTTAATAAACATCCTTTTCCACTTAATTGAAACACAAACTTCATGATTGTCTTAGTCCATTTGTGTTGCTATAAAGGAATACCTGAGGCTTGGTAATCCATAAAGAAAAGAGATTTATTTGGCTCACAGTTCTGCAGGCTGTACAAGAAGGATGGCACCAGCATCTACTTCTGGCAAGGGCTTCAGGAAGCTTTCGCTCATGGTGGCAAGTGAAGGGGAGCCAATATGTGCAGATATCACATGGCGAGACAGAAAGCAAGAGAGAAGGGGGTAGGTGCCAGCTTCTTTCTAACAATCATTTCTTACAGGAAATAACAGAGCAAGAACTCACTCATTACTGTGAAGACAGCACCAAACCATTCATGAGGGATCTGCCCCTGTGACCCAAAACATCTCCCAGTAGGCCTCATCTCCAATATTGGGATCAAATATGGGAATGAATATCCAAACTACATCAATTATACAAGTTCTCAAATATAATCAGTCTGTCTCTGGATTCTATTGCAGTTGAGTTGCAATTATATTGTTTTGATTTTAGTAGCTTTATAGTAAGTGTTACTCTCTCTCCAGTAAGGCAGGAGCTCCCTCACTACTCTTCTAGATTTATCCAATAAACCTTTGCATATTTTTATTCCATACAAACACTTAAATCATTTGTCCAGGTCCAAAGAAAATATACCTGCATGTCTTGACTTGGATTTCATTAAATGTATTTGTTAATTTGTTAAGAATTGATATGTATGTATTAAATCTCTCTTTCCGTGACTATGGTGTAATGTTCTATTTATCTAGGTTCTTCAATAAAATATTAACGTTTCTTTTAATACAGATCTTGTACCTTTATCATTGAATTTGTTCTAAGTTATTTTATAATTTTGTCACTATTGTGAATGGGTTATTTCCCACCATATCTATTTAGACAATTGCTAATATAAAAGAAAACTAACAATTTCGGCATATTTATCTTGTATTCAGCAATTGGGCTAAAATCTCTAATTGTTCTCATTGCTTTTAGTGAAGTCTTTTACATTTTCCAGGTATAATGCAAAAAGTTTATCCTTTTTTCCAATAATTACACCAGTTGTTAAATTTATGGAAAGGAAGTCTTATTACATTAAAGCCTTCAGAAAATATTGAATAATAGTGGTGAATGTGGATATTCCAGCTTTGTCCTTGATTTTAATGGGGGATTTTAATCGTTGATTTTAATTTTTCATTCCATCATATGATGTTGCTGATTGTAATTCATAGTCTTTAATAGGTTTCAGTAGTTTTCTTCTGTTCTTATACTTGGAATTTTTATTTGAAAATCTACTTATTTTGTTTTATTTTCCATCTATTGCCATAATCACATTATCACTTGGTAATATTCTAGATTGTGTTGATATATTTCCTAATGTTATAGAACACTACAATTCTTGATAAGCACTAACATGATCATTCCTATGCTTCTCAAACCATTCCAGACCATGGAAAAAGATGGAAAGCTCTTTAGTTCACTGTATGATTTTGCCATGTCCTTAATACCAAAACCTACCACAAAATATATAACACAAAAATTATAAAACAATCTTACTTATAAAGATCAAAGTAGGCCGGGTGCCATGGCTGATGCCTTTAATCCCAGCACTTTGGGAGGCTGAAGTGGGAGGAATGCTTGAGCCCAGGAGTTCAAGACCAGCCTGGGCAACATGGCAAAACTCCATCTCTACTTTCTATAATTAAAATAAATTAAATTTTAAAAAGATAGAAGTAAACAATTTTAAATAAAATATTAGCAAATTAAATCCAGCAGTGTGTTAAAAAAAATGATATGAGAGTATACTTAGAAAACCCGAGTCAACCAAAAAAAATGAAAAAATTTGAAAAAATGTCTAGATATATGATACATATCAAAAATTAACAGCTTTTCTACACACTAACAACAACCAGTTAGAAATAGAAATATATCCTATTCATACAACAGTTTCATATTTTAAGAGAATTTTTAGAAGAAAAATTATTTTCATTGTTATGTGAAACATAATCTTGAAAACGGAAAGTTAACATGGGTGGAGCACTGCCTGCTGTCTAATGATTAATTCATGGATGACCATTTGGAGATAGAGCCCTGGATTCATCACTGACTCATCAGGTCTCCATTCCTTCAGCTGGGACAAGTGCACCAGCTGAATTCAAAAAACAATCCTGTAATTTCCCAGAAAATACTGATTAAGTTTAATTTCAAAAGAGAATTCATGGACTTAATTTTGTTCAGGTGGCTGATGTTCACTTAAAAGTTGGGTTGTCACTGTTAACTATGTTTTAAACAGCTGTACGTATAGCTTGGATTGAAAGTCCCCTGGAGAGAAAGAACTAGGTTGTTTCATTTATTGAAGTTTCCTGTTTCTAGGAATGCATTCATTCATTTATTAATTTAACAAATACGTATTGCACACACACCAGGCACTGTACCAGGTGCTGGGGATAGAATGGTAGCGCAACCAGGACAGGTCCCTGCCCTCATGGAACTTATAAACTAGCGGGATGAGGTTAGTGCTGCACAAAAATTGTGACTGACTCATTTGATTTCCTTTGGAATGACAAAATAGAGCACAATTGGTTATCTCCAAATCTGATTATCTGTACATCTGAACAAATAGAGTCTTTTATCATAAAAAAACTAACGGTATATTCAGTAATTGCTAATGCTACACAAAGGAAATTCCTTTTCCAGCCCAATTCTACATCCACTCCCCTCTACTACTATACAGGGCACACGTTCTCCAAGCAGAAAGAGAAGGAGCATTTCCTCTCTGGGGCTGAGGTCAGCCTTGGGCTGAGGCCAGCATGAGTCAGCTTGCCCAGCACGGATGCTTGCCTCTGCCTCAAGGCAGGCCTTGCTATAACCTTGACGCACACAGATAGTGTGTGTATTCAGGGTCCAGGGCAGAGGCCCATGCATATCTGATGAATCTCTCTGGAACAGGGAGTATAAGACCTACTCTGGCTTTGAGTTGATAGTGCAGTAAGGAGAAACATCTGTCTTTTTTTTTTTTCCAAAAAGGAATTTGTTAATTATAACAGGAGCCACCAAACTGTCCATATATTTGATTTCATAATTCTATTTGGGAGAATTTATGTCAAGGAAACAACCTGAAAGAAAAAAAAATCCAAAGATATTTTCATAATAATGTAATTGGTCATCATGATAAATTCTTAGTATCCCAAATACTTCCAATGGAGAACTATAATGTGATCTGTATTAAACATCCTAAAGGTATTAAAAATGTAAAGGATGTATACAATGGTATTTCATGGAAATATCTATATTTAAAACAGAACATAAGATGGAATTCACACATGGATTACAATTACATGAAACATCTGTAGGTATGTTAAGAATAATTGGAAGAGAATTTAGAATATTGTCAATGGGCTTAGAGTTTATTAGCTTTTTTCCCCTAAAAATTCTTTTTTTTTTTTTGAGACAGAGTCTCCCTCTGTCACCCAGTCTGGAGTGCAGCAGCACGATCTCGGCTCACTGCAACCTCCACCTCCTGCATTCAAGCGAGTCTCATGCCTCAGCCTCCTAAGTAGCTAGGATTACAGGTGCACACCACCACACCTGGCTAATTTTTCTATTTTAGGTAGAGATGAGATTTCAGCAAGTTGGCCAGGTTGGTCTGGAACTCCTCACCTCAAGTGATCCGCCTGCCTCGGCCTCCCAAAGTACTGGGATAACAGGCATGAGTCACTGTGCCTGGTAAAAAATACTTTATTAAAAAAAAACCCCTCTTATGAAAATAAGAAACAGCAACTGACATTTCAACATACAAAAGGTATTCTTGCTAGACTTAAAAGGGCAGCACGGAAGCAGTGGACTGTATGTTGGAATTTGTCTGTCTGTCCTCTGCTCCAGCTTCTCCAGGTCCTGAATATGAGATCAGGTTCTGAGGCCCCATCACCTCCTCATAGACCACCCTGATGTCATTTATTGAGACCAAGCATGCATCTCAACTTTGGCTTTCTGGTTGCTATGCACTCTGTGTTTCCCATTAGATATGGCCACCCTCCACACCTGAGGCTGACTCCTTGCCTGCAACACTACCAAGGTGTCTCTTTTGTGTTCTGCCACAGGAGTTCCTCCCAGCACCTTCAGGTGGAGCTGTAACTGGATTATACCCAGGTATCCACCCCATTACTAAAATTCATCCTTTTAAATCTCAATGGCTTTTCGTTTTCAAGGATCCCTATTAAAAAATAAACACCATTGCAAGTTGTACCCTGTTAAAGCCAGTGTTTTATGATATCCTGGCTGGATATCATTGAGTAAAGGCAGCATAGAAATGGCTTTTATTGACACCTATTCTTTGGCACTTTTTTCTTTCTTTTTGAGACCTTTTGAGACAGTGTCGCCCTGTTGCCCATGCTGGAGTGCAGTGGCGTCATCTCGGCTCACTGCAACTTCCACCTCCCAGGTTCAAGCGGTTCTTGTGCCTCAGACTCCCAAATAGCTGGGACTACAGGCAAGTGCCACCACCTGGTTAATTTTTGTATTTTTAGCAGAGACTGGGTTTCACCATGTTGGACAAGCTGGTCCCAAACTCCTGGTCTCAAGTCATCCGCCCACCTTGGCCTCCCAAAGTGCTGGGATTACAGGCATGAGCCACCATGCCCAGCCTGCCCAGCACTTTCTATACATCAATCTTCACAACAACCTTGCAGGAAAGCATTACGGTTTCTCTTTACAGATCAGAGAGGCTAAACAACTTGCCCGAGGTCACACAGCTGGTGTATGACAACGTTAGACTTCAAGCCCAGGCCCATCTGACTCAAAGCTGGGGCTCTTTCAACCACCTCTCACTGTGCACCCTGGGAAGCCTCAGGGAAATCACTGGGCTGGGAGTCAGAAGCCTAGCTGTGTGACCTTGAGCAAGACTCTTCCATTCTCTGGGCTGAGGAAATGGGCAAAAGGGCCCCCAAAGGCCCTCCTTTCCCATTTTACCCCAGGGACCACTGCTAGGCTGTCACAGATCCCCGTATGGCACAATTCTAGGCAATTATCCATTCAAGGGGAGAAGAGGAGAAAGTATCAAGGGTGGCCACCATAGTCAATTCTTCCCCAGCTGTCACATGAAGAAACAAGCACAGGACTCCTTACACACATGGAAAGAAAATCCTTTCTGATGTATACAGCTCTCAGGTAGCAATTTCAAGCTCTGTAATATACTTTTCCACATGATGTGCAGAAAGTGTGGGAATGTTACTGGCTCTCACCATGGGCACAGGATTAGCAGTAAGGAGGTCCTCCTGGGACAGGGTTAGGGGAGCTCTGAATTTGTGGAAAGGGATGGAAGGATGAAATACATCCAGACGTAGTTTTTGCACCAAAAGAAAATACACTGAATGCAAATGAGAGGAAGCATTACATTTGCAATAAAAGCCCCCTGAAAAGGTGAGGCAATAAGGCATAAATTGTTCTTTCCCCAGGAACTACCACTAGGTGCAATCTTCCTGTGTCATCATACACAGATATCTAACCACCTCTCTTAAAAATACAAGACTATACTTTCCTAAGTGTCTTATTGAGCACATCAGGTAAAATGAAATCCAACCTCAATCAAGCGGGATGCCATTTGAAGTTCAACTTCCACCCATTGGTTATTGATGCTGAACTCCAGTCTTCCTCCACCTCTCATGTACCCACACTTCCCAGAGCTCTTTTCCTTCCTGAGTGTCTGCAGCCAGCACTGGGCTAGACTCCACACTCCCTGGGAGACTGTCAGGTCACTTGGCACCTCCAGGAGCTGCCAGGTTCAAGGGAGGGCATGTAGAGAAGGCCTGCAACAAACCTGGCGCAGCCCCGAGGCTTGGCTGCTCTCTCTGTTCTTCTTCCCAAACAGGGCCAGCCATGGGACTATGTGTGTGCCGGTGAGACGGGCCATCCCAAGCGTTAGTGCCAGGAGTAGGCATGGGCCTCTGTAAACTAGAGTTTCTCTCTGCAGCTGCACTCTCACCAGTGGGTCGAAAATTAGTGTGCAGTGCTCTTAAAAGCTCTGATGGCTTTTTTTTTCCCAAAACGCTAAGCATTTTAAAAGAAGGCTTTCAGGAGAAGGATCTGTTAAGTTCCAAAAGTTCAGGCCACAGGCAAAGAATGTAAATGTTTGATACCTGTATGGCCCTATATCTGCACTGACATTTGCTTCTATTTCAGTTAAGGCGAAAACATGGTGAGACAGAATCCTAAACAGACTCTGCTGAGCTGCAGGGGTGCTAACTGATGCTATTAATAGAAGAGATTTGAGGAATTCTTTTTGATACAAACTACTTTGTTAGAATTGACCTTTAAAATTCAAATCAAAGCACTGAAACTCTTTTCTATCATAATAGCCCATGTTATATGTTGTTTCTTTCTGGATAAATTACTAGTCCAGCAAATCAACATGCCTCATTCCAGAGACTCAGAGGAGTGGGGATGGGGGATGCAGCACACGTGATTTTTGTTTTGTTTGTAAGGTCCCCACCCAAGTGATTGTTTCTGAAGTGCAGAAACCACTGCCCTAGTCGCCGAGGTTCACAGCCAACAGCTTTTGTGTTTTCTATTTTTGTTTTAGCATTTCTGGGTTGTGGAGATCAGTTAATTAGAGAAGATTCTGCCAGCAGGGTCAATACACATAGTGTGAGCTGAGCCTAACTCTGGGCTTAGAAAGCTTGCAGTGAGGGGGATCTTTTAATAATTCCACAGATGTTTACTAAGTGCCTACTATGTGCCAGGCACTCTGCTACATGCTGAAGATGGAGCAGCAAGCAAAGGCCTTGCCCTCATAGAACATATATTTCCGAAGGAAAGAAAGAAATGAGTAGCTGTATATTACAGCACATATTACACAAACTCAGATCATGAAAATATGAAGAAAATCAAGCAGGGTGTGGAGGCAGAGAGTGAGGCAAGGTGAGGGGGCTATCAGTTTAGGACACAGTGGGCAGCAAAGCTTTCTGAGAGGTGTAGAGACTGAGCAGAGAACTGAATGAAGGGGAAGGTCTGGGAGGAAAGCCTCCAAGGCAGAAGCAGGCAGAGAGAAACAGCAAGTGCAAGGGCCCTGGGGCAGCTGTCAGCCCACCAGTGAATCAAGAAAAGGCACCCCTTCTTCTGAGCAGACAGCCCAAGGCCTGGGCTTAGAGTGTGGCCGGCAGAGCGTGGTTTGCCTATCAGCCTCACTCTGCCCCCTCAGCTGGGCCGCTGTACAGGGGACAGCCTGTGCACAGCCACAGGAAGCCTCTCCTAGTGGCACATGCTTGGGAGTAAGAGGAGCAGCAGAAAGGCTGGTGGAGAGGAGAGAGGATAGAATGAGGGAGAGTGGTAATTAGCAATCTCAGTCTTTAAAAAGCCTTTTCTTATCTGAACTAACCACTTCCAGTCATGCAGGACAGAATTCAAAGGCAGCTCCTTCGCTGGGCTCTCCCTCCATCCCCCATTAGGAGGACAGTTCTCTGCCATCAACTATGAGGCTGAAGTAGAATTTTAAAACCACATCAGCCCTAACGACGACAACATTCCAATTTGGAAACTTACGACTGGCTATTTCCATGCCTGTCTCATACATAAATTTTCTCCTCCTTCCCCTTTGTATCCCTTCCTTTACAGTATTTGTACCCATGCTAGTCTCTCCTGAGGCAGGCATTCTGTGCAGCTAAGTCAAAAGAGCCCAGCATGTGTGTAAAAACACAGGTATTTTTTAAATAACAAAAAAATCGCAAGTAAAACAGATTTTCCTCACCCCTTCTCCATTCCTAATCCCTTTCTTTATAAGAGACTTTCATTTTCTACTTTATGAATTGTTTAAAATGCTTTATAAATCTACTGCTGACAATTACTCTGAAAGTAATTGTTCAATTGCTTGATATTTGAATTTTTTTTCTTTTTGTGAGACAGGGTCTCACTCCATTGCTCAGGCTGGAGTGCAGTGGTGCAATCGTGGCTCACTGCAGCCTCTGGAGCAATCATGACTTGCTGCAGCCTTGACCTCCAGGCTCCAGTGATCCTCCCACCTCAGCCTCCTGTACAGCTGGGACTACAGATGTGTGCCACCACACCTGGCTTTTACATTTTTTTCTGGACATGGGGTCATCTACAACTATGTTGCTCAGGCTTGCTATGTTCCCACTTCAGCCTCCTAAAGTGTTGGGATTACAGGCGTGGGCCACCACACCCAGCCCGAAAATTGTTTTGATAATTTGTGGAAAAAAAGTATTGTGTGGTGTTGTGTTTACATCTGTCAGACCTGGGTTAGCTTGTGTCCCTCTAAGTGGTTATTATAAAAGAGTTTGAAGACAATAGATATAAGGTATGTACACTGCTGAGGCACCTGTTAGAAATGTTAAATGAAGATTTCCATTGCACTCTGGAGCTGGGAATATGGAATGGAATTGTAGCCCACAGAGTTGTTCCATTCCCATTTTCCTTCCCTACCCACATACACCCCATTAAACAAGGTTGGTATAATCAGGAAGCCTCCAAAATGCAAGAGTGGCCATTCCATTCTCCAGCAGCCAAACCTATGTGTTAATTACAAGTAAGTGAGCATAGGCATTGTTACCGTAAAGGAGAAATCAGAGAATGTGAGAGGCAAGCCAAGGGACAGACAAACAAATTATCCAGGACTGATGGTTCTCCAAGAGATGAAGAAGTGTGGTTGACTCGTGACTCTTAGTTCTACATGGTTTGCTTGCCAGAGGGTGCTTTACCCTCACCCCAGCCCGGACCCCTGTGGGGCTAAGGTCAGGGATGGGGTGCAAGCGTCTGTCTAGCACATTACCTAAAAATAAAAACATCATAAGCTTAATGGTGTTTAGTGCAGCATTAAAATGTTCCTAGTTTCAAAATGGCTGCACCAAATTAAAAAAATCACAAAATGGTTGCATTTAAACATTGTGGATCCATTTCCCTGCAACTGAGAACAGGGGCGAGTCTGACTTAACTTTGTTACGCTCCAATTCACTTCTCTGCTCTTCCACGCCCTGAGCTTCTAGTATCAGCTTTGGACATAATTGGTGTTTACTATTGCTTGTTAAATAGAAAGCTGGGTTGCTTATGGTGGGCGCCTGTGATCCCCAGCTACTGGGAAGGCTGAGGCAGGAGAATTGCTTGAGCATGGGAGGCAGAGGTTGCAGTGAGCCACTGCATTCCAGCCTGAGTGACAAAGTGAGACTCCGTCTAAAACAAAAAACAAAACAAAACAAAACAAAACCAAAAAAACCTGGAGACTGTCTTCTGAATGCTCCCTATAGAGTTACTCACTAATTCCTACCCAGTACTGTCTCCAGACAGGGAGTTAAGTGTGTATGAGAATGGGGCATCTAGAGTTGACATTGGTGCGGAGAGGGAGGGAGGTTGGAGGAGCAAGGCAGGGACCAAGAATGAAACAATATTAATGCATTTAGACCACGGAATTCTCAGAACACAAGGTACAAAGGACTCATGCCACGCCAGTGGGTGCCCATGAGAGTAAATATGTTCCTAGAAAAAAATGTTCCTTGTTAACTGAGCAGAAATGACAAGTGCACTGAGGAGGCTCATCGGCAACCCCAAAGTCTAGTGGTTTTCACATGAAAGGGGCATATGATGTAAGGTTACTGAAACATACTCTTTAAAAATCTATATATATATAGGATATGATACCGTTCAATTAGTTTAGTGATTGGCACCTAGATAATCAAGTTCATAAATATTTTCAACAGACAGATATTGAATCTCAATGAAAAGGAAAATCATTATATTAAAAAACTTAAGGGAACGAGCAGCGACTTTAACTAAGAGCCAAACAGAGCCCAGTGACTGAGATGCCTTCTCCTTGATGTTAAGTAGGCAATGATATCATAGCAGAATGTTTTCTTTTGTGTATTAATCAATTACTATAATCAATATCATTGTGCTAAGTGCAAAGATCATCTAGGAAATCACAGAATCTTCTATTTGCCTCTTTGCAGTGATCTAGGGTATGGCAACCCCCTGGGGATTCACAGCTGTTATTTGTTTGGAGGAAGATGTTCTTTTAATAAATGTGCCTAATCAATGTCCAGCCATCACATTCCACATATACTGTACACATGCCTAATTTGGCATCATTATTTCTGGGGACTTTCTAACCAGATATTATTGGTTCAACTCAATAACACTTATGGCTGTGCTTTGGGCCAAGATGCAACAGGGTGTTTTTCTTATCAGTTATGTTCATTTAATTATTTACAAAGTTTTCTAACAACAATGACAACATCTTAAGATAGAAGGGGAAGCTGTGTAAGACAGTAAGTCTCTTTCCTTGAGATGGTCAAGGCTCGCTACACAACAGCTTCTCAGGAGGCAGCATCCTATAAAGAAAAGGGTAAGGGGTTTGGAATGAATAAAGTTTGACTACAGTTCTGCCACCCAAGCTGCTTAACTTCTTGAAGCCTCTGTGTTTTTTGTCTGAAAATGGGATTAGTGCATTCACCTTTCAAAGAATGTTCTAAGAATTAAGTATATGTAAAACGCCTATCACAATACCTGAATATAGTACATTATCAATAAACCAAAGCAATTATAACGAATGGGAAGAGAGTTGGACTAGATGACTTTAAGGATTAAGTGGCAGTCCTACTCTAAGATTCTAGGACTCTAAGTTCTAACCTTTTAAAAGCTTACGGTACTGAAAAAATTTCCCAGCCACAATGTGTTAAGTGCTTACTATGTGCAAAGATCTTTGTTTCAAGGAGAACTGTTGATAAATAATGGGGAGAAGAAACTCAGTAATCTAGCTCACACACTTGTATTAAGTGTTTCTCAAGTTAAATGGAAGCTATCCAAAAGGCTCTATCAAAAGCAAGCAACAGCCTATGATAAAACAAGTCTCCTCCCCAAAAGGTAACTCTGAATTACATTCAATATAGTAAGTTAATACAAGGCCTTTGTAGGAAAACAATATAGGCTCCAATCAGGAAACAGGAAGGGCAGACCTGGGAAAAACAGCTCCAGAGCAGAGACCACCATCCTAGGTCAAGGAAGCTGTAGAAGGGGCTGAAGGCCTGGGCACTTGGGCAGGTCTGGTCAGAGGTTGGGGACTGTTGGCTTACAGATGGTGACCCCAAACAGCCTTTCCAGCCATCTGAGTGGCAGGAAATGGCATCCATCTTGGATCTGGGAGAGGGGATGGAAGCAGGCTGGACAAACAAGAGCAATGGACTATCGAGAGTAGGTCAGCAGTTTGGGTCGCACATTCTTATCAGGTGAAGTGTTTTGGTTCACCCTCGTGTCCCAACATATTATTTATACATTATCTTCATAGACTACATATTAGTGCATCATAAAACCTTCACAGAGCATGTGCATGGAAAAGGATGACATCTATTTAAGCAGAAGTAATATTTTATTCTTCCCCTTCATTAGTCTTGTGAAACCACTCTAGAGACCCCAGGAAGAAAATAGGTGAATTTGCTGAGGGAGGGGAGTGTAGCATTGTCACTCCCTTCATAAAGCCTTAGAAAACCAAAAAAAAAAAACCCCCCACCCCCAAAACAAAAAGCATCCTCAAGTTTCCCTTAGCTTTTCTTCAAAACAGATGCCTGTCAGCTGGGCGCAGTGGCTCACACCTGTAATCCCAGCACTTTGGGAGGCCAAGGTGGGCGGATCACTTGAGGTCAGGAGTTCAAGACCATCCTGGCCAACATGGTAAAACCCCGTCTCTACTAAACATAAAAAAATTAGCCGGGCATGGTGGCATGCAGCTGTAATTACACTTACTAGGGAGGCTGAGGTAGGAGAATTGCTTGAACCCAGGGGGTGGAGGTTGCAGTGAGCCGAGATCATACCACTGCACTCCAGCCTGAGTGACAGGGCAAGACTCCACCTCTAAAAACAAAAAACAAAAAAACAGAGAGACATGTCTGTCACCCAGTCAGTAGCAGGCAGGAACAGTGCCAGATAACTCAGTCTCCCACTGCTCTCTCCCAGCCCTCTACCTGGCTTTCTGATTGCACTTGTCACTAGAGGTTGCTACAGTTACACCTGATACCATTAGATTTTCCACAATTAGGAAGCTTAGACTATATGACTTGGTAGTGACTATATTTGACCTGTCAGATCATGGCTGTTTTCCATTTAGGGAAAAGGGAAGCACTTTGTTTAAACTATATATATATATATATATATATATATATATATTTTTTTTTTTTTTTTTGAGACAGAGTCTTGCTCTGTTGCCCAGGCTGAAGTGCACTGGCACAATCACAGCTCACTGCAGCCCCTGCCTCCAACGTTCAAGTGATTCTCCTGCCTTAGCCTCCCAAATAGCTGGGACTACAGGTATGCACCACCATGCCTGGCTAATTTTTGTATTTTTAGTGGAGACAGGGTTTCGCCATGTTGGCCAGGCTGGTCCCGTACTGCTGACCTCAAGTGATCCACCTGCCTTGGCCTCCCAAAATGCTGGGATTACAGGCGTGAGCCATCGTGCCCAGCCTAAACTATATATTCTGAGAAGAGGGACTGAACCCTACAGAGTTCTCTCTTAATACAGAGTCTTGGGTACAATTAAGCACTAGGTCCATAGTGCTGTGCTTTTCTTTCTTCCTTTCCTTCCTTCCCTTCCTTCTTTCCTTCTTTTTTCTTTCCTTTCTCTCTCTCTCCTTCCTTCCTTCTCTCTCTCCTTCTTTCCTTTTCTTTCTCTCCTTTCTTTCCTTTCTTCTTTTCTTTTTATTTCTTTCTTTAGTTGGTTGTTTTCTGGCTAAAAATTAGACAAGAAAAAATTATTTCCTCTAAAAATAGGTATATTATTAGCCAATAACACAGCATATTTTTCTGCTGGTTTTACAGATAGCTAACTGCCCTTACTAAACAACATCAAATTTGCAGTGGCATTTTTACATATACTTAATATTATTCCTGTAGAAAGAAACAAAAACGTGTAGTTGGTCTACAAGAACATTACCAAAGCAAACCAGACTGAAAAGAGCATTCATCCCTTTTGCTACAGTTTCAACACATGACACATGACTGCATTTTGCAGCCAGGACCCCTCAACACCTGGATGTACAGAGCCTCCACTGAACTACCAACACCACATTTGTGGTCTTGATTTAACTTTAATTGATAGAACTAGCTGGCATTTGCCTCTAAATGCCAGCAGTGGCTTTCCAGTGTAACTTGGTGATTCTTGTCTGTCAAAAACTTTGCAGTCAGTCCTGGTTACCTTAGAGATGCCTTATGTCCCAATGCACCTTCAGGGAATGGCACCCTGCTCATTGCTTCTGTTTAGCCAAGTCCAGAGGATGTGAGCATGGTTCCCACTGACAAGAGACAGTTTGCTGGAGTTAAAACAAACTACAAAACTCAGCCTGTGCAGGATTTGGGGGCCACATTTTTATATCTCAATTTAAAAAGTAAGAGAAATTAATTCTATAGATTGGTAGCAATTAAGGAAAAGCCATATTGCTGTTTTACTTTATAAGTTAGGTCAGTTTTGCTGTTTCCTTAGTTCCTTTTTACTGAGCTTTGTCAAGGTATAGCAAGGACAGCTGACTGGGCTCTGCACCAGTGAACTTTCATGAACACCACTCACTCCATGGCATCAACTGGTTTTGTGCCTCAAGCAGGGTAGGGGATGTGTGAGAAAGGACAAAGGCAGATATCACAAAGACTTTTTCAAAGACTTAACATGAAACATTTTTTTTTTACTTTATAAAATACTGATTTTTTAAAAGAACATATTTTATTAGAGTCAATCTCACCATTCTTTGTCATAAAGATATTTTATCTAACTCAAGTTTTTGCATACCCATTTACAGTCAATTCCATTGTTTTGCTTGAAGTGAACTTTCTATTATATTTTTCTAGATTATGTAAGCGAGCTGATTATGCAACTAAGAGTGTGGTAAATATAAGAATTATTATAGGATCACCATTTTTACACGTGACAGCTCTGGTTGTTTGTGGAGTAACAAAGGGAATATGAAAAAAAAAAAAGTTCGGGCCTGCCCTGGATTCAAGTTTATCATTCCTACACTTGATTAAAACACCTAAATTTAATCCATTTTACAAATAGCCATGGGTCCTCAGTCCAGATATAAAAGGAAATTAGATTTCAATTTAAAACAAGCTACAAACAGTGGAAAACCAGAAAACACTAAAATAAGACACTGGCTAAATAACTACAACAAAATCTCACTTCTTAAAAATCCACGCCTAAAAAAAAAAATCCACTAGACAGGAATGTGTGGCAGTGCAGAAAGGCAGAAGACTGAAGCGCACGTTTGATCTAATTGTGTAAGAGCTTGCTAAATCAGTTACTACTTGAAAGTATACTTCAGAGAGAAGACTGAAACTTCTAGACTGTTTCTAGCATCCTTAAGTAACTGCAGACACTTATAATACTGAATGATATCCTAGTTATAAATAATTCTTATCCATAACTTAAATCCATCTTGAGGCTCTACTAAGTAAATCTTCCTTAACCTACTTAGAGGATGTGCAGTAGCGATGAAAGTAGCCTTTCTTTTCTTTTTCTTTTTTTTTTTTTTTTTGAGACGGAGTCTCGCTCTGTCGCCAGGCTGGAGTACAGTGGCGCGATCTCGGCTCACTGTAACCTCCTCCGCCTCCTGGGTTCCAGCGATTCTCCTGCCTCAGCCTCCCGAGTAGCTGGGACTACAGGCGTGCGCCACCACTCCCACATAATTTTTTGTATTTTTAGTAGAGACGGGGTTTCACCGTGTTGGCCAGGATGGTCTCAAATCTCTTGACCTCGTGATCTGTGTGCTGGGAGTACAGGCGTGAGCCACCGCGCCCGGCCTTAAGCCCCTTTCTTTAAGGCTCAAGGGCATATTTTCACACTGCAGTGCATCACAACCGTTTTCATTCTTCCAGTGTTCCTTTCTTCTGGTCTCCAGCCACCTGCCAGGTACTTCTGATTAATTACATATAAGATTTATCCAAGCCACCCCCTCCGTTTCTACCAACTGGACTTCATTCTCTTCAGTTCCTGCTAGAATGCACCTCCTACCTGAAGTCTTCCCTCATCAATGCCCTCCATGATCAGCCTTTGACTCTGGAATCCCTTAATATATTCCTCAGATCATTAGAGGTTTTCTGAGTCATCATCTGAGATTTTTCATTAAATTGTGGAGTTTGAGCAGCCAGTCCTGAGCTGTCGGACTCAGTTCCAAATAGAAGTCCTAGTTAAAGACACAAAAACAAGAAGATGGGTTAGCTGCGGCTCGAAGAGCTGGTGAGCGCGACCACAGGGCAGCTTGCGGACGGTTCTTTCGGACAGGACAAGGGCGAGGGAAACGGCAGAATGGTGACGCACCTGAGTGCGCCCACTAGACGAAAGAAGACCAACTAAGCCTTCGTGTAGTGCGTAGACAGGCCGACACACACACACACACACACACACACACACTAACACACACGCAAAGACAGTGAGGGAGCGAGAGGCGCATCCCCAGGTAGCTGACAATGACACGGCCCCGATCCGGACGCGGGCTTAAAGCCCCCCGACTTCCGGAGTGCCCCCCTCCCCGGCGACCTCCGGAGATTACCGCTGGCGCATCTCTCCGCCCTGCCCGGCTCCGGCGCCCTCCCCTCCCCCCGCAGCCGCAGCTCCCCGCCCCCCGCGAACGCGGCTCCCCAGTGTCCTCCAGAACGCCCGCGTGGCTGTCGGGTTTCGAACCCCAGGGCCGACTCTAGTACTCGGCGCGCGCGCCGCCGCGTCGCCGACCAGCCTGCGGCCCCCGCATCAATCATTAACGGGGCGGCCCGGGCTGCGGCGGCCCGAGGAGGGGGATGGTACGGAACTCGAGACAGGGGACAACTCTATCCCCCGAAGCGGCCGCGAAACCCTAGCCTGGGAGGCCCCCGCCCTTCCTCGGTGCGCCCGTCCCTCCCTCCGCGCCTCGGCTCGCACATCCCCACCTCCCGCTCCGGGGGCGGCGGCGGCGGAGGCACCCGCACCGCGCGATGCCCAGTCACCGCTGCCGCGCTGCCGCCGCAGTCAGCCGCGCCGCCGCCGCTGCCGCAGCGCGGGCGGCCGCGCGCCGGTAGCAGGGGCTTGGCGAGGAAGCCGCTGAGCCTCGCGCGCTCCGCGCTCCTGGCGGTCGCAGCGCTGCCTATTAATTGATTCTCTTATTGATTTATTTAATTTTTAGGAGCGGCTGCTCGGAGGCACGGGTCTTCTCCTAAACCTGCAGCGACGCCCCCGGCGTGGGCACAAAGGCTCCGACGGCGGCCGGCGGGGGCTGCCCAGCGCCCGGGAGCCGGCGCCAGAGGTCGCCTGCGCGCGCCCTAGCCGAGCCCCGGGCACCATGCCGCGGCGCCTGCAGCCCCGGGGCGCGGGCACAAAAGGCCCTCCGGCCCCGGCCCCGGCAGCTTCGGGGGCCGCCCGGAACTCCCACTCTGCCGCCTCCCGGGACCCCCCAGCGTCTGCCAAGCCGCTGCTGCGCTGGGACGAGGTGCCCGACGACTTCGTGGAGTGCTTCATCCTGTCGGGCTACCGGCGTCTGCCGTGCACGGCCCAGGAGTGCCTAGCCTCGGTGCTGAAGCCTACCAACGAGACGCTCAACTTCTGGACGCACTTCATCCCGCTGCTGCTGTTCCTGAGCAAGTTCTGCCGTCTGTTCTTCCTGAGCGGCGGCGACGTGCCCTTCCACCACCCGTGGCTGCTACCGTTGTGGTGCTACGCGTCGGGAGTGCTGCTGACCTTCGCCATGAGCTGCACGGCGCACGTGTTCAGCTGCCTGTCGCTGCGTCTGCGCGCCGCCTTCTTCTACCTGGACTACGCGTCCATCAGCTACTACGGCTTCGGCAGCACGGTGGCCTACTACTACTACCTGTTGCCAGGCCTCAGCTTGCTGGATGCCAGAGTCATGACTCCATACTTGCAGCAGCGCCTGGGCTGGCACGTGGACTGCACGCGCCTTATCGCCGCCTACCGCGCCCTGGTGCTGCCTGTGGCCTTCGTGCTGGCGGTGGCTTGCACTGTGGCCTGCTGCAAGAGCCGTACCGACTGGTGTACCTACCCGTTCGCGCTGCGCACCTTCGTCTTCGTCATGCCGCTCAGCATGGCCTGCCCCATTATGCTCGAGAGCTGGCTCTTCGACCTGCGTGGGGAGAACCCCACACTCTTCGTGCACTTCTACCGCCGCTACTTCTGGCTGGTGGTGGCCGCCTTCTTCAACGTGAGCAAGATCCCCGAGCGCATCCAGCCGGGTCTTTTCGACATTATCGGCCACAGCCACCAGCTCTTCCACATCTTCACCTTCCTCAGCATCTACGACCAGGTGTACTACGTAGAAGAGGGCCTGCGCCAGTTCCTCCAGGCGCCGCCTGCCGCACCCACTTTCTCGGGTACTGTGGGCTACATGCTGCTGCTGGTGGTCTGCCTGGGGCTGGTAATCAGGAAGTTCCTAAACAGCTCCGAATTCTGCAGTAAAAAGTGAGCCTCCGCCTTGGAGGAGACTACTGGTTCGCCCATCTGTTTGGAGTTTCTGTTGTTGCTATTGTTGGTTTGTTTTCAAATTTCATTGTGTTTTCTTCTTTGCTCAAGGAAGGTGCTGCAAAACCATAGGGAAAAAGTTCACTGCTACAAAGGGATCCCAACCCACTGGAGGCTTTGAAGTAGGGAGGTTGGCAGGGGTGGTCAAGCGGGAGGGAGATAGTCACTTGTTCTTGCCCCTGGAAAAAATTCAGGTGATGTCTTTGACATCCAGGGATTTCTCAAAGGCAGTGAGTAAAATCCCAAATAAAGCCCCAAAGAGTTTGCTTTTCCAATCATCTGTGCCATTGGTAATAAGGAGTAGCCCCTGTGAGGTCAGGTACACAGTAAAGAGGGTAAATAGAATCCTTGGGAACTTCTGTTTCAGTCTGAGGAATGCTTGGATTTGTCAAAAGAATGGAGCTTTGTAGGAAACAGGCACAAAGACGCAAACCCAGGGCTTAACCTGCTAGAAAATGCATGGAATGTGAACACAAGTTAATTATTTCAAAATGTTTTTCAGATGTTATTTAAATAGTAATATATACATTGATTTTTCATAATTTATCAAAGCCTGTGGTACGCACTGAATTTTCTTTGTCACATAGTTTTGAATTTCACAGCCTTCTGCATTGCATACACTTGAACTGGACATCAGGGGAAGCTGCTTGAGAGTTCTCAATTACTTTCTTAAACAGTGTTTTCTGAAGGCGTGTGTCATGATACAACTGTGAATTCTACCTTAGGGACTCTGGTTAAACTATTGGTGAGGAGCTCGAGTGGTTTGTATAGACCCCAGATTTTTGTTTACTTTAATGTATTCCACAAAACCCATCCTGGTTTTTGTTAGTTTGTTTTGTTTTTAATCTTTTTTTTTCCTTCTCTACTTATTTAAATTGCCACTGGAATAAATGTGCCTTTTGAAGCAAAGTCCAAATGACTGGTCCTCAAACACAGTTTCTTACATGGGGAGAGTAGTAAGAATAAGCTTTTCTTACCTGACTGAAAATCAAGGTTTCATGGTCCATCCAGGAGGGCAGAAGATGGTGTTGGTTTCAAGTTTTTGGTGGGATTGGAGATAGCTTACAGGAGCGTGCAGAGCATTTGGGTTCCCAACAAGGACAAAGAGCCAACCCTCTAATGTAGATGTGTTTCTAATGCAGCCATGGGAGAAGTTCTAGACTGATGCCATCCATCCTTGCTTAAAATTAAAAACATAATATCCAAGAATAAACAAGGCAGTTTTATTATGAAAGGCAGGAGCACATTATTGAGTTGTCACTGAAAATTTTGAGTTAAATAAGATTACACTTGCCTAGTTAAACGCTGAAGTTTGATTTGGTTCCAGACTATGGAAATGATGGGCAGTCACCCTAAATCCTTGAAACATTCATGAGCATGTCCCTGAGATCCTTTCTAACAAACAGATTAGCCAATGTTATTTAGACATTTCTTACAAATGCTAACCTGTAATTGAGATGGCCACTCTAGATTAACACAAACCACTGAGATGACTTGTTTAAATACTTACCACACTTCCTGGTAGGTCATTTTGTTAGAAGCCAAATAAGTCATTGATTGGGAGTTTTTTTTGTTTTGTTTTGTTTGGAGACATGTGTGCCTTTACTGGCTCAGCAGGAGGAGTGGGTGGCCCTCATACCCAGCCAGCTGTACTTCACTGGCTTGTAGGTGATGGAGAGCTTGCCCAGGTAGTGGTGGCTTATCTTGGGCTTGATCTCCACTGCCTAGTTGAAGGTCTTGGGCAGGATGATCATGTCCCACAGGTGCATCTTGATTTTATGATATAACTTAGATCATGCATATGAGGTAGATGAACACTTACCTCAGCACTGGTAGGCTGGCACTTCTAAAACAATTGCTGGTTTTGTTTATGCTTTTAATCACTTCTCTGTAAACAGAGAAGCTCAGCACAATTCCCTGGAGGAACCGGTATCCTTGTGTGTGTTACTTTGCACATAGAAGTTAAATTTATATATGTCTATATTTAATTTAGAATCTCTTACTGAGATTGTAAATACACTTTGCACAGTTGTTGACGAGTGTCAGTGTCTCATCCTTTGTGAAGTGCAAGGAGATTCCTGTTAGGTTACAGAGGCTAATTTGTACTTACAACAGATGTTATTCCTCAGCTGTAACTTAATTCAATAGATGCATTCAAGGACAACTGTGGAAATCAGGATATTTCCACATGCAAATTTATTTGCATGTCATTGTTGTTTTTTCTAGAGCCCCAAAGAACATTGGTTTGGAAGCTAGAGAAACAGGGTGAAGCGTATTATGTAGTTTCTTTGTAAAATGGGACCTCAATTTCAGAAGGAACTTTCAGGAGGAAGACTTCTAGCAAGGATTAATGAGTTTGAGAACAATAACTAAAACACCAAATTTGTCATTTTAATTTTTTGTTGTTCTTCCAGGTCCACAGACAGAATTCTCTTCTTGTCCTTTGTCTTTGACCTTAAGGAGAGGCCACTTAAGGATAAAATTATACCCATATCATTTTTCAGGTGATTATGCTGCATGAGTACAGTGAGATGACACACTTTTTGCCACACAGGTTTCAGCACCCAGTATGTCCCAGAGAGAATGAGGATTCACTTTCCTCTTCCCTTTGCCTTTTCCTTCGTCCACTGTTCTTTCCTATTCCATCTTAGATTTTGTAGACCACATATAATAATGACAAGAGGACATTCTAGTTGAAAACTGGTTTGGCTTCACTTCATGTTTGCAAATAGGTACCATATACACTAGTCAAAGCCAGGGATGATTTGTTAAACTATACAGTTTATTTGCTGAATTTATTAAATTTCTTGATGTTTTAGAAGTGAATATTTACTTTGAATCTCCCCATTTGCACGGAACTATCCAGGTTTATTACACATTTCAAGGTAATGTGGCAATCAGAACAATATATATTTTAAAATATTTTTCACACTTTCCATTTTGCCACATTAAAATTCAGTTTTACTTTATTGTGTTCAGCTGTTTGAAATGTAGGACAAATTATAAATAAGAATTCAGTCCATTATCTATGTACAACCTATTTTGGCAGTAGAATTTTGAAGCATATTATGTAATATGTTTCATTTTTACTTGTTAGTCATGATCTGGATGACATCTCAAGGAGCGGCGCCATAGAGTCATGCCTGGAAAATGAAGGTGTTTGACTTCGGTGCCTGTCACCCCGTGGGTTGGTCTCTGGGGCTGACTCAGACTGACTTAGTTGGCTAATGGGGTTCCTTTCTTCCCTGCCGTTCTTGCAGCTCAGGTGAAGAGGATGACCTTCCCAGAGAGAGGAAATGAGTTCCTCGGTCATGTCATGACTGGCTTGTAAAAATAAATGTGAACTTTTCCACTAGCCATACACTTTCTATAAATAGCCCAGGGAGAAAGTATGGGGCTACAGAGCTGGACAGAGTGGCCTTCATATGTTTCCATTCATAAATCCAGCTTGTAAGTGCTTGCAGTCAAAAAACAATTTAGCCTAATTTATAGTGATACTTCATAGGAATCATTTCTAAGAATGCAAAATTTTGGGACAGAGGTGATTTATATCATTTTTTCCTGATTTGGTGCCAACTCTGAGGACTAACAGCAATAATAAACAGGAATTTTTATCTTTAAATCTCTTCATAACTTTAATTAGTTAATCTGCACAAAGCTATAATAGGAGACAGGTATGGTGGGAGTTATCTCCATTTCAAAGCTTTATAGTTGGTCCAAGGTGACAGGATTAAGTTTTCAAACTGGCATTAGAATGCGGAGACCATTGTCTGCTCAACTGTGTTTACTAGTTTGCATGGCTATGATGCCTGGCCAAGCACACAGACACTAATTGGAAAAAGAGATATAGATACAGTCCCTTAATTGACTAACTTTAAAATTGAGCAAAGTGAGATAGGGCTGTCTTTGAAATTAGATCAAAATATCTCAAACAAAATGTTATCAGCCACTTAAAATGGTTGTTACCATCTTGTTCTTCAACTGTTGAAGTTTACCACTGCTGACTTCACTCTGTCAGCAATCTTTGAGCTGTTCATTCATGCACTCATATCATACCTTTCATGATCTTTGAGCACCTACTGTGTGTAAGACATTGGGCAAGGACCCATCCGTATTATTACAGCCATTACCCTTTTGTCTTCTGGTGGAAGAGAGAAGCCCCAGAAAGTCTCTCTGGCCAGGAACCAAACTCTGACCTTGGCTGTAGGTAGAATGCCGTAAGTCCCTGAGTTTGGGTCTCTTTTTTTGCTAGCATAAGTGCAATCCATAGAATCTTATTTCTATTCACATGCTGACTTCCTCAGCAATCAATTTCTTTCTTTTTTCTTTTTCTGTGTGCTCCTAGGCCTATTGTTAAAAATAACTTGAAAATGTAATGTACAATCCAAGTGAGGGGATAGTCGGCATATGTACAGAATTGAAAAACTTATCACTAATATTATGAAAACACTAATAACGATAACTATTGGAAGATTGATAGTATTCATACTATTATGAAGAGTGGATCATCCAAAGTGCCTAAATTGAGATGTCTTTAAGTGTCTGAATTTTATAGTGTAATAAAACAAACAAACAAACCAATCACATACATAAGAAGGTAAATGGCTAGATCTCCAAAATTAACTGAGATTAACTAATGCTCTCTAGCCTTTTAGGATCTTTGTGTTGTAACTTATGAAACATGTCTTAGAAAACATTAATCTGGAGGAAATCATTAAAAAGTGTCAGAGGTAAAAAAGATAGGAAGAATGCATGGGAAGGGGAGAACAAAGAGGATTAGAGTCAAACAGTCAGAATGGGGCAGCAAGTTCAACTGTGCAGTCAGCCTGAGTTTTAAATTTTGTCCTTAGAAAAGCATGTGAACTCCCAGGGTGTTAGTGTTCGAGTAGACAGGCAAGGAATTCTGTTTGTCAGCTTAACCACATCTTGTAGCGTTTGACCTGAGCACGAGTGTCCAGGTATATTTTGAGTGGTACATTTATCTCCTGGCTTAAAGCCCTTACTTTGTTTCCATAAAATTAGGACAGAGGCAAAAAGGCATTACGGGATAGCACCAGCCAATTGTACATCACCTTTTGAATCATTTTCTTGAAGGATTGTCAATATTCTCTGACATATATCACCTGACAAAAAGCGAACAAGCCTAGACAAACTGAAAAAGGAAGCATTCAGTGGTTGGAGCTGAGCACTACTGTGTTCTTTTGTGAGAGGCCACACGTTTTCTTATTGAAGATTTGGCTTCTTCGGTATTGTGAATAATTATTTCTTAATTGTGAAAATGGATGTCAGTTCTTCTTAGTCACTCTTCCAAAAGCTAATATAAATTTCTGTTGTTGTCATTTAAAAAAGGATAACTGTATTGCATTTCTGGTTTGCAGATTTCTAACCAGTTTGTAGGCATTTTTGTTCTAGAGTGGCTCCTTAAGAATCTGTGAGCAAGTTGCAGAATTAGAGTGTTTATTTATAGGTCAGGGGCCAAGAATGCTCATTTAGCTGTTAATTGTGGCAGGATGTGACTTTTGAAAGCTCTGAACATATACCTATATGCAACAGTATGCACACTTATTTACTATTTAGCTCAGTGGAAAAACAGCCTGCTCTTTGAGCTTTTGAGAATGTTTCCCAATGTATTGTGCTTCTAAATGTAATGCACTTGCTTTAATGCTTTTGTTCTCAATCAATCTCTGGAAGCTATTCCAAACATGGCATTTCTCAAGGAAAATTTCTTGAATGTGCAAAATTATTCTCCAATGTGTAAAAGTGACAGGCCACCTTTCCCTCATGCCTTATACCTCCACCCAAAATACGCAATAAGCACTCAAGGCAGAATGGGGGGTCTTCAGGTGGTCATTTGGCCGTGCTGTAAAGATGGCCCTGCTTCTCCCAGTACACCATGATATTGAAGAAGGACACTGTGTAAATAAACTCTTGTTTCTAGATAAAGCATGGGGACACAATTTCATTTCTTCTTAGTTCCATCTCTAGTTGGAAAGCATAATCTGTTTTTAATATGCTGGATGCAAAAAATAAAATTCCTGGGAAAATTTTTTAAAAAAGTATTTTAATTTTATATTTGTAAAGTTTCTAATAGACATTTGTTTGTAAAAACAGGCCTTAGCACATAAGTGAGAACCAGAGCTTTTTGGAAAGACTCATCTTTATCCGGTGAGTTTAATCACCTTGAGCTCTTACTCAAATGATAAAGACCTAGTAGGTCTTTAAAAATGTAAATAATGTATAGTTTAAAGAAGGATACAAATCATTTTTTAAAAAAGAAGAAAACACATGAGATAGGTTTTAGGTGTGTCTCATGGCTAAATTTAAAAGTCTTTTTAAAAATTCTGGTTAGAAACTTTATTAAATTCCCTCTTCCAGCAAAACCTAGCACAGAAGGTCTACTTTTCAAACAGGCTAGTTTTCTTTTCTGGAGGCTATGAACAAAATTATTCTCGCCAATCAACTGAGTACCAAGGCAATAAAGAGGTGAGGCACCTTTCACTTTGATGAGTTTATAAGCATGGTGAATAACGTAGCCAATAAAATGTACAGCCCTGGAACTCTGTCCCTTGTTTCTTCAGAATAGAAAGAAGAATAAGCCCCATGCCATCACTATATGGACCAGAAAAAGGCTTTCTGTGTTTCAGGGCTGGGGGAGGATTCTGTGGCTGCTTTTTTTTTTTTTTTTTTTTTTTTTTTTTTTTTTTAATTTGTATAGACCATGTGGTCGCTCTGAACTCTCTTCATTTCAGCCATCTCCCAGGCCATTTTCACTACCCTTGAAACTTCACTTTCCACATATCCAGCTTGAAGAGAAAAGATTTCTAAAAGGATTCCATGTGTATTTAGGCCTTCTCCAACCATCTGCCTTATGAGGTTCACCCATTTCCAAACAAAGGTTTTAAATACGGTGACTGTTCTTGGATTTGCAAGAATGTACAACCAGCAGGTCCCCTTTTGCAGTAAAGGGCATTATACTTGAAGGGGCATACTCATTTTTTCCTCAGGTCAGAGGCAGAGGGAAGAGTTAACAGTGATCAAATAGAGACCTTCATGTGTCTGTTTTTTGTTTTTGTTTTTAAGTTCATTTAAGGGTGATGACGGAGAAAGAAGGGAGTAAAAATGATGCGCGCACAAAGAAATTTTTCCCATTGCTTGCCAGATTCATTCTTTTTAGGCTACCCTTACTCCAGTCCTTACCTACACCCTAAAGAACTGTATTTAGCTAGCAAGAGAGGCATTCTCAGGATACGTGAGCTTCCAGGCATGGACTAACATGTGGTTTCAAATCAATAGTGTATTCTAACAGAAAAGCGTTACTTAATCTTAATTCTCCATTATGTGATAAAATAATCTATAGAAATAGGTATCACTTTGGCCAGTTCTGTGCATGTAGCTGAAAAAAAAATGTGACACATTTCTGTTGTATGATTTGCTATGATTTTGGTTTCCTGAGACATTTGTTCCCTACAGTCTTGAATATGAAATTCTGTGTAAATAATATGACTATGCATTTTTGCTGAAAAACAAATGTATGAAATAAGAATAAATTATTTGTAAGCACAGTGTTTAGGATCGTACACATCTGTGCATGTCCAACAGTTATCTTTCAGCAACAGGGTATTCCTAAATTAACAGTAAAATATTCATAACACTAATAAACAAGATAAGAAAAAACATTACCCTTTTCATAAAATGCAGCAGGCAGAAGGCAAGAGTATAAGTTTATCCTGAAGCACCCTTAGTATATTACTTTTTTATCATATTAGATAAATTAAAAAGAAAATTCATGTGTTACTTTGAAGCCATATCTTGTAAGAAAATACTTATATAACCCAGGTTATGAAATGTTTTCTTCCACCTTTCTGTTTTTCAAAAGCATATAGAGTCCATGGGCTTCTGTGTAACACATCTTGTCCCAGAACCTTGGTGATGTGTGTGAACTTACAGTATCTCTGTCCTAAATAACCCCAGCAAGGGAGATCCAACTTCAACTCTTAAACTTTGTGGTGATGGCTAAGTCTTTAAATCATGTTAATTATTGTTTCAGAGGTTTTTGGTTATCAGGAACAGAAAACTCTCATGAAGGAAGAAAAGGTTTGTAGGAGGAACACTGGGGAGTGCACATAGCTGACCACCCAGGCCTCAGGAAGGAAGGGAGCAGGGCAGTGCTAGAGATTCTGGTGAGAAACCCCTGCCTCTCCAGGGCTCTGCCACCAGATAAACTAGCTTCAGGGCACTGCCACCAGATGAGCCATGGTCAGCTTTTTCCTGGCTTTGTTGTGTCTGTCCCCAATTCAAATTCCTGGAAAAGAGTATCAGATTGGCCTACCTGAGGTCACATGGACTCCTCTAGAGACAAGGTATGGGTGCCTGTGATTTGAGCCCTTTCCAGAACCGCATGGAGGGTGGAGGTTAGTTCCCACAGGAAGGGATGATGGGCAGACAAAAACAACAGCTGTCCACTTCATCCAACCCATTGGCTGTCTGGTCCACAGGCATTCCACTATAATCCACACTCCTGAAGAGTGTGTGGACAAAGATCATGGGAGACTGGCGGTTTGAGCCATGTGCACTGTGTAAAGTGCTTTCCAAGCCAAGTGTCTTACCAGTGTGGGGTCCCTGTTAAAGCTCCGGAGCATGTGGAGGAGGGAAGAAAACCATGCTAACAGCCCAAAACAATAGCAACCACAGCCCAGCCCCTAGCTGGCTAGCACACACTCTCCTTTTTTATATACGCTTTCCTTAATGTAATACAACTTTTATTTGTACCATCGAAGCACTCTTGTCCCCTTTCCCAAAGACAACCCAAAGCTGCCTTCACTTAGAACAGCAGCAAACTTCCAGCACTCAGGTTCTCCATGTGAATGAAGGGAATTCCCTTCATTCAGGTCAGGATGTGACTAAATAAGACATTCAGCCACCCCCAACTCACTGTAGAAAGGTGGAGAATTGGCTAGCTGAGAGGCAAACTCCCACCCCGAACAGCATACCATTTCTAATGGCGTACTGTGCCACCAGTATACGGCAGCCATCACCCCCTGTGGCCTAGGATGGCCAAGGCCTCCACAAGCTGGTAGTGGAATGAGTTCTTCAGGTTCTGTGTGCTGGGAAGATCTCTGTCTACCTTGCTCCAGGGCCACTCCTAAGAGGGCTGCTCCATTTGGGCTGTCTCGTATCTCTTGAGCCTGTGCCAAATATCTGCTTGTTTGCTTTTAGATTCACGTTCCCATACTTCCCTTCATCTGCTCTGTATTGGAGCTGATTCTCAGCTCTCTTGCCCTCTGGCTTTTTGTTAGGTTCTGCCAAGGGGACAAATCACGGAAGATTGGATTGGAACAAAAAGCAGCAGAAGGCAGGTAAGTTTTCCTGTCCCTCCCCACTCTTCTTGTTTTTTCCTGGAATCCTCAGCCCTGGCTGCTACTAACAGTCACAGTGTAATCCTGAGGGAAGACAAGATAAGAAGAAAGCCAGAACATAGAGTGGGGCCAAACAAAGTAACTCACAAAGGAAGCCTTGATCAAACTGTGCTTGAGGCCCACCTCTACACCTTTGGACTTTTCCATGTGAGCCAATACATTTCCTTCATTTTACAATTGAGTTTAAGTTATATTTATGCCTTGTAATCAGAAGTATCTTAACAGATCCATAAAATTTGCTAACTTCTCAGCCATGTATAACAGGATTTGCACAGCTCCCATCCCACCATGACTGAGCCAGTCCCACGTTTTAGAATCTACCTATTAGATATTTGTGATACTTCATTTTTTAAGTACAGATATGCTGTATTAGGATTCAAAGCTACCCAGTGACCCCGAAGTGATGCCTGAACTGCTCTCTCCCATTCTTTATTGCAGATATTTTAAATATCTGACCCTACCACTCCCACCCTCTCCTCAACTCTGATCTTACCACTTCCCACCTTTTCAAGAACCACACTCTATCCATTACACATTGTTCTCCTGTATGTTCATCAACTACTTCTACTCAATAGGATTCCTCCTACAAGAATTTAAAAATGTACTACTAGTCTCTCCCACCTTCTAAAATGAGAAAGTCACCCTCTCCCCACTATGTCACACTCTAACAACACCCCCCCCCCTTCTTTTTCACAGCCAGGCTTTTTTGAAAGAGTAGTGCACACCGCCTTTGTTTTCGTACCTCCCACTCACTCCTTTACCCACTGCATTCTGGCTTCATTAAGCTCACTAGAATGATTCTTCTAAGATTTCCATCAGCCTCCTTGTTGATGGATAGACTTTTCTGAGATCCTCTTTCCCATTCTGTTCTCTTTGAAACACTCTTCCTTTGGCCTGTGTGACTTTTGTACTACTCTTTTACAGTCTCCTCTGCTGACTTTCATGCCTGACATCAATTTTCTCAAAGAGTGAAGATAGAGCATCTATACCGGTATAGCTGAAGGACTTTGGTCAGTGGCTTCCTGGTTCTGCCACTTTCTGTCAGCTTTCCTGCTCAATTTAGAGACATTCTAATTCTTGTTCAGAAAACCTTGAGTCCACTCCTGTAATTCTTCTAGTGAGTTTGTAAGCCAACCAATGCCTACTAATAAATCCCCTTTAGCACCAACTAGCTTCAGTAGATTCTGTTGTCTGCAATTGACCCCAAACTGATATATCAGGTAAGCAGAAAAGGATGGTGATCAGGAATGCTCTTTATTCCCCAAATCAATCATTGGCAAGTAGTCTACTGGGCCTTGAATTTTTTATCTTTAATTTTCCTTGGCAAAACAAAGCAGGTTCTGAATCAGACAGCTACTTCAGAGAGTTTGATTCTATTTCAAAGCAAAAAAAGAAACACTAGGAAAATAATTACCTAGGAATTTTTTTCCATAATGTTTACTTAAAATGGGTAAAGGGAGACACAATATGGATACTTAGAATATATGTCAAATGAAAAAGTCTCAAATAAATCCAGGCTTGGTTCAGTGGTTCATGCCTGTAATCCCAGCACTTTGGGAGGCCAAGCAGGCGGGTCACTTGAGGCTAGGAGTTTGACACCAGCCTGGGCAACATAGCAAGACCCCATCTTTATAGAAAATTAAAAAATAAAAATAACTAAAATAAAATAAATCCTATGAACAATAAGTGCTATTCTCATGTATCAATGTCATCTATATAATGTTCATATATAAATTCAACCCCTAATAACCAAAAATTCACTAAAGAGTATTCAGAATTCTAACACTGGGTGAGAATCCTGTAAGTCTTTGATCTAAAATATTAACTGTGGTCCTCCATTCCAGTGGGGAATGGCCAGAGTGAGTCAGGATCTCAGCACTGCTTGGTTTCCTCTTTCCCTGGACAAAGGTATTTATCCCTGTAATGCATCCCTCTGCTTCTGCTAGCAGTGCCCTGAATTTCCTTTGAGGAATAATCCTTCCTACTGAAGCTTGGTGGGACTGCAATCCAAGGTAGCCCTGCAAGCCCAGAGTTTCTCTCAATTCTTTATTCTCCATGACTTGCCTGCACAGGTCTTCATATAATTCTCTGAGTTACCCCATAGCCTTTCAATACATTATTTCTTTATTTTTTGTTCCTTTTTCCCACCTTAAGCTCATCAGAAGGTTCCCATTTCCTGTAATGAAAGAATATTGACTGAGGACTTAAGAGTTTCCAGTATGGGATGTAAGGAGCTTAGAAGTTGTCACTCCATCTTAACAAGTAAAAAGCTGAACTGAAAAATCAACAACTCTTCTTGGGTCCATCAGAGACATGAAGTCACAGAGCAAACTGCTGCCCCCCAAAATTGGAGAGACATAACAGGTAGACACAGAGAATCACAATTTAACAGAGCAGGAACCCACAAGAAGAAATTTCTGCAAGAACCAGTACCAAGTTCTTTTGTTCCCTGTACATCATGACTAGTTTCCAACAAAAAATTACAAGGCTTACCAAAAGACAAAAAACACAGTTTGAAGAAACAGAGCAAGCATGAGAACAGGCTCAGATATGACAGGGATGTTGGAATTATCAGGTTGGGAATTTAAAATAATTATGCTAAAGGTTCTAATGGAAAAATAAACAATATGCAAGAACCAACAGATAACGTACAAAGAGATGAAAGTTCTGAGAAAAAAATCAAGCATAAATGCTAGAAATCAAGAACATTGTGACATGAAGAATGCTTTGATGGGCTCATTACTAGGCTAGACCCTGCTGAGTAAAGAATCAGCTTGAGGCTATGTCACTAGAAACTTCTAAAACTGAAAAACAAAGAAAAAAAGACTAGAAAAAAATCAGAAGAGAATATTCAAGAACCGTGGGGCAATTACAAAAGGTGTAACCTACACTTAATGGGAATACAAAAAGAAGAAAGGGAGAGGGGAACAGAAGGATCAAATAAACACCCACTCAAACTCTGCAGCTTGAAAGGAAATGATATTCCACATAGAGACAAGACTTTTGAATTACTTTCTCTCTTCCCTTTCTCAGAAGTCCACTATCAGTTTCTGACCTCCAAAAACTTTTTTCTTAAGAGCTGAAAAAATTCCTAAAAGAAATGGAAGATGGAAGATTTAAGGAAACTGATTAACTTTGCAATTTATAAATAAATTTTAAGCCATAGGATTAATAAGAGGTTTCACATCCTGCCTGCTCCCATAATGTCCATTCTCTCTATCTTGATACTTTGCAGTTGTAAAAATATATGTGGAAAACTGAAAGGTGGGCAGAAGTGAACATTTATTAGTACAAAATGTAATTCTCTAAGAGCTACTTTACTACTTCAGGATGACCTGAGTGAAGCTAATGGCCTAGTTTTTACTCCAGCTCTTATTAATTCAGTGATTGACTGCATTAGTTCATCCCTACCTCACTGTCTATCTGTTTTGAGGGTAGGATCTATAAATATCAGTTTAGAGTTCTCTCAGATTCTTACTTTAGTTACACAGAAATGTCATAAAGTACAAAAGGAAACAGGTTTAAGGAAATAAATAATTCTACAGATACAGGTAATAAGCCAACTATAAGAAGATCGTGTCCCAGTTCTCGCCTGTTGTTATCTTTATTTTGGTTTGATTTTTTTGTTTTGATTTGATTTTTTTACTTTTGATGTTGGTGTTTTCTTTTTGCCAAGCTCCTAGAGAAAGCATCAAATATAAAAGCTAGCAGATGTGAAATCCTGCCAGAAGCCCCTCACTTTGATTTCTGGTGTTACCTATGTCTTGCCAAATGTAAAGCTTGTTAATATACAGGTGCCAGTTTGTCACATAAACACGTGAGGGGATCCAGGGCCAGTGGTATAAATCATGGTGCCTCGCCATGAAACCTGGCTACAATGAACTTAAAGAGAACAGCTTAAAAGGAAAAGCTGGCCGGGCGTGGAGGCTCACGCCTGTAATCCCAGCACTTTGGGAGACCCAGGCAGGCGGATCACCTGATGTCGGGAGTTCAAGACCAGCCTGACCAACATGGAGAAACCCCGTCTCTACTAAAAATACAAAAATATTAGCCAGGCATGTGGCGCATGCCTGTAATCTCAGCTACTCGGGAGGCTGAGGCAGGAGAATCGCTTGAACCCGGGAGGTGGAGGTTGCAGTGAGCCAAGATCGTGCCATTGCACTCTAGCCTGGGCAACAAGAGCGAAACTCAGTCTCAAAAAAAAAAAAAAAAGGAAAAGCTCGGGGGTGGGGGGGTTCTTGGCATTAGGTGGCAACTCTACCACTTTCTCTCCATTCAACTGTTTGACAAAGTCATTTTAGTCCCCAGGCCATCATTTGCGCTATTGTGGCAGGGGAACTGTCCTAGAAGGATGAGTCACAGCCACACTGAGTCAGACTCAAGTATGGCGAAGATGAGGTTCTCCCCTTGTTCTTGGGCATAACAAAATGGGTCTTGTCATACGAATACCAGAGTATCTTTTAAAAAAAACAAACATTTTTCTCCTGGTCCTCGCTGTCCAGTCCCGTAGCTGGTTTTGACAGACATCTGCCAAGCTTCAGTGTCACTTGGCTGCCACTAAAATCACTGGTGATTATTCACAATCTCCCTTAAGAAATCTCTAACAGGAAACAGGTGCCATCCTGAAAAATGGGACGGTGTGTCTGGAACAGCTGCCCAGGTGTTCGGAGCATCTTAGGGTCCAGCCTGGTCCTTGTGTCTTGGTGCACTGTCCCCACTGTCCTTGCGGTGGACATGGAGTTGGATGACTGCCCAGGCAGGCAACCTTGTGGAGGGGCAGTCTGAAGTTCCTTAACAGTAGGGAGGAAAAAGCGGGACTTCCAAGGTAGGGATGGGGGATTCTGACATTCCAGTGGTCACACACACACACACACACACACACACACACACAACTCAGAAACACCCTGGTCACCGTGAGACGATCTCCAAGCTGTAAGGGTTCCCAGAAAGGACCGTTGGAGAACCATGGGAGAGCTGAGGGGAACTGGGCACAGGCTGTCAGGAGTGGGGACAGGCAGGAAAATGGCTCGGGCTGGACTCCCGCAGGCCGATGCAGGCTCAGATATGCTGCCTGCGGGATGTCGTGCTTTCCAGGCGCGGGAGGCGTGGCAGGGGCCGGGGCGCCTGTCGGGCGAGGCAGCATCTCCTGGGGCAGTCCCTGAGCTCCTCGGTCGCGGGCAGGTAGATCCGACACAGCTGGGCGCAGGCGGCGGGGTCGGCCTGGGAGTCGGCTTGGGTCTCAGGGAGAGCGCGGGGAGGCCAGCATGGCAGGGCGCTGCGGCCTCGGAAGGGGAGCCAGGCAGGCGCCGAGAGGACACGAACTCGAGGCCTCCAGCGGCGCAGAGGAGAGGGAGTAGGCGCCGGGCTGGGCACGCCAAGGTGCTCTAAGTTCCCGCCTGCCCCTTCCTCCTCCTGTGGCTTCTTGTGTCTTGCATGGGCGGATCTGGAGTGGGTTCGACTTCTCGCGCCGTTATTTCATCCTCTTATCACCTTAGGCAACCTACTCTGCCTCTCATCTTCCATTTCCTCATCTGTAAAATAGAGCGGGAAGTATTTCTTACTTCATAGTGGTATTGTCAGAAGCGTTTGAACCAGAGCAACTCCATCTTGAATAGAGGAGGCTGGGCGAAATAAGGCTGAGACCTACCAGGCTGCATTCCCGGGAGGTTAGCCATTCTAAGTCACAGGATGAGACAGGAGGTCGGCACAGGATACAGGTCATAAAGAATTTGCTGATAAAACGGGTTGTAGTAAACAAGCCAGCTAAAACCCACCAAAACCAAGGTGGCAAAGGGAGTGACCTCTGGTCGTCCTCACTGCTACACTTCCACCAGTGCCATGACAGTTTACAAATGCCATGGCAACGTCAGGAAGTTACCCTATGTGGTCTAAAAAAGGGAGGCATGAATAACGCCCCCCCCCCCACGTTTAGCATACAATCAATAAATAACCATAAAAATGGGCAACCAGCAGCCCTTAGGGCTGCTCTGCCTATGGAGTAGCCATTCTTTTATTCTTCTACTTTCTTAATAAACTTGCTTTCACTTTACTGTATGGACTTGCCCTGAATTCTTTCTTGTATGAGATTCAAGAACCCTCTCTTGGGGTCTGGATCTGGACCCCTTTCCATTCACAGCATGAGGATACAATGAATGGATGTAAAGCAATTTTGCCCCGCACCTGGCGCACCATAACTGTTCAGTACATTGTAGCTAGTGTTTTTATTAGCTCAAACTCTTTAATTTTTGTAGAAACGGGGATCTCACTTTGTTACCCAGGCTGGTCTCGAACTCCTGGTCTCAGAGAATTCTCCCACCTCAGCCTCCCAAAGTGCTGGGATTACAGACAAGAACCACTGTGCCTGGCCTAGGTCAAACTCATAACACACCCAATCCATGAGGATCCAAGGGACCTGTGTGCAAGAACTGGATTAAGATTTTCTCTTTAGACCAGTGATGTCCAACAGAAATATAATGTAAACCATGTATGTATTTCTTTAATTTTCTAAAGCCACAAAAAAGTGTAAAACTGTACAAACAATTGGATGAATTGAATTAGTGGAATTATAGGTGTTAACCATGTTAATTTGTTTCAAGCATGAGATAGTGACAGGGTTGTAGTGCTTATACTTAGATTGAGTGCTAGAAATGTTGGTAATGAGGAATCCAGCAAAGATACTGCCAATTGTTAGGTGTTTAATTGATTTTAGTAATGTTTTCTTTAAGCAACTATATCCAAAATATCACTTCAACATGTGACATTAGCCACATTTCAAGAGCTTCAGTCTCCCCTGTGCTAGACAGCACAGCTCTAGATATCTCTTCCCTAAGATCTCTGTGATACGGACAAGAGACAGGGAAATACGGGGTAGAAGAGAATGGTTCCCCAGCAAAGGCCCTACCCTTAAGCCTGGAGACTCTCAGCCCTAAGTAGGAACAGGCATTTCTGTTACCTTTTGGCCCACGATGCTCCCCAGTCCTGTACCCATAGAAACCCCAAACCCCGGGCTCCAGAAGCAGATGAGCCAACAAGGAGACGGGGAGACAAGCAGACAAATGGCATAGCAGAGAAAAAGAAGAGGAGGAACATCTGAATGCCAAGAGTTCAGCTGGGAGTGGTCAGAGAGGAGTTCCACTGCTGAATGGCCAAACTCCAGGGGACGATCATCTTCCCACTCCATCCCCCTTCCACCTCCCCATCCATCCTACTGAGAGCCACCTCCACTACTCAATAAAACCCTACATTCATCCTTCAAGCCTGTGTGTGACCAGATTCTTCTGGGATGCTAGGCAAGCGCTCAGGATATAGAAAGCTGTCACCCTGGCCCTTTGCCCTTGCAAAAAAGTAGAGCATCCATTGAGCTGGTTAACACTTAAGCTGTCCATGGACAGCAAGGCTGAAAGAGCATTGTAACACCGGGAGCACAGGCACCCACCCCTAGACACTACCACAGGGCCAGAGCCCAAAGCACTTGCCCTGGCTCCTGCACCTGCCCGTCTGCATGCTGCCATTCCTGTCAGGGGTTTGAGCAGTGACAGTAACCAAACAGGCGAGCCACAACCCTGCTGCACATCCTGCAGGTGGATCAGAGAACTCTCCCATTTCATATGAATGCCCAGCTCCTTTCCACCGTTTGGATCTCAACTCAAATGTCACCACCACCTTTGACCACTTATCTAAAGTAGGTTCCCCTTCCCCTTCTCCAGGAGCTGTGGCTCCTTCCTGTAGTCCCAGCTACTAGAGGCCTTGAGCCCAAGAATTTGAACCAGGCTGGGGATATAGTGAGACCCCTATCTCTAAAACAGAAAGAAGAAAAAAACAGCTGCAGTTGCCTCTGTCCCCTTCATGCCCACATACATGTACATTCACCTGGCTTCACCCTGTTTTACTTTCTACACACCATATATCACCACGTGAAATTCCGTTGCTTATTGTTTCCCTTTCCTTGTTAGAACCTAAGTTCTCAGGCTGCAGAGTGAGATCCTCAGCACCCAGCACAGTATGTGGCACATTATAGGCACTTATTTAATATTTGCATGAATTAATGAATGAACAAACGAATACATTACTAGACGTGGGAGTCCTTGTTGGAGGAAACAAGTTTGATATAATATTGCCCTAGTTTCTAAAAACGAAACCTCCAAACAATGAAAAAAGCAGCTTCATTTTCTATTTATGTCAATACTGCCCCAGTAACAGTTAAAATCAATGTATCAGGAAGTATTCTTTACTTTCTGTTTGTGCTTCTGAGTCAGGAAAGTAAGTAGTTTTGCCTTCCGATAAGTGAACAAAATTAGAAGAATTGATATTTGCATGTTTTCTGGGATATGAAATTCTCAAGTCCTTATTAAAAAAGGTAATTTGAAAAAGTTGGGATAGGTTTTCCTCAACCCTTAAAATGAAACTTTTGGTTGACACTAGAGCTTTATTGCTGGCAATGACAAGGCATTTGTTTACTAAAAGTAACATTGTTTCACATTTATCTTGCCAAAAATAGATGCTACCTACTCTATAGACAGAACTACTCAATTTTGACCAAGAAGATATCTCAGCATTGTGGGAATAATATTAAATTTGAACAGTACAAAGGTTGCATAATAAGGGGATATGAAAAGAGTCTTCTATACATTTGATGATTAATCAGGCAATAACAAGTGACTCAACTGCTACCTTTATGTCTAGGTTTATAAACTTGACTCTCCCAACTGTGGTATCATGAGTGTCAGATGTTCTTCAACAGCCATTTATTTACTTTATAGATTGTCTGAATTGTATGCCAACTCAAAGATTTAAGATTTTTAAAAATTACCAATAGTTTTTAAAATAAAATTTAATACATAAAAATATTAAAATGAGCCCAAATGGTGAAGACCCAACTTATTATATATGTGTTGACTCTTATTAAAAAGAAAGGGGATAGATGGCCTAGCATAAGTTATCTATATATTCTCTGTTGAGGTCATTGAACAATAGGGTATTCTTGATAAGTAAACATTCAGGCTATGGGTCAATAACAATAGTTAAAACCTATTTCTGGGTAAGCAACACAACTAAGGCAATGAGTGTGTTTGTGATACCAGTTCAAATGAATTTGTTTGATGTTATAAAATGGTTACTAAAATAGTGGTTGCCAAGCCTGGGTTCACAGTACAATTACCTAGGGAGCTTTACAAGACGGCTGATTGCCAGGCTCTATCCTCAGAGATTCTAATTCAGGCAACCTGTTGGGGCTTTGGAACCTGTAGTTAGGTGACTCCAAAGATCAGCCAGTTCAGGGAACCCTTGCAGCAAGATTGTCCAAGTGTTACTAGAAGTAGATTCACCAGGATGCCAAAGAGGCTCAATTTTCAGGGCCTTTCATTTGCATGGGTCTCTTCCAAAGCACCGTATCTAATTTTATATTTGTAATTTTGTATTCCTTTTCTTTTCTTTTCTTTTCTTTTTTTTTTTGAGACAGAGTCTCGCTCTGTCACCCAGACTGGAGTGCAGTGGCACTATCTCGGCTCACTGCAAGCTCAGCCTCCCAGATTCATGCCATTCTCCTGCCTCAGCCTCCTGAGGAGCTGGGACTACAGGTGCCCGCCACCATGCCCAGCTAATTTTTTTGTATTTTTAGTAGAGATGGGGTTTCACCCTGTTTTGCCAGGATGGTCTCGATCTCCTGACCTTGTGATCCACCCACCTTGGCCTCCCAAAGTGCTGGGATTACAGGCGTGAGCCACCATGCCTGGTCTTGCATTCCTTTTCTTAAAGAGGGCCCCCTAATTGTAAAGAGCTCAGTCCCCACAAAACCTGAATCTGCTCCTGGCCATAAAGTATACTGTAGTCAGAAAACTATAACTCCCAGGCAAATCTGGCTCTCTGCCGGCTTTTGTACAGCCCACACACTAAGAATAGTTTTTACATTTTTAAATGGTTAAAAAAAAAGAAGAGTAATACTTTATGACACATGAAATTACTTGACATTCAAATTTCAGCATTCATAAATAAAGTTGTATTGGCTCACAGCCATGCTCACTCATTTATGTATTGTCTATAGCTGCTTTAGTGCTACAATGGCAGAACTGAGTAGTTGCAACAGAGATTGTATGGTCTGAAATGCTTAAAATATTTACTATCTAGGTCTTAACAGAAAAAGTCTGTAGACCCCTGACCCATACCATGAAATAATAACATCTTAGACATGACAGAAAATTGATTTGAAGGGATTGCTTTATTTAACGTGAAAAGCGTGATAGAGGAACTGTTTAAGATAAACAACTTATAAATACTCCCAATTGTAGAAGTGAAAGATTGATTCTATGAAAATCTACAAGTGATTAAATTTAGACATGAATATCAAAGACTTTATAGAGTCATAGCATCTTATCAAAGATCATTTAGCAGAAGTTATGCTTAGTCTGTAGGTTAGAAGCAATGATTAGTGAGACAGATTGGTTTGTGGGATGACTCAGGATAGGATGATTATCAGTAAAAACCTTCCCAGGTAAAAATTACAAGAAAAAGAATAGAGGATAGTTGCAAAAGATTTATGGAATTAGTTTAACCACTAAGCATAAAATAGTACTGCTCTGGGTTGTGAAAAAGTATAGTAAAATGTTGCTAAAGTTATATTTCAAAGTGTAGCTCCCAGAGATGAAACCAGTTAAAGCAATTCTACAAACAAAGCTAAAAACATTTTAACAATAATGATGGGGTGTATTGGGCAAGAACTGTGACAGATCATCGAATTCCGACAGCAAAGCACATTAAAAATATTGATTTAGCTGTCTCTCTTGATAGAAGTATGACAGAAAGTTAGGCAGAGCTGTGAAGGTCACTCTGAAGGTCTGGGACCTCAGAGAGGCAGCAAGGAGCAAAGTCCATCGAAAGACAGTCAGTGTAGCACTGGGGTTGGTGGGAATGCTAACCGGTCATGTTCTGTAGCAGATTTCTCAATCAGGCAAACAGTAGGAGGAACGTTATATCCAAAAGACAAATCGATTAGGAAGTTTGGCCAGTGAACATATTATTAGGATTGGGAGGTCAATGATCAAGGCAGAAGCTCTTAGTCAGTTCACTTTGCAGCTCTCATCATAGGATTGTACAAAAGAGAAGAAAAGATCTTCCTTAACTGACTCAGGGCCAGGTACTTTGAAGATCCAAGTAGTCTGCTACTCCAGCTTCTGCTGGAATCTTGGCTGTTTGGAGGCAATTTGTTCTGTGCCTTTTGGAGAAATCCCCTGTGTTCCAAAGAACACCTGGGAATAATATCTCAACTGTAGTTCAACTTTTCCATTTTCACAAGAGAAGGGACTTGAGAGCTGGACGGTAAGAGAGTCGTTGAGTCCATCTGAAGGATGGCAGACAGAAGGGAAAGAGGAAGGACAGCATCATTTTCAAGCATCTACTATGAACTAGGCACTCTGCATATGTTACTTCATTATTTTCACATCTCCTCAATGTAATTATTATTGATTTCACTTAACATCTGGGGAAACAGGGAGCATAAGTTTCACGCTCACACTCATCCAGTCTCTGACTGAACTAGTGAACTACTGAACTACTGAATTCATGAATGTGAATGCTGAAATGTGAACGCACGTCTGTCTGGCTGCCTGGCCCCAAGTCCTTACTCCTTTCAACTTACCTGGTTGCTCCAGGCAGGCTCTCCAAGAAGACAGAGCAGCAGGAAGAAAAATATGGCATATAAATATGTTTTTCCACTTTCAAGGACCACCAAGACATTTCTTAAATTTATTGGAGTTATAAAAACAAAACTAAATACCCTTCATTAATGAATGATACTATCTCTAAGGTGGAAGGTCACATTACCTATCGCAGTCTTCCTTAAAGTGTCAAATTCGGAATGTAGGAAATGTCCTGTATTAGGTCCCTTTGAGACTTTACACAATTTACCCCAAACTCGCTGTAAAAAATGGTCTCTTTATACGTAGAGTTAAAGTTTCGCCAACTACAGGTTGCCCAGGAGAGGCAAGCAGCCCTCCTGGCCCCTAGTTTCAGCTATGACTAGTTTCTTTTTCACCACAGTCCAATTAGAAATGAGGTCATAGTTGTAAGTCTTCTCTTCCCTGAGGGTTTTTTTGTTTTGTTTTTGTTTTTTATGCAGGCCATTATAGTAACGAGTCACATGGTCTTCCCTTAGGTGATGGTCAGTGGTTAAAAACAGCCAGTAGATCTTCAAAGGAATTATTACAAGTTTAAAAAAAAATCATTTAAAGATCATATGCTACCATTTTGAGGTTCCCTAGTAAATTATTTGATCAATTTACCTTCTATTTCCTCCAAAACTGTGTACTCACATTTTTCAGAGCTTAAAATAGTCACTTTTTTATCCCTTAATCACAAACCACTCAGAAGAGGCTATAAGAAGAAAATACCATCAAGCAATGCTGCCTTAAAGAATTCTGTTTACTCTAAATTTAGTAGATTTCTTTTGCAAACCTAGGCCTAATCTCAGATTAAACAAAACAAATGGTAGCTAAATAGATGTCCTCTTCAAATCTGTTTGCTTTACCACAGACAAACAAGCCAAGGCCTTCCTAATTTGCAGTTCAGAAAGCTCTCTTCCCAATCTAGAAGAGGGAAAAAGAAGACCAAGCACCAATCTAAACAGACATTCCGTAATTATAGGATTTTAGGTTTGGAGTCACTTCACTTAATCTTTGCATGACCCAGAATTCAACTCAGAAGATTAAAAGAACAGCATTTTCAGTTCTATTCATGAAAATTAAGGACTTGACTGGAGTTAATAAAGCTGAGAAAAAAGTATAAGCTGTTAGTCAAAGTAACATAATCCTTACTGCAATGAAAAGTGGAAAAAAATGTAATTGTATGTTATTTCCACTACAATAAGTAATACATTTGTTTACATATTTGGAAAAGAGGACATAATATTCCGAAGGTGAATTATTCTATGTGAGAGAACCATATTAAGATTCCACTGTGGAGCAACCCCAGAAGCTTATCAGATCTAAATAAAAGATTGATGATGATTCTGAGTTTAAAATTTAATGTCTAAGCTACCTGCTAAATTTTACATTACAAGAATGTTGACTGTACTGTAAATCAATAAAATTAATTATGCTCTCTTATAGAATGGATGTTATAAGATAAAAATTATTTACATATTACTGTGCCTTTTCAGGGTGTGTTGTTTACTTCTTTAACTATCATTTGTCAAAATTTTCATTTTGAAGGATTTAATGGATAATATTTAATACACGGTATATTAAAAATGCTATTCTGCTAAAATACCTTTTTTCTATAAATTACACAAAGACATGACCATTTCTACCTATAAACATGGATTTACAAAAACAAAACAAGCTAATAATCTGATATACCCAAATTTAAGGAAATAATTTCCAACTTTTAATTATATTGAAACTGATCCTTTTTCTGTTGAAAGGAAATTCAAGGCAGCTATTATGTGTATGAATAAATGATCAATACAATAATCATAGTTATGAGATCTGTAAGTAAATTGTTAGAGTCTGTTTATCCAATACCTTAGTTACTGTGTAAGTCTTTTCCCAAAGCGAGGCTACCAATTCACAGGGGCTTTATCTTTGTCTAAGCCCATCTCTCAAGTGAATTAAAGGCTTGCGAGAGAAGGCAAATGACCTTTTATGGGTTTGGAATATACTGCGAGGTTAAGACTGAGAAATGCCACTCCAAGGCAAGAGTTGGCAGTGTGTGTTTTCCCCTGCACTCTGTCACCAGTGTTCCCATTAATCTCATTCCGCAGCCTCCAGCAGGGGAAAAAGCCCATCTTACTAAATAATGCAAATGTAAATATTGTACACCTATGTATCTAAATTATGTTTTCATGAAATTATGAGATCATTTAGGCAGTTCAGACACTTAGAGTTTTGCTCCTTTTGCCCAGGCTGGAGTGCAATGGCGCAGTCTCGGCTCACTGCAACCTCTGCCTCCTGGGTTCAAGCGATTCTCCTGCCTAGGCCTCCCGAGTAGCTGGCATTACAGGTGCCCACCACCACACTCGGCTAGTTTTGTATTTTTAGTAGAGACGGGGTTTCACCATATTGGACAGGCTGGTCTTAGTGATCCTTACCTCAGGTGATCCACTGGCCTCGGCCTTCCAAAGTGCCGGGATTACAGGCGTGAGCCACCACGCTTGGCCAATACTTTGTTTTCTTAATATGAATGGGGATATACTCGAATCATTCAGGAAAACCCCCTGTATCTTATTCCTAAGTCTATTGGATTAATGTCATATGTACATCAGGTTAGCTAGAAAAAAGGACATTTTAAAGGGCATTAATCATTTATATTCAAGGGTAAGATATTAAGAGCAATATAAATTATAGTTAATTTCTGAAATCAAGAATTTACTCAGAAAATATTTTCTAGTTTTTCATCAGCTAACAATTATGATTATTTTGTTCAAAATTTTTTCTAGTTTCAAATTTAAGCTCCCCCCATTGCCCCCGGGTCACTTACATCATTCTCTTCTTTATAGAATCTTATATTTGGAAAAACACAAAATATATTCAATACTCATTTAAAATTTTGAGGGATTTAAACAATTACAAAAGATACAAGCACTTGCAGGTCAAACATTGCATAGGTGACAAAGAAAAAGATTTTTTTCTTTTTTTTTGAGACGGAGTTTCACTCTTGTTGCCCAGGCTAGAGTGCAATGGCGCGATCTCAGCTCACTGCAACCTCCGCCTCCCAGGTTCAAGCGATTCTCCTGCCTCAGCCTCCCAAGTAGCTGGGATTACAGGCGCCTGCCACCGCACCCAGCTAATTTTTGTATGTTTTAATAGAGACGGGGTTTCTCCATGTTGGTCAGGCTGGTCTCGAACTCCCGACCTCAGGTGATCCGCCCACCTCCACCTTCCAAAATGCTGGGATTACAGGTGTGAGCCACCGTGCCCTGCCAGAAAAAGATATTAATGTCTCCTTCATTCCTTCCAACTCATCCTCCGCAGAAATCTAATGTTAACATTTCAGTGTACATCCTCCACCCCAAACAAATATTTACACACGCATTTATCCAAGCATAATGGATAATTGTAAAAGTTCTTTTTTATAAAGTCAGAATAAAAATCAGAATAAAAATAAAAATTCACATTATTCTATGTATTAATCAGGACTATTTTGGTTGTAAGTAATGGAAACAGAAAATAGTTTAAGTAAAAAAAGTAAGTATTATTGGTTTGTGTAACTGAGAAGGCTTCAAGAATAGCTGGATCTAGGGACTTAAATCAGCAGTTAGCCTTGGTTTGTCTTAGCTCTGTTTTTCTCTACGTTGGTTCATTCTTGGGCAAAACTTTTCTTGTAGTGGCAGGATGGGTGTTTTCGATATTGGACTTATATACAAAATACAAAATACTATGTTTAACAATTTTAGAGAAATATCAAACAACCTTGAAAATACAGGCAGGAAATGAGAAATTATCTTAAAATGTCAAAGAGATTTAAAGAACCAATTAAATGAAGAATTAAATAAGAATGAAAAATAAGAATGATGAAATTTAAAAATCAATAGAAGATTTCCATTTCTGACAATATGGCAACCAAGATATTTTGGACCATTCTCCCACTGAAAATAACAAAAAATGTGGCTAAATCAGAAAAAAAAACAACAATGGCTGGACGCAGTGGCTCACACCCATAATCCCAGCACTTTGGGAGGCCGAGGCAGGTGGATCACCTGAGGTCAGGAGTTTGAGACCAGCCTGGCCAACGTGATGAAACCCTGTCTCTACTAAAAATACAAAAATTAGCCTGGCATGGTTGTGGGCACCTGTAATCCCAGCTACTCGGGAGGCTGAGGCAAGAGAATCACTTGAACCCGGGAGGCGGAGGCTGCAGTGAGCTGAGATTGTGACACTGGCCTCCAGCCTGGGTGACAGAGCGAGACTCCATCTCAAAAAAAAAAGAAAAGAAAACAACAATATCAAAAATAAAAACAAAACTAGAGGCATCAAAGAGCTAACAAGATAGTAAGAAATAACCAAGCCAAAATCTGAGAGCAAGTAGAAACACAGAAATAAGCATAGTGATAAAGCCAGTATTATTTACTCAAGAGAATTTCTAAATGTACTCTTACCTTGTGTGGTGATTCTGCCTCATATCCTCCTGTCTTGATGACCCTATGAACAAAGCCGCAACCCCAAATGATTGTTCCTGTGCCCTGGGGATACTCAGCAAGTAAACTAGTCTGGACAAGGGCCAATTGGGAGCACACCTTCCTGAGCATCTCAGAATCAGATATGGTCCTTGCCAGTCTAGAACACAGACGGCTGGATTCGCACAAGGGTGGGTTTGTGAATCCTTAGGTGACAATGTTGAAGTAGGATTGGGTGGGGTATGGAGAGCACACAACAATTAGAAAGGGTAAGGCAATCCGTCATTCTTCCTACCTGCCTTATCCACAACAAAGAGGGAGATGGAGCAGGCATGATGCTCACCCTCAGCTCCCGGAGAAGCCAGGCTACTAAGCTTAGGTCAGCCCTGCAGTCGTCTCTGTTACTGAAGTCACCACATGCCTATTTCCTGCTACCACCTCCTTGCCAGTGGATGCACTGAGCTAAGTTCAACTTGCACACACCCTGCCCCAACAATCTTTAATCACTCAGTGCACTGAAAACACTTATTGCCCATACTCTTACATCAGTTAGGGCAGTTGTCCCAATCTTTCTGGCACCAGGGACTGGTTTCGTGGAAGACAATTTTTCCATGGACAGGATAAGGGTGGGGGATGGTTTGGGGATGATTCAAGCACATCACGTTTATTGTGCACTTTACTCTTATTATTATTACATCGTAATATATAATGAAATAGTTATACAACTCACCATAATGTAGAATCAGTGGGAACCCTGAACTTGTTTTCCTGCAACTAGACAGTCCCATCTGTGGGTGATGGGAGACAGTGACAGATCATCAGGCATTGATTCTCATAAGGAGCACACAACCTAGATCCTTCACAAGCACAGTTCACAATAGGGTTCCCACTCCTATGAGAATGTAATGCCACTGCTGATCTGAAGGAAGCAGAGCTCAGGCGGTGATGCGAGTGATGGGAAGCGGCTGTAAATACAGATGAAGCCTCCCCTGCTAGCCAGCCCACTGCTGACCTCCTGCTGTGTGGCCTGGGAGTTGAGGACCCCTGAGTTAGGGAGCTTCTGTCTTCAAGTTACAGAAAGTTCAGCTCAAATGGACTTAGACAATAAAAGCGGACATTGTGGCTAATAGTTCTACTGAGGGTTCTCAGTTTACACACTAAAAGTTGATTCTGACTGATTTAGGAAATAACAAATTTGTTGAAAGGATATTAGGTAGCCCAAAGTCTCGATAGGAAGAACCACTTCCAAAATTAGGTCCTAGTACCAGTCTGGTAAAGGCGGTGCTGCTGGTGGACCTACATTCTGTCTTTGGAGGCAGGATACCAACTGCTACTCCTGAAACTGTTGCCACAGGCACTACTGCTGCCACTACAGCTGCCCCGACCACTGAATTCTCCACTGCCTTGGTGACTTCATTTCTCCAACTTGGGATTCACAGGTCGGTCTGATGGCCAAATAGAGAAGGAATGCCCGTGCCTTAGCTGTGAAGCTGCCTGGGGCTGTGACTATATGGTCCTAGCTGTTTCTACACTGGAAGGCATCTCTGCCCCTCAGTGGTATGCATGTGGTGGGATATCCCCAAACCTAGGAAGGTGTTCAGATAAGGTCCTTGCTCATGTGGCATTTACAGTCTTACAGTGAGGGAGACAGACAATAAGCAAGTAAACCAATTAAAAAGATGATAATTTCAGGTAGTGATTAGCATTATGAAGACTATAAGGAACTCCACAAATTCCAACCCTGATGTTGCCTCAGAAGCAGGAGAGGAGTGTACTGATCTGCAAGTCGACGTAAATCTAGGTAAAAACCATAAGAAACCACTGGGCAGAGAGAAAGGGTGGCTGTGACCTGCTGTGGGTAAACCATAGGCTGAGCAGAGAAAGTCACTGTTAGGACATGGTGCAGGCAGAGTTGCAGGCTGTTTCCTCTCTCTAACCACTGTCCTTGGCAGATAATCGCCTGGCCTGGAACCACCTTGAGACAAAATATCTGCTACACGGAGGTGATGGGATAATATCAGGGCAGTGCCACAGCCTGGCCAGGGTGAGGAACAGATAATAATGGGAGCATCTGGACCCTGAGCAATTCTACCCCCTGTCAAAAGGAGGTTACTTACAAAGGAGTTGTTTATGGAATTTGGGAGCTGACTGTATCCAGAGCAGGGATGAATGCACACTACGGGATACCAAGGATCAGTTAGAAGCAATGAACCAAGTGTACCTACATATATAACAGATACAGATGGGTCTTTAGAACACACTGGTGAATACAAAACATAATAACTAGAGCAAGGTCTATTGCACAATACTATTTGTGAAACATATGATATACCAAATAATAACTTACATTTGACAATATTACATTTTTAGACAAGGATATATATGTAATGCCTTATAGTGAATGAATATGTGAAAGGAGAGGTAACGGAAATGGAAACCAGGGATGAATGGGGAAAATATCCACGAAAGAAATGTAATAATATTATACCATGAACTGAAGTATGTGATTGACTCGATACTTTTCACATGAGGCATAAAAATTAAAGAAACGATGGAGGAGTAGGAGGGAATTTATTAGCTGGTGTTTGGGCTGCAGGTGGAGTGATCAACATTAAATAAGGTGGTCAGAGAAGGCTTCTCTGAAGAGGTGACATCTAGGCTAAAGTCTGAGCAATGTGGCCAGTCATGTGATGGTTGGGGGATGCGCCCTCCAGGCAGAAGAAATAGCTTATGCTAAGACCCTGTAACAGAAACATGACACCATTGAGGAACAAGGAAAAAGACAGGTGTGGTTGGAGCACAGAGAGCACATCGAAGTTGAGGTTTAGTTTTAAAAGATGATCTGGCAAAGCCTTTCCTCATTGCTAAGTCTATACATACAGTTTGGAGTAATCAGTTTCACAGAATTGGTCATTGCTAGGGAGAAGTGAAGTCCTCTCTGGTATTAGGATGACCTGGCTTGACAGGGAAGTGAACTGTGAGCACCAGGCAATCAGACAGTGGCAGAACCAAATTTGCTCTTACAGGTGCGGAAGGAGCCGATTGTCACCACTGGGAAGACAGAAATTTTACTAGGTACAGGCCTGCCATGCTGAGTCCCCCATGCTAAAGGCTGGACAGCCCTTGTGAAGGACTGGCTTGGCAGGGCTTTTGACACTAGCTGTCTTCACTGTGGTCCTGCTTACAGCTTGTGCCCTCAACATTTCCTGGGCAACAGCTCCTAACTAGGACCACTTTCCACATCTATGCCCTCTGGTGCTTCGACTCTGGTCTCCTTCTGTCCTGTTTCCATACCTTGCCAGAAACTCGACATTTTTTGGTTTCCTCCAAAAGAGCACTTTGTGTATCAAAAATACAAACCTTAGGTTTTCACTCCGTCCTGGGGTGTTGACCTCTTATCTGCATGACAAGTGCTGAATTGCTCCTTTTGCAAAAGAAAACAAAAAAAGAACAATAATAAGCTGTTTTTCATGAACAGAAAATCCTTGAGGACAGGGACCTACTCTACCTTGACTCGCATCTAACCTTGTGCCTAGAAAAATTGTTGGGCCCAAGGTAGGTGCTCCATAAAATGGGTTGAATGAGTTCACACACACACACACACAAACACACACACACACACCACATTCTTAAAATGATGAAAAAATCACATCCTGTTTTCTGTTGCAAAAGTTCCAACTAGAATTGATCTTTCCCAAGATAACTAGCATTAATACAGCTTTGCTCAACACCAATTATTGCTCACAAAGAATTAGTTTTCCTCACTGGCACTATTATGGGTCATAATAATAATGTTTATTGAGCACTGGGGATCAGATACTAAATTATCTCATTTAAAACCTATAATAACCCTATGACTTATGTACTATCCCATCTTTATCTAAAAGAGGAGAAAAACTGAAGCCTAAAGAGACTTGGTAACTTCTACGTGATGGCTAGAGCTGGGCTTTTCATCCCAGGTCAGCCTGACTCCAGATCTCTTAACCGAACTTCTGAAACTCAAGCCAATTTTCTATAATGAAATACATTAAAGTTATATCTGAAACAACTACTACTCTTCTGAATATTACTTTTCTTTTGTAGACTAATCATTGGCATCCATATATTTAAGTATTTCTTAGGGAGCTCAATTTTTTCACAATATTGTACATTTAAAATATAATGTGTACAAGACAGCTTGCAAATAAGCAGCAGAGAAAGAATGGAAGTGAAATCTATTCTTTGCACTGAGTCTGTGTTTGCTTTAATTCTAGTTTCCGGTTTTGAAAGTACTTTTTTGTCTATTTTTTCTTCTTTTTCTTTGTACTGATAGTTTAATTACTTATTTTGTGATCATAAAACAATGAGCATTGTGACAATTTTACTGCAGTAAATATTCTTTGTCTGAGTCTAGGTTTCCTAGAAATTATAGTCTGAGGCAAAATTTACATTCTAAAGCTTCACTAGAGGGATGCAAACCCAAGGGAGCAGGAGTGAACAGGGGCAGGCCAATGAGACAGGAAGGCAGGAAAGTAAAGAGAAGATGTCTTATTATTGAGCTGGCCTTGCTTCATAGAAAGCACTATTGGTTGCTCTGTCACCTGGAAGTTTCCAGAGAGGCCCACATGGAAACATTTCTCAGAGGAATCCTTTGGGAGAGAAGAAGAGCAAGAATTTATCCATGGGTTATTGCCTATCATCTGCCTCTCAGTAGTTAAAATTTGCCTCACTGGGGCTGGGCGTGGTGGCTCACACCTGTAATCCCAGCACTTTGGGAGGCCGAGGTGGGCAGATCACTTGAGGCCAGGAGTTGGAGACCAGCCTGGCCAACACAGCGAAACCCCATCTCTACTAAAAATACAAAAATTAGCTGGGCGTGATGGTGGCGCCTGTAATCCCAGCTACTTGGGATGCTGAGGCACAAGAATCTGAACCTGGGAGGCAGAGGTTGCAGTGAGCCGAGATCCTGCCTCTGCACTCCAGCCTAGGTGACAGAGTGAGATTCTGTCTCAAAAAAACAAAAACAAAAACAAATTTTTTTTTTGTTTCACTGGGTATTAGCTTCTAGCATTGTTACCTGGCCCTTTGTATGAGTCTCAAAACACAAGGTGAGTCAGTGAGCATGCACAAGCCAGGGACATTTCCTTTCTGCCTGCAGCCTGACGTCTCGAGGCCCTATCAAGCCAGCGTGCCCCCAGTGGTCCTGTTGTGTCTTGCACCTGGTGACAAGGAGGGCCCAGGGTAGGAGGGAAGAAGCCAGCGGTGTAAGGCATGAGGTAGTGTGATCCTGAGCTGTGCCTTGGAAGACCTGGACACCTGGAGCAGCGGGCAATAGGCCCAGCTGGCTAAGCAGAAGGAACACGACAACAGCATGGTTTCTGCAGTGAGAAAGTTCCAAGAGCTTCTCCACAACAAAGACCAAAACCACCTCTCTGCACTCAAAAGAAGGTGATCTTTTTGGAGGGTCATTAGTAGCATTGAGCAGAAAACCATAGCTGAGGATCAATAACCTCAAACTGTCAGAACATTTTCATAACATGTCTCCTGGTGCACATGCAGGAGATTTTTCTTTGGTGAATATCTGTAAGTACAATCTCTATCAGTGAACACTTCTAAATAGTAGCTTTAAATGGTTGCTTGTCACTAAGTTTGGTTCTTTTCTTATAAATATGTCTAGAACTCATCTATTGATCCATACATTCATCCTGGGGGAAAGTACCATTGAGTATCCCTATCACAATTGCCTCATTGTTGAACTGGTAATAGACATCTCAGCAAACTCACAGGGAAACTAAAAGAAGAATTAAACGCTTTGAGGTATTTTAAACTTGGAGAGGCTATTTAAATCCATGTTACTTTTAAACCCAAAATTTCCCATTGTTTCCAGGAGAGGGCACAAATTCATCTTACGGTTATTCTTAGTGCTTTTCATCACCTTTCTTGACTTTACCCCACGTGTACACATGCACACACCCTCACATAAACATGCACACCCTACCTCTTATTTTATAAAATGACTGGTTATCTATTAACCAGCTTATGCAGCCATTTCAGAACCTATGCAAAGCAGCTTTGAACAGACTCTTCACTCTGCTGCAAGATCCAGAATGTCAACTGGGGCTTCATGAGGTTCCCATGTAGAGCTGGGCCTGCTAGTGTTAAATACATATGGCTTTAATTTACAGTCCAGTCCCTATATCGTTGTTTCCAATTGCCAATGGCATTGGTAAACCAACAGTAGTAATAGGAGTAGTCTCAGGCAATAAGGAGACACATTTTCTATAGAGAATTTTAAAACAATAATTAAATGGACTAAAAGCTGATTTGCTTTTACTATATTCACACATTGGCAATTCTACACAATGGTCAAATGCTCTCCCCGTCCCCGCTAAATCTTTTGTTGGTCTGCAGTCGAAAAAATTTCTGTGGTTATTATTCAATTTTGTAATACATAAAATCAGCAATGTTATTGCTTATCTCTTAAGAAACACATTTTCTCCTTTAGTAATAACTCCTGTGTGGGAGTTAACTCAGAGAAGACTTGACATAAATGGACTTATCTACACACTCTTGTTTGAGAGTTAAGTTCCAGATGGTTCAGAATCATTCATATTTGTGCTTGCTTTGGGTACACTTCATGCTCCAACCCATGTGGGACTATCTGCTTCTGCATTTAAACACTAGATCTGGAATAAGCAATGGCAGTAGAGTGATTGTGACAGAACTTGGGCTACCTCAATTCTCTCTCATTCAATTTAGTGCTCTCATGAAAACTCACTTGGAGTTTTTATTTATAATTAAAATTTAAAATAATAATGCAGCGTAAACCACAAGGTGTAATTTTTTTTGGTAACTGCAAGTTTATTTCACATGTGCAATATTTCACACCTTTGAATAATATCTTTAAAAATTGAAATTGATGTCTTTTTTATTGTTCTTTTTCTTATGTAATTACTATTGCACTGTAATGTTATTCATTTTTATGGCAGTCTAGTATGTAGGTATGTGTATTTTCTTTTTTGTTTGAAAAACATTAATGTAATTAAAAGTATTAGTCCACTACTTTCCCCTTTTTTGATACTATAAAATGTATTTTATTATTTTATTTTTCATTTTTATTGGAATGATTACATATACGAAGTTCAATAAAATAAAAATCTCTCTCAGTCCATTTTTCTTTTTATTCATTTCATTATTATTACCAAAAATAATGCTGTATGGAGTAGTGGGGTGTTAAAAAATGATCTGCTCGACAACACCAGTCACACAAGGCACGCCCTGCTTCCTTGCAGATCCTCAGGAGAGCTGCCCTGTCTGAGAACACTGCCCTCTGCTGCTCGGTGTGAATTCACCCATGAGGCTTATAAACAGAGAATTAACCCTCACTCTACCTTAAACTTACTCTTTTATTCAGAGAGGTATATCTAACTACAGTGTCAACTTTGTCTTGGTTCACACAGATCCCCAGGAACAGAGTGAGCAATCAACACATTTTTGTTGAATGAAAGAAGGAATGTGATGTTACTTTGCACATATTGGAGAGTGCATGCAAATGTGTTAATATGTCTGAGTATTGTGTGCAAGTGTGGGTGTTCACAGCACAAAATAGGCTGGTCAAGAGTGAACATCATATATTTTACTTTTCTTGCACCCACCCACCCCCCGCCCCCCACCACTTCCCAGCCGTGCCAGAGACACTACAGATGCAGACTAACAAATTGACTTAGAAGGTCAGGACTCAAAAGCCTATTCCAAAAATATTAAGAATGGCCAAGAAGTTAAAATCCAATCAAATAAAATCCCATTTTTTAATTCTTTTGTTAGCACACTAGTTTTTTGTGTGGTGGAGGAGAGGTTACTCATTAGAAAATAAAATTCTAAACTTATAACAAGATACTATAACTGATACTAATCTTTGCCAACTGTTAATAATTTCTTTCTCATTCTTGTAACTGATGCCCGAAATGCATCTAATATATAATTCCGAAACATTTTAATTACCATTATATTTAAAGTAAGAAAGGAGGGGGAAATGTAGCTTTTAAAGACTCTGAGCAGCTCACCTAAGATGGCCTTTCAAAGATAAGTGATATAAAACATTAAAGAGCCTAAAGCTTACATAGTCCAGCCTTGGTGTGTAAATAAAGGAGGCAGAGCCCAGAGAGTATAGGCTTGTTCAGAGTCTCACAGTGTGAGGGTATAGCCAGGACCAGAAGCCTGCAATCCCTACTTCCACCCCAGTCTCTCATCCTACACAGCACAGCTTCCAATGTAGAAGAAAATGGCTCTATCTTTGTTTGTTATATCAGATTGTTTAAAGTATTTAAGATATGTGCTTTAGATATCATTACACTGGCAGATAACAATATACAGAGTAATAAGAATTTGAAGATAACTTTGAGAATCACTTATTATAACACATACATTAACAAGAGAGAATGAATATTTACTAAGTATCTACCACATCCATGGCACATGGCTATTCCCTATAGAGACTACTGAATGAATAAATGATAGCATGAACTTATGTAACACTCGCCATAAGCCAGGTTGGTCTAAGTGCTTTACATTCATTAAGACGTTTAATCTTCACAACAACTCTGTGAATATCTGTTATTATCACCATCCCCAGTTTACAGATAAGGAAATTGAGGCACAGAGAACTTCACCAAGATCAGGCAGCCAGCAAACAGAACTTTACAACTTTGGTCATCTGACTCCATGGGCTATGCAAACTATGATCTACCTCCCATCTTAAGGAACAGAAACATAGGAAAAGGTGAATGGTAATGCGGATTTAAATAACAGTTAATGACAACTATAATGGACAAAAGGCAATATCCAAGAGGCAAGTGAATAGTATAAGTCAGAACTCTTTGCGTGCAAGCACCAGAAACTAAATTTAAAATCTCTTAAGTTATCTCAAAAGCTATTTATTTGCTGGCAATAGTAGAAGGCATTGTGGGCTGAATTTTGTCCCCCCACAATTCATGTGTTGAAGTCCTAACTCCCAGAACCTCCAAATATAACCATATTTGGCATAGGGCCTTTAAAGAGGTAATCAGGGTAAATTGAGGTCATTCGGATGGATCCCAATCTAATCTAACTGGTGTCCCTGTAAGAAAGTGAGATTAGGACAAAGACACACACAGAGGGAAGGCCAAGTGAAGGCACAGAGAGGAGGCCTATATGCAAGCAAGAAGAGAGTTTCCAGAGTGAAACCAACCTCCATGACACCTGGATCTCAGATTTCTAGTCTCCAAAGTCACAAGGAATTAAATTCCCATTTTTAGCCACCCAGTCTGTAATACTTTGTTAATGCAGCCTGAGCAGAATAAAATAGAAGAATACTGGGTGTTTCATAGAATTAAAGAGTTACAGGAAACAGTCGGAGCCAGGAATCTCAAGGACTAGAACAAGGACCTCAACACCTGCAGAATACACACACTATCCTCCCCACACTTCCAGCTTCAGAATTTAAAAATGCCAAGGATGGCCTCAACTGATCCAGTTGAGGTCGCATTCCCAACCCTAAGCCAATCATTTAATTCTCCTAGTTCAGTGATGCATCTCTACCATCCTTCGCCGGTCTGTGTCCCCAGATCCTCCTGTGGTTGAGTTTCCCAAGAGAGTAAACCTGGTTTCTGCCAGGACAAGAGAGAGGCTGCTGAAAGATGAGGAAGGAATCCAGAGGTCTGACTGCTTTCTCCAAGGACTTTCCATAAACCTCCTGTTTTCAGCTCCGCCTCTTACCTTTTCTTTCAGAAGAATCTGGTGCCTCCAATTCTGGGGACTTTACGGGTGCTGTGCCATGAACTAGCTTCCTTCTTAAGCTCCCCATCTGCTGGTACTGCAGTTTCAGCCCCTGTCCATGTCCATCTCCAAAAATGAGATGACATGGACTTTTCACCTATTCTTTCTGTCTTGTGGACTTGGGCCTTTTTGGCTTCTTTGCTGTCATTTTAGTAGCATTTTGAAAGAGATGAAAGAAAAACACAGGTTTTTAAACTGCAATGTTTAACCAGAAGTCTATTTTGGGAATTTTCAAATAATCCTCTGTGAAGGTGCCACAGTGGCTTACTTCTGGCTTGGGAAGGTGGCAGTAGCACAGAGGACAGACAGGAGAGCAGACTAGGAAAAGGGTAGGCAGGCTCTGGCCTCTGCCCCCGCATCAAGCAGAAAATCTTGCTTTTTATGTTTTATACATTGTCCTTCTAAGATTTCATTTGAAGAAAGAGACTTTAACTAAAAATAGAAAATCTTAAAACCACTGTGCAATACCAGCCTGCCTCCTACATATTTTAAAGAGTTTAAATTATGGTGTACATACATGTATTCTGGTTTTTTTTCATTAGATTGTGTTACAAACATGTTTCCATATTTATGTGGCTTTTTCATCATCAGTTTCTTAACCTAGTGCCTGGCACATGATAGGCTTTTAGTAAATAGTGATTGATTGAATGAATGAATTATATTTAACAGCTGCTTCTAATTTATTTGTAATTACAGAGAATAAGCTCTTCCATTCATTCATTTATTCACCCAACACATATTTATTCAATACCTATTATATGTCAGGCATTGATGGATGGTGCTGAGAATACAGGAATGAGTAAGGCAAACCGTCCTTTCCACACAGAGCCAACAGTCTAACGGGGGAATCTGACAAGTGAATTGACAATCACAATATGTATAAAAGCTATGGGAAACAAAAAGCATCTACAGGAGCACATCATAGGGGTCCCTAATGCAGACCTGAAAGTTGGGGAAGTCTCCCTGGAGGAAAAGACTTAAAGTGAATCCTAAAAAACTAACAAAACAGTTTCTGGTTCAGCATGTAAGAAATTTGGAAGTTGCCACTCTGTCCTAATGAGTAAAAAGCTGAACAAACTGAAAAACCAAATTAGCCAGGCATGGTGGTGCACACCTGTGGTCCCAGCTACTCGGGAGGCTGAGGCATGAGAATTGCTTGAGCCTGGGAGGTGGAGGTTGTAGAGAGCCGAGATTGCACCATTGCACTCCAGCCTGGGTGACAGAGCGATATTCTTGTCTCAAAAAAAAAAAAAAAAAAGCAGTGAAAAATCAACAACTCTTCTTAGCTCTATAAGAGAAGTGATGGCACAGGACAAATTGCTTCCCCCAAAATTGGGAAGACCAACAGGCAAATACAGAGAATCACAACTTCAAGAGCAGAAACCTCCATGGGAACCAGTGCTGGCACAGAAAAGTCTGAACTTGTAACTGTGAATTGCTGGAGCCAGTTCTCAGACAAGTGTGAACAAGTCTGAGAGATAAAAATCCAGGGGAACTGAATCATAGAGAGGTCCCCACACTTTTGTGGGTTTTACCTCCAGGAGCACTACCAGGTCTCACAGTGAATATTAGGGAAAAAAATCCCCTCCTGCTTCCAGCAGTGGGAGGGGAAAAGGAGCCATTTTGAAATATGCTAGAGCATTATGTTCTTAACAAGGTCTGTCCTCAGGAGAAACTATGTAACCAGAGCCTGACCTGCTGGGGTTAAATATCCAACTCAAGTCCATTCCAGCCATCCTGTCCCACCTAAGGTGAGGTGGGGGAAGGGACCTAGAGGCACATGAAGTTCACAATCCAGAGTAATGGGCTCACTGAAAGACTGAGGAGAACACTTCCTCTCCCCACAGATCTTACCACCACCTAACTAAAGGCCTGTTGACAGCAGTTCCTTTTACCCAGGACACGTATCATTCCTGCTATCCAAAAAAGAAAAACAAAAACAAAAACAAGACATACAAAAAAGAAAAAAAAACCCACAGTTTGAAGAGACAGAACAAGTATCAGAACCAGATTCAGATATGGCAAAGATGTTGAAATTATCAAACCAGAAATTTAAAACCACTATGATTAATGTGCTCAGCTTTAATGGATAAAGAGGACAGCATGCAAGAACAGATGGGCAAGGTAAGCAGAGAAATGGAAATTCTAAGAAAGAACCAAAAAGAAATGCTACAGATCAAAAACATTGCAATAGAATTGAAAAATGTAGGCTGGGCATGGTGGCTCATGCCTGTAATCCCAGCACTTTGGGAGGCCAAAGCGGGCAGATCATGAGTCCAGGAGTTCAAGACCAGTTTGGGCAACATGGCAAAACCCCATTTCTACAAAAAATACAAAAATTAGCAGGGCATGGTGGCATGCCTGTTGTCCGAGCTACTTGAGAGGCTAAGGCAGGAGGATCACTTGAAGCTGGGAGGTCGAGGTTGCAGTGAGCCATGTTTGCCCCACTGCACTCTAGCCTGGGTGACAAAGTGAGAACCTGACTCAAATAATAACAATAATAAAGAAATGAAAAATGCCTTTGATGGGCTTATTAGTAGAATGAGCATGGCTGAGAAAAGAATCTCTGAGCATAAGGATATCTCAGTAAAAACCTCCCAAACTGATAAGCACAGAGAAAAAACGACTTAAAAAAAACCCCAGAATCTCTAAGAACTCTGAAACAATTACAAATGGTATAACATATGTGTAATGGGACTATCAGAAGGAAAAGAAAGAGAGAAAGGAACAGAATAAATATTTGATATGATAAGGACTAAGAATTTCCCAAAATTAATGTCAGACACCAAACCACAAATCTAGGCATCTTAGAGAACACCAAGCATGATAAATGCCAGAAAAACTACACCTAGGTATGTCACTTTCAAAGTACAGAAACTCAACATAAAGAGAAAATTCTACAAGAAGCCAGAGAAAAAACACCCTTCCTATAGAAGAGCAAAGGTAAGAATTACATCTGACTTCTCCTCAGAAATCATGTAAGTAAGAAGAAAGTGGAATTAAATATATAAATTGTTGAAAGAAAAAAAATGCACCAACCTAGCATTCTGTACTATGCAAAATTATCCTCCAAAAATAAGGAGAAATAAACACTTTCTCAGACAAACAAACATTGAGGAAATTTGTTGCCAAAGAAGTTCTTTAGAAGGAAGGAAAATGATATAGTCAGAAACTCAAATCTACGTAAAGAAAGAAAGAACATTAAAGGAGGAATTAGTAAAGGTAAAATTAAAACTTTTATTTTCCTTATTTTTAATTGATCTAACAAATAACGGTTTACTCAAAATAATGATAGCCACACTGTATTAGACTATGTATGCTTACATATGCATATATTTTTTCATATATATTTTCTTATATATGTTTATACACAACTGAAATGAATGACAGCAATTTTACAAGGGATATGAGGGAAGAATTGGGATTATTTTGTTATAAGATATCATAGTATCTGTGCAGCAATATAGTACTGTTTGTAAGTAGACTTGCATTATTTATAAATGGATATTGCAAATTTAGGGCAACCACTAAAAGAGGTTTTTAAAAAGTACAACTAATTTGCTAAGAAGAAAAAAATGAAATCATAAAATTCTCAATTAAACCACAAGAGTCAGAATAAGAGTAGAAAACAAACATAGAAAGAAAGAACAAGGGCAACAAATAAAAAACAATAACAAACATCATAGATATTAATCTAACTATATCAACAATCTCTTTGAACATCAATGGCCTAAGAGCACCATTTAAAAGACAGAAAGGAAGGGCATAATGGCTCATGCCTGGAATCCAAGAACTTTGGGAGGCTGAGGCAGGAGGATTGCTTGAGGCCAAGAGTTTGAGATCAGCCTAAACAACATAGTGAGATCCCATCTGTACAAATTTTTTTTTTAAATTAGCCAAGCATCATGGTACATGCCTGTAGTCCTAGTTATTCAGAAGGCTGAGGCAGAAGAATAACTTGAGCTCAGGAGTTTGAGGCTACAGTGAGCTGTAATTGTGCCACTGCAACCCAGACTGAGCAACAGAATGAGGCCCTATCTCTTAACTACATACTTTAAAAAAAATTAAAAACAGACATTGTCAGAATGAACCAAAAAAACAAGAACAAACTGTATGTTATCTACAATAAACCCACTTTAAATAAAATACACATACAGGTTAAAAGTAAATAGATGGAGAATAATATATCATCTAATCAAAAGAAAGCAGAAGCAGCTATAATAATTTTAGACAAAGCAGACTTCTGAGCAAGGAAAGGTGTCAGGGATAAAGAGAGGCATTACAGACCAGGCATGGTGGCTCACACCTGTAATCCCAGCACTTTGGGAGGCTAAGGTGAGTGGATCACTTGAGCTCAGGAGTAAGAGACCAGCCTGGGCAACATGGTGAAACCCCATCTCTACTAAAAAATACAAAAAAATTAGCTGGGCATGGTGGTGTGCGCCTGTGGTCACAGTCACTCAGGAGGCTGGGGTGGGAGGATCACTTGAGCCTGAGGGGGCAGAGGTTGCAGTGAGCCGTGATCATGCCACTGCACTCCAGCCTGGGTGACAGAGCAAGACCCTGTCTCAAAAAAAAAAAAAGAGACATTACATTATGATAAAGGGGTCAATTCTCCAAGAAGATACAATAATCTTTAATGTACATGCACCTAACAACAGAGCATTAAAATCCATGAGGAAAAACTGATGGAACTGCAAGGAGTAATAGGTGAATCCACTATTATAATTGGAGACTTTAACACCCTTTTATAAGAAATGGGCAGATCCAGGAGGCAGCAAATCAGTACAGACATAATTGAACTCAACAACACTATCAATCAACTGGATATAATGAACACTTAGAGACTACTTCATCCAGCAATAGCAGAACACACAATCTTCTTAAGCTCCTATGGAACATTCACATGGATAGACCACATTCTGGGCCATAAAACACACCACAACAAATTTAAAAGAATAGAAATCATAAGGCTGGGCACGGTGGCTCACACCTGTAATTGCAACAGTTTGGGAGGCCGAGGCAAGCAGATCACTTGAGGTCAGGAGTTTGAGACCAGCCTGGCCAACATGTGAAACCCCGTCTCTACTAAAAATACAAAAGGAGCTGGGCGTGGTGGTGGGCGCCTATAGTCCCAGTTACTTGGGAGGCTGAGGCAGGAGAACCGCTTGAACTCGGGAGGTGGAGGTTGCAGTGAACCAAGATCGTGCCACTGTACTCCAGCCTGGGCGACAGAGTGAGACTCTGTCTCAAAAAAAAAAAAAGAATAGAAATCATACAATGTCTGTTCTCAGTATCACAACAGAATTAACCTGGAAAACAGAAAGATAGCTGTAAAGTCTCAAAATACTTGAGAGATTAAACAACATATTTGTAAATAACACATGGATCAAAAAAAGAAATCTTGGGCTGGGCGCCGTGGTTCATGCCTGTAATACCAGCACTTTGGGAGGCCAAGGTAGATAAATCAACTGAAGTCAGGAGTTCGAGAGCAGCATGGCCAACATGGCAAAACTCCATCTCTACTAAAAATACAAAAATTAGCCAGGCTTGGTAGTGCATGCCTGTAATCCCAACTACTTGGGAGGCTGAGGCAGGAGAACAACTTGAACCTAGGAGGCCATTGTGCCATTGCACCCCAGCCTGCGTCACAAGAGTGAAACTCTGTCTAAAAAAAAAAAAAAAAGAAAAAAAGAAAAAGAAATCTCATGGGACATTTTAAGATATTTTGAATTAAATGAAAATGAAAAATACAACTTATCAAATCAAAATTTGTGAGAAGTTGCAAAGGCAGCGCCTAAGAGAAATTTATTGCATTGGATGCTTATATTAGAAAAGAAGAAAGACTTGAAAGCAATCATCTTAGCTTCTACCTTAGGAAACTAAAAAGGGGGAATAAATAAAATCCAAAATAAGCAGAAGAAAAAGAATAATAAAAATTAGAGAAGAGCAGGGCTCAGTGGCTCACACCTGTAATCCCAGCACTTTGGGAGGCCTAGGCGTGCAGATCACAAGGTCAGGAGATTGAGACCATCCTGGCTAACATGGTGAAACCCCATCTCTACTAAAAATACAAAAAAATTGCCAGGCGTGGTGGCAGGTGCCTGTAGTCCCAGCTACTCAGGAGGCTGAGGCAGGAGAATGGCATGAACCTGGGAGGCAGAGCTTGCAGTGAGCCAAGATGCACTCCAGCCTTTGCGACAGAGCGAGACTCCATCTCAAAAAAAAAAAAAAAAAAAACCACAAATTAGAGAAGAAATCAATGAAATTGAAAGTAGGAAATCAGTAGAGAAAATCAATGAAACCAAAAGCCAGTTCTATGCAAAGATCAATAAAATTGATAAGTCTCTAGCCAGTCTAAGAGAAAGAGAAAGAGGACACAAATTACTAATATCAGGAATTAAAAGAGGGCATCACTACAGCTTCCATGGACATTAGAAGAATTTTAAAAATACTATGAACAACTCTATGTTTATAAATTTGATAACCTAGATGAGATGAACCAATTCCTTGAAAGACACAATATGCCAAAAATCACACAAGAAGAAATAGACAATCTGAATAGAACTATACCTGTTAAGAAATTAAAGCAAAAATTAGTAAACTTCCAAAACAGAAACCATCAGGCCTAGATGGGTTTACTGGTGAATTCTATCAAACACTTAAGGAACAAATCACACTAATTCTTTTAAAATTCTTTCAGGAGACAGAGCAGAGGGAATACTTCGGAACTTATTCCTTGAGGCCAACATTATCCTAATACCAAAACCAGACAAAGATATCATAAGAAATGAAAACTATAGGCCGGGCACAGTGGCTCATGCCTGTAATTCCAGCACTTTGGGAGGCTGAGGCTGGCGGATCACCTGAGGTCAGGAGTTCAAGACCAGCCTGGCCAACATGGAGAAACCCCTTCTCTACTAAAAAAACAAAAATTAGCTGGGCATCGTAGGGTGCACCTGTAATCCCAGCTACTCGGGAGGCTGAGACAGGAGAATTGCTTGAACCCGGGAGGCGGAGTTTGCAGTGAGCCGAGATCATGCCACTGCACTCCAGCCTGGGCGACAGAGCAAGACTCCATCTCAAAAAAAAAAAAAAAAAAAAAAAAAAAAAAAAAAAAAAAAGAAATGAAAACTGTAGACCAATATCTCTCATAAACACAGTTGCAAAAAATCCTCAACAAAATATTTGCAAATTGAATCCAACAAAGTATAAAAAGACTTACACACCACAACCAAGTAGAATTTATCCAGGCAGGCAAGGCTGGTTCAACATTTGAAAATCAATTAACCCATTTATACCTGAGGTTACAATTTTTTAAATTTTGCAATCAGACCTTGGAGATGACCTTGAGCAGTAAGATAAAAATAACTCCCACATGCTTAGCATTCCAATAATGGACTACTAGGCATAAATGGGATTGTAATCCATCACATCAACAGGCCAAATTTAAAAATTACAAAATCATATAAATTGATGCGTAAAAGCATTTAACAAAATCTAACACCCACTTATGGTAAAAGCTTCAGCAAACTAGGACTAGAAAGGGAATTTCCTTAACTTAATAAAGATTGTCTACAAAAAACACACAGCTAACATCATACTTAATTGTGAGGAACTTGATACATTCCTACTAAGTTCAGGAAGTAGGCAAGAATATCCCTTCTCATGTCTGTGCTTAACATCATACTGGAAGTCCTAGCTAATGCAGTAAGATAAGAATACGATATAAAATGTATACAGATTAGGAAGGAGGAAATAAAACTGTGACAGATAACATGATTGCCTGTGTAGAAAATTCAAAAGAACTGACAAAGAAAACCCTCCTAGAACTAGTAAGGGATTATAGAAAGGTTTAAGGATAAAAAGTTAATATACAAAAGTCAGTCACCTTCCTATGTAAACAATGAACAAGTAAAATTTGAAATTGAAAACACAATACCATTTACATTAGTGCCCCCAAATATGAAATACTTAGGTATAAATCTAACAAAATGAGAAAAACTACAAAACTCTGATTAAAGAAGTAAAACAATAACTAAATAAATGGAGAGATATTTCATGTTTATGAATAGAATGACTCAATATTGTCAAGATATCAGTTCTTCCCAATTTGATTTATAGATTTAATGCAATGACAATCAAAATTCTAGCAAAATATTCTGTGGATATCAACAAACTGATTCTAAAGGCAAAAGACACAAAATAGCCAACCCAGTATTAAAGGAAAAGAACAAAATTGGAGGACTGACTTTATTCAACTTTAAGACTTACTATAAAGCTACAGTAATCAAGAGAATGTGTGTTGGTGAAAGAACAGACAAATAGACCAGTGGAGTAGAATAGAGAGCCCACAAATCGACTCACATAAATATACTCAACTGATCTTTGACAAAGGAGCAAAGGCAATACAATAGAGAAAGATAGTCTTTTCAGGAAATGTTGCTGGAACAACTGGACATTGACATGCCAGAAAGTGAATTTAGACACAGAGCTTATACCCTTCATGAAAATAAACTCAAAATGGGTCACAGGCCTAAATGTAAAACACAAAGCTTTGAAACTCCTGGAATAAAATGTAAGAGAAAATTTGGATGACCTTGGGTTTAGCACTGACTTTTTAGATATGAAACAAAAGGCACCATCTATGAGAGAAACAATTGATAAGCTGGACTTCATTAAAATAAAATTTTCCTGCTCTCCAAAAGACAACGACAAGAGAATAAGACAAGTGACACACTGGAAGAAAATATTTCCAAAAGACGTCTCTGATAAAGGACTGTTATCCAAAATGTACAAAAAGCTCTTAAAACTCAACAATAAGAAAATTAAAAACCCAATTTAAAAAAATGAACCAAAGACCTTAACATATGCCTCACCAAAGAAGACATGTGGATGGCATGTTAGAATACAAAACGATACTCCACATCATATGTCATCAAGGAAATGAAAATCAAAACCATGAGACACCACCACTCACCTGTTAGAATAGCCAAAATCCAACCACTCACAACATCAAATGCTGGAAAGGATGTGAGGCAACATGAACTCTCACTCATTGCTGGTGGGAATATAATTGGAAGGCAATTTGTCAGTTTCTTACAAAACTAACCATACCCTTTGATCCAGCAATAACACTCCTTGGTTTTTACCCAAAGGAGTTGAAAACTTAGGTCCCCACGAAAACCTATACGTGAAGATTTATGGAAGCTTTATTCATAATAGGCAAAACTTGGAAGCTCCAAGAAGACCTTCAGTAAGTGAGTGGATAGGTAAACTGTGGTACTTCCAGATAACAAAACATTATTTAGTACCAAAAAGAAATGAGCAATCAAACCATGAAAATACACGAAGGAAACTTAAATGCATATTACTAAGTGATAAAAGCCAATCTGAAAAGGCTGCTCTGGCCGGGTGCGGTGGCTCACACCTGTAATCCCAGCACTTTGGAGGCTGAGGAGGGTGGATCACCTGAAGTCAGGAGTTTGAGACTAGCCTGGCCAACATGGCGAAACCCCATCTCTACTAAAACATACAAAAATTAGCTAGGCATGGTGGCAGGCGCCTGTAATCCCAGCTACTTGGGAGGCGAAGGCAGGAAAATCGCTTGAACCCAGGAGGCGGAGGTTGCGGTGACCCGAGATTGGGCCATTGCATTCCAGCCTGGGAGACAGAGCAAGATGCCATCTCAAAATAAATAAATAAATTAAATTAAATTAAATGTGTAAATAAACAGGACATATCAGTTGTAGAAGGGAAGACAAATGTCCCATACAGAGGGAGCAGAGGGGGTAGCATGTGCTTGGGCTGGGGACAGAGGAAGCTGTGTGGCACGTTCGAGGACCTGGAAGAGATTCAGGATGACTAGAGGGCAGAGTGCACATGGGTGAGAATCCAGATGTGAACTGGATAAGCATTCCAGGCAGAAGCCAGGGAATGAAAGGTCTTGTGAGCCCCTATGTTTGGCCTCCATCCTGAGGGAATAGGAAACCACTAAGCAATCTTAGGATAAAACTTCCTTGTCATTTCAGGGCTGGATCCTGTAAAGCCTGTAAGCCATCATGAGTCTGCAACTCACCCCTATGAGTAATGGGGACTACTGAAGGTTTTAAGTAAGGAGATGATATGATCATATTTGCATTTAAAAACAACAACAGTGGCTGGGTTACAGTGTAAAAATAGATGGAGAGGAAAAGGCAAGACTGCCTGTAAGGAAGACTACTTAGGGCTAGCAGAGAATATAAGACAACGACAATGAGGATGAAGAGAGGTAGATGATTTCAAGAAACAGGCACAGGCAATAAGCCTTGGTGGCTGGGAATGAAGGAGAGTAGAGGCTTGAATGACGTTTGATTTCTGGCTTAGACAATGGCTGGCAATTTATTAAGATAGAGACCACAGGATGGGGGCCCACAATGAGTTCAGTTGTACACACTGGGGTTCAGGTGCCTGGGGGACATCCAAGCAGAGGTGGAAATATGGCTCAGAAGCCCAGGAGAGAGGACAGGGCCGCAGATGAGGATCTGGGTGTCCTCAGCATGGAAGTAGTGATATAGAGCTGAAGAGGAACCACTAGATCCCTCAGGGAGAGATGAGGAAAAGGGAGGAGGAATGTGGTTAGATCCCCAAGGCATGTTGATAGTTAAGGATGGGCAGAGGAAGACAAGCCTGCCAAGGAATGAGAAAGAGCAGCCAGAGATGCTGGATGAAATAAGGAGAGAGGGTCAATGTGTCAACATGGTATGGACTGCAAAGTGGCAATAAGATCATCAATGGGCTTGATGAGCCAGATCCAAGTAGAATGATGGAATGGAAGCCAGGTTGCTGTGGATGTAGAAGCATCTGAATTTCAGAAAAAAACATTTAGGCAAGATTTTCAAGAAGTATAGCTGAAAGGAGAAGAGAAAGGTAGAAGCAGCTGCGGGGGCAGGCAGCAGGCAAAAGAGACATGAGCTCATTTGGATGCTACCAGTGGCTCCATAGCAACACGTATATAAAAACAAAGCAGACCAGGTGATGTGGTTTGGCTGTGTCCCCACCCAAATCTCATCTTGAATTGTAATCCCCATAATCCCTACGTGTTGTGGGAGGGACCTGGTGGGAGGTAATTGAATCATGGGGGTGGTTTCCCCCATGCTGGTCTTGTGATAGTGAGTGAGTTCTCATGAGATCTGATGGTTTGATAAGTGCCTGGCATTTCTCCTGCTGGCGCTCATTTTCTCTCAAGCCACCCTACGAAGAGGTGCCTTCCTCCAAGATTGTGAGTTTCTTGAGGCCTCCCCAACTATGTGTAACTGTAAGTTAATTAAACCTCTTTTCTTTATAAATTATCCAGTCTCGGGTATTTCTTCATAGCAGCGTGAGAATGGACTAATACACCAGGCATGGTGGCTCACACCTATAATATCAGCACTTTGGGAGGCCGAGGCAGGTGGATCATTTGAGCCCAGGAGTTTGAGACCAGCCTGGGCAACATGGCGAAACTGCATGTCTACAAAAAAATATGAAAAATTAGCCAGATGTAGTGGTGCCTGCCTGTAGTCCCAGCTAATCGGGAGGCTGAGGTGGAAGAATCACTTGAGACGAGGAGGTTGAGGCTGCAGTGAGCCATGATTCCACCACTGCCCTTCAGCCTGGGCAATAGAGTGAGACCTTGTCTCAAAAATAAAAATTAAAAACAAAACAAAAACACACAAAAAAACAAAAGCAAAGCCAACAAAACTCTCCAGTCTATTGCTATTCAAGGCCCTCCAAAGTTTAACTCTAACCAGCTTCATTTCTGCTATGGTCTGAATGTTTGTTGTTCCCCCAAAATTCCTATGTTGAAATCCTAATCTCCAAAATGGTGATATTAGGAGATAGGGTCTTTGGAAAGTAATTAGGTCATGAGGGTACAGCCCTCATGAATGGGATTAGTGCCCTTATAAAGGAAGTCCCTTTTGCCCCTTCTACCCGGTAAGGACACAGTGAGAAGACATCTGTGAACCAGTACGTAGGTCCTCACCAGACACTGAGCCTCCCAGCACTTTGTTGCTGAACTTCCCAGCCTCCAGAACTGGCAGAAATCAATTTCTGTTGTTTATAATCTATCCAGTCTGAAGTATTTTGTTACAGCAGTCCAAACGAACTAAGACAATTTCCTTCTATTCTCCACTCTCCTGGCCCCTTGCTTCAGCCAAACAGGTTAATCACTGTTCCCCACATAAACTACAGACTTCACTGTCTCCATTTCCGGGTTGATGCTGTTTCCTCCACCTGAAATGGCCATTGCTAAGCGCTGGTATAACCCTCCCACCTGCACTGACCTTCTCTGGCTTTAGGAACCTCACAACTCTCCATGCTGAGAATCTCTAGCACTCATTGTTTGTCCCACTCTAATGTCCCTCCTTATCTTCTGTATCTAAGTTATTTGGATCTTACTCACATGCCCTTATTTCACTTTTAGTTTCTTGGGGATGTGGGTTGTAGCTTACCTAACATTTTGTAAGCTCTTCTTATGCAGTAAGGGATCAATAAATGTGAATAAATAAGTGAATGAATAAAAGTGTCAATTTAAAAAGTCAATATTTAGGGTATAATAAAATCTATTTTTTAAAAAATTCAAATACCCAGAGATACAAGGGAGGGCTAAGGGCTGAGGGAGGAGGCAACGGGGGATTTCTATCCTTTGATATAGGTCAAAGGATAGAAAGTAGCAGATATGTAGGCTAAACAAGTCTGGGGATGTAATATGCAAGTGAGGACTATAGTTAATAATATTGTATTGTATTTAAAATTTTTGCTAAAAGAGCAAATGTAGGTGATCTTGCCACACACATAAAATATGGGTAGTTATGTGAGATGATGGATATGTTTATATTCTTGACTACAGTAACCATTTCATGATGTATATGTATAGCAAAACATCATGTTGTACACCTTAAACATATACAATAAAATTTCTAAAGTATCAATTATCATGGATCATGGGTGTGTTTCTTTATCATACACAGCTGATGCCTTAGCAAGAGGTAACCCTCACTCCAATCCTGTTCTGGGCCCCTGCATTCTTATTAAATAGTAACTCCCCCATGGAATGACACACACATACTGTGTGCCAAGTAGATAATTTGATTTACTCTTCAGTCCAATAAGGTGGCTACTTTCATTACCCCATTTTACAGATGAGGAAATTAAGGCTTGGAGAAGTTAAGTAATCTCCCCAAGGTCATGCAGCTAGTGAATGGTTGAACCAAGTCTCCAAACACAGGTATGTCGGCTATTGAAGAGTGTGATCTTATCCAGAACACCACACTGCCATGACTTTCATTGCTGACTGAAGAATGAAAAAAATAATAATCTTAGGAAATACTCTAACAGTGCTCTTAGTAATAGTCATGCAAAAGCTTATAAAATATGTTACTTTAGGAAGCTATCAGATGGGCAGAAAAATCAGTGGATTCTGTCGTTTTTCTTTCTTTACATTCAGTAATGAGTAAACAGCATAAAAAACAGGAACCTCCTAGAAATAGCCAGGTAGAATATAGTCGACGAAAACGTGAAATGTTGGAATAATAGAGAGAAGCAGCTAGATAGGGGAAATATTTACCTTTCTTGGCTTTTACTTGGCAACACTTAATATTTAATAAATTCTGAATGTTCAAGTCTCTGGCATTATTCTGAGAATCTATTTCTTACAAAAATTTTATTTATAAGTGATTTTCCTAGGGACATTCTTTCTTAGTAACACAAAATTAGGTGCCTTAGTTCTTCAAATTTATAAAAATGACTTTTTGGTTTACTTCATTCTGTTTTTCCCAGCAGAAAAATATCAAGCATTGCAACTTATCACAGCCTGGAATGAGAACTCTGCCCTCATTCCTAGGTAATGATCCAGGACTTGGACTGTATTTTCTGTTTTCATAAACAGAACGGCTTTTTCCATTTGTCTAATAACATTACTCATTCTTTCTTGACAATGATTATTTGACAACTCACTTGTTTTTCTTTGGGATACTATTTCTAATTAAGTTAAATTAAAATATAGATCAATTTCTGTTAATGGACTGTGGTGTTCTTCATATTAGAAAAAAATTATATCTGTATGGCTTTATAAAGACATTGAGTTCCAGGAATATTCCGAACAAAGTCAGAAACATCCATTAATAGTCCCTGCTTTGGCCAGATTCCCAGTAATGTCATTGTGCCTTTCCCCGACTAGTCTATTAGAACGCCGGCTTCTTGTCTTTAAAAGATGAGTAGTCCATCCTTGCTTGATACGAAAGATTTCTCTTCTGGCCTGACTCCCTTTCTTCTCTCTGACCACCTGCCTTCCATCAAAAAGTACTCCATGAAACTTCTTTTAAAATAAAAGTGAAGTCAAAATAGCACTGTTTTGAGGGTTTTTCTTCTCTTCACAGAATTCTGGGTCAGGCCTAGGGAATCTGTTTCTGTCAAGATAATTTTATAACCCTTAGTGAATCCTCTTAGATTCACTAGCATCTGAGAGTTTCATAACTGATTTACGATTTATTCCTTTTTACTTACTGAACATTTCAAAAGTTGGTTAGAATCATCTTCTTAAATACAGGATCTTAGAGAGGAAGCTAGCTTCAGAGGCAGCGGCATTTAATGCCACATTTTCAACCATGCCGCAGCTGTGCTTCATCCGTAGTTCCAGGCCCAGGGTAGAGGGTGGAGAACATCCTCACATATTGCACTGGGTGAGGCCAAAGAAGGAATGAAAAGGTGACAGTGTCCTGGAGTGAGAGCAACATGGCTTATCTCAGCTGTGTTCTAAATTACAAAAGGCACCAGTTCTGGCATCAGGTAGACCTCAGTTCAAATCCTAAAGAGCTACCTCCCAACTCTGTGGCCTTGGAGAGTTCATTAACCTACATGAGCCTTTGTTTTCTCATTCATAAAATAGAAAAACTATGTTGTATTCATCAGAGTCCAATCAGGAGACAGAAGCCACACCAGTTGTTCACTAGGTAACTGAAAAGATAATAAGAGAAACAGCTACCATTCCTGAAGATGGGGGGAGGGGGAACAAGCTGGAAGAGCAACATAGGACATTTGGGGCACCAACAGGTTTGTGTTGACATTTCTAGGGGTTGTGGTGGGGGCTGGGGGTGGTGTGCAATGAGACTGGTCCTGCAAGTGAGGGAAAAACTGCAAACTGGATCCAGAAGCTGCTGATGTGATACTCATGGGAACAGGAAGTAGCTACACGTCCATAGGGAAGAGCCAGTCCCCTTCCCTTCCTCCAGCCTCACAGACTCCCTCTGGTTTCCCTATTGACAAAGCCCGACAGGGAACAACTGGTAAAACAGCAATGGGATCTGCAGAGTCCCAGTTCACAAAGCACAGAAGGGTGGGTTTGGAGCTAAGAAACCAAAGTCTGGTAACTGGCACAAATGCCACTTATGGCACATTCACTCCATGCTGGGCACAATACCAAGTGCTTTGCATGCATTCCCTTACTGAATTATCTTAACAAAGTAATGAAGCATCCCCATATCATAGATGACGAAGTAAAGAAGCCAGGTTCATCAAGTTGATGAGAAGATGTTGTCTGAGTCTTGTCTCTGCAAACAGATCTTGTCTTCTCCTACACCTCTCCTCCTTCCTGGCTTCAACAAATTCAGTACTATTTGCAGAGCTTGGTGGTTCTTGGGGAGAGATAAGGGGAGTGGAGAGTCAGGAAAATTACAAAGGAGCAGAGGGGAGGAAGTAGACCCATTCTGTGGTTCAAAAGTATACAGAATGTGGCCTGACAACAGGCAGATGGGAAGAAAGAACAAGAGAGCTCTGAGGAAATTCACCTCACAGGTAGGCAAAGACTGAACCAATGGCCAGGGTGCCATTACTTCACTGGGGGAACACTGGTACTGGTCACTGAAGCCTTGGCCACTGGCATGGCCTGAGAGTGTTGCCGGGGGAGGGCATATAGAAGTGCCGCAAAGCAGGGGTGGAGCTCCTGAGAGAGTTCCATGGGAAAGAAGCATCATTGTTTGTGTCTTGACTTATTGCTGTGGCATAGGGCAGGGATCTGCACTGGGGCATGATGGCGAGAGCCATTCCCAGCTGCAGGGCTGAACAAGGAGTCCAGCTTTAGTGAGAACAGCAGGGTTAAGAGGTGGCATCTTCTTGAACTTCCTGGTTTCAGAGAGGACAGCATAGGTTTTCACAACACTGTATTTGGGAGCAAGCAGCTACCATGTTGCCTTAAATGGCTTCAGAGAAAGAGCCAGTCTATACAGAGTATTGTTGAGGTGGGAGCCACAAGGCTGTGTGAATAACACATTCCAACTGCCTTGGGTCAGTTTCCCTGGAAACAGACTTTGAGATGGAGACTCATGGGCAAGTGGTTCACGGAGGGGTGTAGTCAGTAATGACACCCATAAAGAAGTGAGGGAAGCAGGGCCAGGCAGAGGGAGAGGCTGAACTCCTATGCAGATGCAACAGATGCCTCTACTAATTCCATCCTCAGCTGGAACTGGGGTGGCCTTTTCAGAGTCCTCCAAAATTGGGACGTATCCTTTATCTCCAGCATAGACCAGTCATTGGGTGTTGTCCTTGGGAAAGGGTTGTAAACATGTTCTGTGGGAAATTCCTGGACAGATGCCAGCTAAGAGCCTTTAGCAGCTGAGGGAATGAGTGCCTTGGTCCTGAATGCAAGATCAGGGAGGCCCACCACAGGACCCACTCAACCTTCCATCAATTCAATAAACATTTACTGAATAACTGCTATAAGTTAGGCACTGAGGTCAGGTGCAGTGGTTCATGCCTGTAATCCCAGCACTCCGGGAGGCTGAGATGGAAGGATGGGTTGAGGCCAGGAGTTCAAGACCACCCTGGGCAACAGAGTGAGATCCTGTCTCTGTAAAATAAAGTAGAATAACATATAGAAAGTCAGGCACTGAGAGTTCCAGTGTTGAGCACTGGAAATATATCAGTGATTGACATAGACAAATATCTGACAAGGTAGGGTGACATTCACTAAACCTTTCTTTGCCTCAATGATCTCATCTCTAAACTATGGCTAATAATAGCTCCTAACTCACAATAAAGAGAGAATGAGACAATACATATATAGTCCTTAAAATTCTGCCTGCCACATAGCAAGATCTCAGTTGGTATTAGATGATGTTAGCATTTATAATGTCCATTCTTCAGTGTTTAAACACTGCCTGGAGGACCAGCAGGGTGGTCAGCTTCACTGCTACCATCCTTCCCAGGCATGTGTTTCCATGAAGAAGAAATGAGCCCCAGGGAAATACCCACCTAGGGGAGAAAGAGTTGGGACACTGGGCCTGGTCCAACGACAATAAAAGCTAGCACTGAAGGAGAGGCATGGTTCTCAGTAGTCTATCACGTTGACTCATGGCCAGCCCAGCCTCTGGAACTCACAGTGCAAGAGGGCAGCAAGAAAAAGTAGGTAACAACTCACAAGCCTGTTTTTAACTAAAATATCTGTGGCCAAGTCAATAAGCATAGCCCCTCTCGGAATTCTAGCCTACCCACCAGCAGCTCTGGGAGAGAAGCTATGTGATACTAATCAGGCAATTAACTCAAGCTCAAGTCCATCTCTCCACCTTGGTGCTCCTCAACCATCTACTCCCCTCATTCACTTCCTGTACTTGGGCTCTGAGCTGGGGTTTGAGCAGGGCACTACATCCAGGAATTGCCCTTGGCTGTACGGCTCCATACCCTTGATTTTACAATCACAAATAATGGTCTCCTAGCCCCATCTCTTGGCTTACCCATTGGCTGGGCACACAACTCCTGGCCTCCATCTATCAAGTAAGAGGGAGTGGGTGGCAGAAATGAGAGTGAGGGTACCGTCCTCAAGGCACTTGGAGAAGTGGGAAGAGACACCATTTTTTGAAGGGTTTATTCCTTTCAACAATATACACAGTGTCTCTGCTGCTTCTGGAACATTTGAGACAGTAGCAGCAGCACTGGTACTGTGAGCATCTTGGTCTTGGCAGCCACAGAAAATTCGCAGGAGACCATAGCAAAGGAAGAGAGGGGTTACAGGTGCTGAGTGTTATCCCAAAGAACTATTTTATAAGTGCACATGAAACTCCTCATTAGGAGAGCCTCTAGGAACACCCAGGACAATTTGGGAGGAAGCTGAGGGGCTGGGGTTTCCACACAGCAGGTGGGGATAAAGCCAGAAGAATTCTAGTTTGTATGCTTTTGTAAACCTGTTTGTCCCTCCCATCTGCCTCCTGCCACTACCACCCGCCTTGTGGCCTGAGGTATTAAGAGCTGCATCTGGGTAATGGGCATCTGTTGTCACTCAGCCTCCATTCGTCTACCTGGTAACTATGGCATGATTTTCCTCAGGAGGATCAGAAGCTCTACCTGTCTCAGTTCATAAAATTACGGTGCAGTTGACTCCACCCTTGACTTGATGTATGGCATGTTATACAAGCCTAGCCAATTAGAAAGAATATCTTTTCATTTGGTCACAATGATTTGTTCAGGGATGAGTACATGATTCAAACAAAGCCAATAAAACTCAATGTGGTTTTGCTGGGAATTCTAGGAAAAGGATAATTACTTCTTTGATAATAGATTCAAATGAGGTCTGCTGCTGCTGCAGGCATCTTGTAACCTTGTGGGACAGTAATGTTTGCAAATTGAGCTAGCATGGAGAACAGAGGTGAGAGAGAGAGTGGTTGGATTCCAGTGATACCATCTGAGTCTAGATCTGCCTTTAGATTTTTCAGTTATGAGAGCCAATGCATCTTGGTTTTGCTTAAGGGTGTTTGTGTTATTTTTCTCTGTCACTCTCAACGAAGAGTATCCTGACAGATGCAATCTATGAAACAAGCAGAAAAAGACTGGGAATGTGAAGGCATGCAAGCTAATTTTCATTTCCCTTTTCTCTTTTCATTTACTCCCATTATAACTATGAGATGTAAGTAGGGACGATGGTTTTATTGTCTCACTGAAGAGGTGCTAAAATTATAACCTTGTTATGTTGAATGACTTTGCCCAGTCTTCTAGCTAATAGATAATAGAGTTTGGAGTTGGCCACCTTCTAATTTGGGAAACAGGGAAAGCCAACAAGATCAGCGAGGCAGGAGAATAGGGTCTGGAGGCAGGTAACTAAGGCTGATTCACCCTGACTTCCTAGAACTAAATCGAAAGGAAAGCCCCAACTTTCCACATCTAAGTACCAAAAGGACCAGAGGCTACTCCCTTTGCAAAACCCCACCTTTCCTGGCAGCGGATGGAAAATTGAAAACGTTTGCATAGGAGTGTAACTTTTTTTTTTTTTGAGACAGAGTCTCGCTCTGTCACCCAGGCTGGAGTGCAATGGCGCCATAGCTCACTGCAACCTCCACCTCCCGGGTTCAAGTGATTCTCCTGCCTCAGCCTCCCCAGTAGCTGGGATTACAGGCATGCGCCACCACGCCTGGCCAATTTTTTTTTTGTATTTTTAGTAGAGGTGGGGTTTCTCCATGTCGGTCAGGCTGGTCTCGAACTCCCAACCTCAGATGATCTGCCCTCCTTGGCCTCCCAAAGTACTGGGATTACAGGCGTGAGCCACCGCGCCTGGCCAGGAGTGTAACTTTAGAACTTCACTTCAGCTTCTGATTGGTTACTGTCCAATCAGACTGATTGCGGGTCAAGCCTTGGTTTGCACAGAAGTGTAACTTTGTAACTTCACTTTAACCTCTGATTGGTTGCTTTCCAGACTGATTGCAGGCCACCACTTCATTTACATGGGGTGAACACCAAGTGGCCAGTGGAAAACCTCTAGGGGGTATTTGGACCCCAGAAGATTCTGTATCTGGGGCCCTTGAGCTGCTGCTCAGGCCCACTCCCACACTGTGGAGTGTACTTTCATTTGCAATAACTCTCTGCTTTCATTGCCTCATTGTTTCCTTGCTTTGCCGTGCATTTTGTCCAATTCTTTCTTCAAAATGCCAAGAACCTGGACAACTTTCAGTCAAGACCTCTTCCAGTAACATCAGTAAACGAAAACATGACAGTTAAGAAGGCCTATTTACTGCAATTGTCTTAAAGACAATTTTAGAAAATTATGTGGTGCTTCAAACATTTTCTGTTTACATGTATTAATCTAATTTTGTTCTGGCAGCGTATCCCTATCTGTACAGGTCTGCAGCAACCTCAATTCTCCTCAGAAGAAAGAATTCGACTGAGGGGCATATGGTGGAAGGAGAGACAGAGTCAAGTTTTAGAGCAGGAGTGAAAGTTTATTAAAAAGCTTTAGAGCAGGAATGAAAGGAAGAAGAGTACACTCGGAAGAGGGCCAAGCAGGCAACTTGAGAGATCAAGTGCACCGTTTGACTTCTTGATTTGGGGTTTTATATGTCGGCATACTTCCGGGGTCTTGCGTTACTTATCCCCTGAGTCTTCCCTTGGGGTGGGCAGCCTGCATGCTGCCCGCACGTGACACGCTTGGGAGGGGCCACACCCAGTATGTTTACTGGAGTTGTATGCATGCTCACTTGAGGAGCTCTCCCCTTACCAGTCTAGCATTCCTAGAAGAAGGTCATATGCCAGTTAGACTTTGCCATTTTGTCTCCTAATGAGCATGCCTGAGCCCCCTCACTCAACTCCTGAGATCTCATCGGGAAGCTGCTGATAACCAGTTTCAGGTGTTTTCTTTTAGGAGACTGCCTTCTCCTGGCACTGGCTGTGACCAATTATTATTTTAGAGAGACAGTTAACAAAACTGCCTGACTATCACCTGGTGGTCACCTGACATTCCTAGTGTGTGTGTGGGGAACCCTCTCGTGCCCTGCTCACGCCTGACCATGCTGTCTACTGAAACACTATTGGTCATATTTACAACCCTACACAGTTTCTCATATTAATGGAGAGAAAAAAATGCCTATAAGAAACAAATTCAAATGATCAAAAAGAATGTATTAAATGCTTAGAAACTGCTTCATCAGCTCCCATTTCATTTCCTCAGTTTTATGCCTCTGGTTGTCCAGAGCCAGCCACTGAGCTCCCTACCTGGGAGCAGTTCGGCAATAGTTGCTACAAAAATCAGTGCTGGGTACAGGTAGCATTTAAACAGCTCTGAACTTTCTGCTCCTAAGCATGAATCATTCTCCTGGCCTGGGAGTCCCAGTGTTGAGTGATGCCCAAGGACATTGAGACAGACCAACTGACAAGTAGATTGGTTCCTTCCATTATCCATTCCAAGTTCTTCAAGGCCTCACTGTGTTTACCTGCTGAGATGTGAATATCTTTTATTAACAAAACTTAGGGGCAGGCTCTTGCCTCATCCATTCATTCATTCATGCAACAAATACTAGTCATAAACCTACCATGTGTCAGACACTGGGCTAGACTCTGAAGACACAAAGCCCACAAATAGCCCCTACCTTCAACAGATTGATGATCTTATAGACAGAAACCCATACCCATAGAAACAAGGGGTTTCAAATAATTTAGGTGCTATGATAAAAGTGTGTACAGAGTACAATGGGGGAAAATAAAGGAGGAATCAGTGCCATGAGAGGCAGCGGGTAGGAAAGGCATACAGGTGGTCGGTGCTTAAAGTGAGTCTTGAAAGAGATGAAGGTCTTTGCCAGTAGATGGGGATGTGACCACATAGGGGAATTCCAGATAGAGGCAGTAACAGGAACTTGCCAACTTCAGCCTCATGTAACAGAAAATCCGACCCCAGTGGGTTTAAGCAAGAAGTAAACTTGTTGGGGAACTGAGTGAGAAAACAACAACAACAACAAAACGCCCAAGAGTAGACCTGTTAGGCATGGCTGGTTTCTCTCTGTCTCTTATCCATTTCCTCTGCGGTGGCCCCAGTGCTCTCAAGATGGCGACAGCAGATTTGACCCTGTATCGTCTCAAGTCTCGGCTTTAGAGGAAAGAATACTACCACATGCCACTGTTTCAGAAAATGTCTCACAGCATCCCAGTGGCTCTGGGGAGGTGGCAGTCATATGCCCCTGAAGAAATCCCTGTGGCTAGGCAGGGTGAAGCTCTGATTAACTGTGGCCTGAGTCATCGCTCCCACTTAGAGATGGGTGGAGCTGTCCTCACCAGGACAACTTGCTCTAAGAGTCCAAAAGGACAATCTGGGCACTGTTCTTACAAGAAGGGAGCGTTGACAACAAACCTTCGTCTCAGCACCAGTCTTGCTGTCACCAGGAATCTGGAGCAGCTCAACACCATAGGGCTCCAAGTGACCAGCACCAAGTCAGATTCTCCAGAAGGACCGATTTCTGTCATCTCACTTGTAAGCAGCCATCTTCTCTGGAGTCCACACTTTGGGAAAATTTTCACTTCCTTTCCACTGGAGAGCCTCAGCCTCTGAAGGAAGCCAGCAAGTGCTGCAGTCTTGAGAGGCTCCCCAACTCTCAGGGAGCCCTGGCTTACCCACAGACCCAGACATAGTCCCTGCCTCCTTCTCTCCTCTCCTGCTCTACCACCAACTCACCCCTCTGTCCCAGTGTTTACCAAGGCCAGGCCACAGGTAGGGCCACCTCAGTTATATATGTATATATATGTTTGTTTGTTGTTGGTTTTTTTTTTAAGTTGGGGATCTTGCTCTGTTGCCCAGGCTTGAGTGCAGTGGCACAATCTCAGCTCACTGCAACATCCGCCTCCTGGGTTCAAGCAATTCTCCTGCCTCAGCTTCCCAAGTAGCTAGGATGGGATTACAGGTGCAGCCACCATGCCTGGCTAATTTTTGTATTTTCTCTAGAGATGGGGTTTCACCATGTTGGCGAGGTTGGTCTCAAACTCCCAGCCTCAAGTGATCCACCAGCCTCGGCCTCCCAAAGTGCTGGGATTACAGGCATAAACCACCTAGCCCAGCCAGTATAATGTTTTCCATTGTATACATATACCACAGCTTGTTTATCTATTCTATTGATAAACACGAGGGCTATTTCAGCTTTTAGCTGTTATGAATAAAGCTACAATCAGCATTTGTGTACAAGTCTTTGTGTGGACATATGTTTTTATTTCTCTTGGGCAAATTACCTAGGAGTGGGATCTCCAAGTCAAAAGTATATGTTTAACTTTGTAAGAAAGTAGGCAGATGCATATTTACTAGAATAACAGAATATTCATGTATGTCAATACTCTGGGCCATGGCTTCCTCATTATTAAAATAGGAATATAGCCATATCTACCCTGTCTAATTCTTGCCACCTTTGTGATGATCAGAATGGATAATGTACATTAACACATCATAAGGTGCTAAATTGTGCAGTGTGAAGAAAGAGCTATAGAGATTCTGAGGGAAGAGAGATAAATGAGGGCTGAAGAAATCACAGAAGACTGACTGGAAGAGGAGCTCACCTTTGAACGTTCAATTAAATCTGCCCAACGGTGGATGAACGGACAGATGGACAAATGGAATGGATAGATGACACATCCTCAAGGAATAAAAACTTTTTAAAGAATATAAAGAATACATTAGTTCATTTATTTGTGACACGTTTTTAAAAATCACATTAACATAAAGGAGGTCCCAAACAACTCTGTGATATGTGTTGTCTTTTTGGGTGCTCAATTGAAAGACAATGTTCCCATCAAGAAAAAGGGTCCTCTTGTGTCTTCCTTCAAATTACGCTATTATCAAGCTCGATTTAGACTTTCCTACTACCCTTTTTATTTTCTACTAAACCCCAAAAATAAGAAAGGCAAGGAATGGAAAATAAAAGATAAGAAATGCACAAGCTTATCAAAGATTTTTTATTTTTGTATAACTCTAAGATAATGTTGAATTTTTTTTCCTAGAATTTTCTAGTTTCCCAGGTCCCTCTCTTATTGAGGCAGCCTTGTGCTTTGCTCAGGGTCAGGGAGGAGAGGCAGTGTCCCTTTTGCTGGTGGCTGGAGACCTTGCAAGCCTTCAGAAACTTTTTACAATCCAAGCTCTTTCTCACGGTCGACTTGAGTCTTTTTGCTTGCTGTTCCCTTCACCTGAAGGGCTCTTTTCCCTTTCTTATTCTTTTATTGTTCAGCTCTCAGTCTAAATACTACCACAGTAAGGACTCCCTGCTCACCCAGGCTTCTTTATCACACCACATTGTTTTAATTCTCTACAGAGTGTTTATCACTGAAGATATTTTTCATGTATTTGTTTGCTTCCTTATTGTTCATCTTCCCATTGGAACATATACTCCTCAAGAGCAAGAATTTTTCTTCTTTACTGCTATACCCCCACTACTATAGTTCCTGGTGCATAAGCGGAGCTCAATAAATATTTGATGAATGAATAAATGAGATCGCCCCTTGGAGAAAGAGAAGAGAAGGGAAGTGTACCAACCCAGGATATGACTGAATTGCCTGAGTTATTATCCAAAATAAACTGAGAAGAATCTGGAAATTATTCAGTTTAGAGTCATTTGGCAAGAATAGATTTTCTGCTATCTGGGGCTTGAGAGATGGTTTAGTTTCAGTTATAGAGGAATAAAGAAAGTCCCATTTCTGAGACATCTTGATCTATAACTGTAAGATTCACATATGCTGCACAATCGATAAAGTGAATGAATTTTTTTTTTTAGACGGAGTCTCTCTCTGTCGCCCAGGCTGGAGTGCAGTGGCGCGATCTCTGCTCACTGCAACCTCCGCCTTCCGGGTTGACGCCATTCTTCTGCCTCAGCCTCCCTAGTAGCTGGGACTACAGGCGCCCGCCACCACGCCCGGCTAGTTTTTTGTATTTTTAGTAGAGATGGGGTTTCACCATGTTAGCCAGTATGGTCTCGATCTCCTGACCTCGTGATCCGCCTGCCTTGGCCTCCCAAAGTGCTGGGATTACAGGCGTGAGCCACCGCACCCGGCTGTGAATGAATGTTTCTACTCACGTAAAGATTACTTGATTAAAATTAGTATCTGGTGTGATGGGTAAGATTCTATTACTATGCATCAGTGTCACTAGTAGACATGACATTTGATCATACTAAATATAAAATTATTTCTGAATCTTTAAAATGATCATATTTTTTACATATTGTAAAATTTTAGGAATATGTCTTTAGGAAAACGTAATTGATTTTTAAAATCTCCTCTGAAAATATAATTAAAGCTATTTTTCTTAACTTTCAAATATATTTTTCATGTTTTGTAGCTCTAAGGTCTTTTTTTTTTACTTGGATAAGTAAAACATAGAATTAAGATGATATGATCTTGTTTAATTCTAAAACATTGGATTTAACCTAGGTGAAAGCTCATTTCCAAGAGGAAGGGTATGGATCCCTAGCTGATTACTATTTCTTTTTTCTTTTTCTTTCTATTCTTTTCTTTTTTTTTGAGACAAATTCTCGCTCCGTTGCCCAGGCTGGAGTGCAGTGGCACATTCTTAGCTCACTACAACCTCCGCCTCCCGGGTTCAAGTGATTCTTGTGTCTCAGCCTCCCGAGTAGCTGGGATTACAGGTGCCTGCCACCATGCCCGGCTAATTTGTGTATTTTTATTAGAGACCAGGTTTCGCCGTGTTGGCCAGGCTGGTCTCGAACTCCTGGCCTCAAGCAATCCACCTGCCTCAGCCTCCCAAAGTGCTGGGACTACAGACATGAGCCAGCATGCCCGGCCACTGTCTTGAAACTCTAACTGATCTGTCTTTTCCTTTGGGCTTTAAACCCCAAATGTGAGAGGGGAAGGCTAATCCTGTTGTGAATGTTTAGGAGTTTTTTTGTTTTCTCACCAGAAAACAAAAGAATAAACCAAGAAAGGGAAGGAAGGACCAAGGGAAAAAGGAAAGGGGGAAAGGAGTTCTCATAGCAAAGAGAGAAGTTAAAAGCATTTGCTAAGGTCAAACTTATTGTTTAACCATTTATAAGTGAGAAGCTGTTTGACTCTCCAGTATACCAGCTAATTTAGCTTAGAAGTCCAATCCTTCCTCTGGATCAGCATTGTCCAGTACCTGTGGCTCTTGGGACATTTGAAATGTGACTAGCACAACTGAGGAACTAATTTTTTTAAAACCTTATTTTAATTAATGTAAGTTTAAATTGAATAGCCACTTGTAGCTAAGAAACAGTAAATTCCAACACTTAGTATAACACAGCTAATTATCTAGATGCTATAGCTACTGTATTGGACAGCATCTAGATAATTAGCTGTGTTATACTTAAGTGTTGGAATTTACTGTTTCTTAGAACAATATTAAGGTAATCATTATTATGTTTCAAAATGAACGTAATGGAGCTAGTATTTTGGATAAGTGGAGATTCAACTTCAAGAAAAAAACAATTTAGGAAGATCTGATCACTTTCTTGGCTACTTATTGTGTCTAATGTTCTCATAGTTCCTCTTTTGGAAGCCAAGAAAAAGTTTATTTTGTTACTGTAGTGCTTTTTTGCAGAGATTAAAAAAAAAAAGTCCAACTACCAGATCTTCATCTGAAATAACTACCCACTTGAACATTTAATGATTCCTTTATTTTCCTTATGCCCTGAAAAGTTCAGTTAATTGTTGGTTTTGCTATTACAAAATTTGTTTGGTAGTAATAATTTGGAAGATAGAGAGTTATTTACCTGGTATGTTTCTGGTTAAGATACTTTGAACTACTTAAGTTTTCAGATCTGCAAGAACTATCTTTGATGAGATGACAACTTGGAGGAAGGGTTCAGTCAAGTGCAGTTGGGTAATTACTCTGGAGATAATCACATGGTTTTGTAGTTTCTCTTTTTAAATTCATTTTTTCCTGCTTGGTGCTGCAGTCTGAATGTTTATGTCCCCCCAAAATTCACATGTGAAAATCCTAATCCTCAGGGTATCAGGAGGTGGGTCCTTTCGGTGATTAGGGAATGAGGGTGGAGCCCTCATGAATAGAATTCATGTCCTTATAAAAGAAGCCCCAGGCCAGGCACAGTGGCTCATGCCTGTAATTTCAGCAGTTTGGGAGGCCAAGGCAGGGGGATCACTTTAGCTCAGGAGTTTGAGACCACCCTGGGCAACATGGCAAAACCCTGTCTCTACAAAAAATACAAAAAAAAAAAAATTGCCAGGAGTAGTGGTGTGTGCCTGTATTCCTAGCTAACTACTTGTGGGGCTGTGGTGGGAGGATTGCATGGGCCTGGGAGGTTGAGGCTGCAGTGAGCAATGTTCACAACACTGTGCTCCTGGCTGGGTGACAAAGTGAGACCCTGTCTCAAAAACATAATAATAAATAGGGGCCCCAGAGAGCTGCCTTGCCTGTTCCACCATGTGAGGACTCGGTGAGAAGGGGCTGTCTGTGAGGAACAGGCCCTCACCAGGCACAGAATCTGCCAGCACCTTGATCTGGAACTTCCCAGCCTCTAGAACTGTGAGGGAGATGTGTATTGTCCCTAAGACACTCAATATATGGTATTTTTGTTATAGCAGCCCAAACAGACTAAGACACTTGATCTTTATTTTCCTCTGCTACAAGTCTTTTGTTGTTAATAATAGTGTAAGGGGTTTTGTTTTGTTTTGTTTTAAGAAAAGGAGAAATGCAGTCCAAAGATATCCCTATATTTGTGATACCAGGAAGGACCATAACATCCCACATACACTTTCAATATAGTATTGAAATAACACAATGTAGTGACCTCCCTCATAAAACCAGTAAGCACTCAAGCATAATCTTGTGTGAGTGTCACAAAGTTCAATTCTTGATAGCTGTAGTCTTTACATGCGGGCAGCCCTCCCACTCTACTTCCACCTATACCGAGAACTTGAAAATAAAGTTGCCTCTGAGAATAAAACCCTAAAATCCAACCATATGACAGCCAAGGGAGTGTACCACATAGATCTCCTCCAAGACAGAATCTGCCAAAGGACTGTCATTAGTTGGCAGCCTCCATCTGCCACACTCTTGGGATCTGCTGCATCACACATGCCAAGCCATACTCTAGCCAGGCTGCCCAGCCAATGACTGAACAAGGCAGGGGTACCAGAGCCAGGTGGCTCCTCCACAACACAGGTCTCCTCTAGCAGGCCATCTTTGCTAGAGCTCCTCATTGCCCTGGCCAATATTTTACTCAGGGCTGCACTATGATCTGAAGCACTTCCAGCCCAAACCCCCTTCTTTCCCTAACTCCTCTCACAGGTGTCAGACCTGCATTGCAGTTCCAGGCTCCACCTACTCACGGTTCTTCTTCCCTTTGTCCTCCATAGACCTTTCCCCTGATACGTCTCTTGCACATTGATCTCTTGCAGAATCAAATTCTGTACTGGTGTCTGCTTTTCAGAAGACCCAAATCAACACAATACAAAATGAATGAGACTAATTGAAGAAATAACCTTAAAGAGCATTCTCAACAGTAAGGGCAAGAACCAGGTCTCTTCTAACCAACACTGTTATCTACAGTGCCTAGTGCAGCACTTGGCATAGAGTAGGCTCTTGATAACTTGTGGAAGAAAGGGAGGGAGGGAGGAGCAGAGAGAGGGAGGGAAAAGGAATGATTTTTGGATTAGCTGGGACTTAAAAATCTAAAGAAGTCTCAGTGAATGTTAAAAAAAAAAAAAGCCATAGCATTAGAAGGAAATATGTAGGGAGAAAAGGGTGGTCAGTCTGGAATTTAGAGAAAGGAGTTTCAAAGAGTGAAAATTTGCGTGTGTCTCCAGCATTGTCTGGGAGAGGCACAGATGCACACACAGATGCATACACACATTTATACATGTATCCATATCTAATATGCATAAAAGCTAATACGTGGGAAGTAATGTGTATGTGTACATTATACATATATTTATATGCCTGTTATTTTGCTCAGAATACCCAGTACATATAAACAACACCTAAATATACCTCCAAGGTAAAAGGAAAATGAAACAAACAAAAAATTCTCTAGATACTGCCAATGGAAACATTACCAATTGAGAAAACAGAGACAACTGCCAGCTCCAGGCAGAGACAGTGCTTCTGTTGCTCCAACTTCCTATTTGTACAATTAGTCCTACACAGCGGGCCAGGATACTCCTGTCATTAGCATCTGGCAAATATGTCCCTGTTAAGAAGCATCAATTCCAGTGTCTCTGAGAAAAAGCTCTAGTCTCGATGATGAGCTATAATCCTATCAAATTCAATCAAATGGGTAAGTCTCTTGCTGTTTTTAAAAATTAATAACCATTTAATACCCAAAATAAATATACTTTGATATTCAAGCATTTTGGCTTCACTTAGAATTTACTTAGAATGATGCTTTCCCATATAGATCTTTTGCAACTATCTTAGCAGGAAAAAAAATACATATTCAGGGTTCTACTTATTTCTTAGGAAAATAAAGCTTATGTTGGGTTTATTTTAAAAGCGTTTATAGGACTTAAAATGTTTTCAGAATTTGAGGACAAGACTCAAGGCACATACATTAAACTAGTTTTATTAATATAATGGTTTTAGGACTGTGTTCATAGCCATGATCATGTGTATACATGTGTATATATACAAACATGTAAATATACACAGGTGTATGTGTATATATGTAAATTTTGCAGTTAGTTCTCTGTTACACTCAGAACTTTAAAGAATCTATAAATTACACAGTCTCATAGTTCTAAAGACTTTGTTTGCATGTAACATTTATTTGGATAATGCCTGTTAGGTAGTTAGCTTACTTTTTCAGAAGTACAACCCTTAAGCAATCTTGTAACACACAACAAACCAGTTCAGTTGTTTAGTGAGTAATGAATGTAAACCTTTTCCTTGAGGAACAAATAAACAGCAATTTGAATTGAGGTAGATTGTTATCTCTGCCTATGATTAGAATGGTATTCTCCAAATGGCACTTTAGAAGACCAATGAGTAAACAGGAAGTTATTTGTGAATGGAGCTAAGATAGAAAAAGATCCACTATCATTCCTCTCATTCTAAGCCAGTGTCTTATTACGGTAATGTTGACACTAAAATCATTATTATTGATTGTTTTAATTGGTGGCTTTTCCAAAAGCAAAGACCCAGAAGAACTTAGAACTAAAATAAACTCTTCAAATCCCTGGATAATACTTTTATCATAGAAGAGACATTGGAAAGAAAGGGGACTAAAGTGGCACTAGTACTGTCTTTGGGTGGCAAAGTTAAGGGTCATTTTCTTTTTTCTCTTTTTTAAATAGTTTCCAGATTTTATATAAGGAGCAGGTATTTCCTTTATACTTAAGGAAATTTTTACTTGAAAACAAAAAGAAGAGATGGTTTAATGATGACGGAAGACCATAGAGCAAAACTGGAGAGAGCGTCAGTTTCATTTCTTGGCGTGGGTTAGGGTTCAGGCGCTGATGCCAAGCTCTTGCCCCAAGCTTTGAGAATCAGTGAGTGAGGAGAGCACAGGGACCCCAAGGCAGTCTGGGATAAAAGGGATCTGGGCTGATATCCTCTGGTGTTTTTGATATTTCTTGCTCCAGACTCCTGGCCCCTTGTTAGGCAGCCACTCTTGGTGGCATTCTCCTCATTTTTAACATCCCAGCACTTCCCCGATGGCCCTATTTCATTGCCTGCCTTGCAGACAACTACCATCTTAGCATGACTCATGGTTATGAGTAACATTGAGTCCTGGTGAGAAAGCCAGATGAATTAGCTACAAAAGCATCCAACTGGCTAAAGGAGTCAATCTGTTGGATGAGGTTCTTTAAATATGATGAGCTGGGCATGGTGGCTCACGCCTGTAATCCCAGCGCTTTGGGAGGCCGAGGCGAGTGGATCACAAGGTCAGGAGATCAAGACCATCCTGGCTAACACGGTGAAACCCCGTCTCTACTAAAAATTCAAAAAATTAGCTGGGCGTGGTGGCAGGCACCTGTAGTCCCAGCTACTCAGGAGGCTGAGGCAGGAGAATAGTGTGAACCCGGGAGGTGGAACTTGCAGCGAGCCGAGATCGCGCCACTGCACTCCAGCCTGGGCGACAGAGAGACACTCGGTCTCAAAAAAAAAAAAAAAAAAAAAAAAAAAAAAAAGATGATTACACCTAACAAACAAAAAGATATCTATTACCTGCAGTTGATACAAATCACTTTTATAGGCAAAGGTTCATCCCCAAAAGTCAACATAATAAAACAATTCCAAGAAGTTTTGGTTTGATTTGGTATCTTTGTTAGTAGTACTTCTTCTTTTTTTTTTTTTTTTTTGATACGGAGTCTCAAGCTGGAGTGGCCCAAGCTGGAGTGCAGTGGCGCGATCTCGGCTCACTGCAACTCCGCCTCCCTGGTTCACGCCATTCTCTTGCCTCAGCCTCCCGAGTAGCTGGGACTACAGGCGCCCGCCATCATGCCCGGCTAGTTTTTTGTATCTTTTAGTAGAGATGGGGTTTCATCGTGTTAGCCAGGATGGTCTCGATTTCCTGACCTCGTGATCCACCCGCCTCGGCCTCCCAAAGTGCTGAGATTACAGGCTTGAGCCACCGCGCCCGGCCTGTTGTTAGTAGTGCTTTTACTCCATGGTCCTCATTACCATCAATGGCCCACACGTTGTTTTTTTTTTTGTTGTTTTTTTTTTTACTGTCAAGGAGATAGATAGATAGATAGATAGATATGGTCTTTCCTTCCTTCCTTCCTTTCTCTTTCTTTCTTTCCCTTTCTTTCCTTTCTTTCCTTTCTTTCTTTCCTTTCTTCTTTCCTTTCTTTCTTTCCTTTCTTTCTTTCAGACGGAGTTTCACTCTTGTTGCCCAGGCTGGAGTGCAATGGCACGATCTTGTCTCACCGCAACCTCTGCCTCCCAGGTTCAAGTGATTCTCCTGCCTCAGCCTCCCGAGTAGCTGGGATTACAGGCACGCACCGCCATGCCCGGCTAATTTTGTATTTTAGTAGACACGGAGTTTCTCCGTGTTCGGTCAGGCTGGTCTCGAACTCCTGACCTGCTGGCCTCGGCCTCCCAAAGTGCTGGATTACAGGCGTGAGCCACCGTGCCCGGCCAAGGTAATATTTTGTAGCACTTGTCCTTACAGCTCTTCTCACACCCAAGTTGTCTCTGTTTGACATGGTAGAACCCTGGGTTCTCTCAACAGTCTTTTCCAAATTCTTAAAGGCTTATTGCCATGTGGAAGTGGGGTGACCTGTTGTTCTGAAGCATTCACCTCAGGCTTGGTCCTCTTTCCCAGGAATATATTTGCTTACATGCTACTTCCAGAAGAAAGAAAAGCAAAGAACCTCTTAGGCAACATCTCCAGAGTAGTAGGGAGAGCTCGCTGATTGGACAGCCCCTGGTCACATGTCCCACTGGGGGCTGGAGAAGCAGTGAATGGAATCAGTGCTCACAGAAGCACACGGCATAGGGAAGGGTGGCTCCCCAAGGAAGGGATGCTGAGTAGATAAACAGCATATGTCTGTTCATGCCGTCTCCATGTGTACTGAGCATTCCTGAATTCCCAGAAAGGCTCTAATGGATTTTCATGCAGTACTGATGAAAACCCTGAGTTTTCCAGTTAGCCTGGGTTCAGATCCCAGCTTTTTTTTCTTTTTTCTTTTTTTGAGACAGGATCTCGCTCTGTCACTCAGGCTGAAGTGCAGTGGCAGGATTGTAACTCACTGCAGCCTCAACCTCCTGGGCTCAGGTGTTCTTCCCATCTCAGCCTCCCAAGTAGCTGGGACTGCAGGTGCACACCACCATGCCCTGCTAATTACAATTTTTTTTTTTTAGTAGAGACAGGGTGTCACTGTGTTGCCCAGGCTGGAATCCAACTCCTAGGCTCAAGTGATCCTTCCACCTCTGCCTCCCAAAGTGATGGGATAACAGGCATAAGCCACTGTGCCCAACCCCCGGCTTTTTTTTTTCCCCAGCTTTTTATTTATATATTGTAGGTCTTAGGGCCAGGCATGTTGACTCACACTTGTAATCCCAGCACTCTGAGAAGCCGAGTCAGGAGGATCAATTGAGCCCAGGAGTTCAAGACCAGCCTGGGCAAGATAGTGAGACTCTTGTCTCTACAAAAAAAAAAAAATAATAATAATAATAATAATAATAAAATTGGCCCGGGCTGGGCACCGTGGCTCACGCCCGTGATCCCAGCAGTTTGGGAGGCCAAGGCAGGTGGATCACTTGAGGTCACGAGTTTGGGACCAGCCTGGCCAACATGGTGAAACCCCATCTCTACTGAAAATTCAAAAATTAGCTGGGCGTGGTGGCAGGTGCCTGTAATCCCAGCTACTCGGGAGGCTGAGGCAGGAGAATCATTTGAACCTGGGAGGCGGAGGTTGCAGTGAGCTGAGATTGTGCCATTGCACTCCAGCCTGGGTGACAGAGTGAGACTTCCTCTCAAGAAAAAAAAAATTAGTCTGGTATGGTGGCACATGCCTGTAGTCCCAGCTACTCAGGAGGCTGAGGTGGGAGGATTGCTTGAGCCCAGGAGGTCCCAGCTGCAGCGAGCCATGATCACACCAGTGCACTCCAGCCTGGGCGATAGAGCAAGATCCTGTCTTAAAAGAAAAAAAAATTTTGGATTATAAATCTCAGAATCTTCACCTGTAAAATGATGATACTTGTTCTTACCCCGTAAGTTTGTTTAGAGAATTATACAAAATATTGTTTGTAAAGCACTTAGCACAGTTCCAGGTGTATAATAAATGCTCAGTAAAAGTCTGAGATGATGATGATAATGACGATTCATTATGGAGAGACTCCACTAAACAAAGTTTCATTCCACACCAAGAAGCAGCAGCTGATTTCCTTGTGTTCAGCTTGGCCCGCTTTCATGTGCTTGCCTTTGACTCAAACAAAATGCCTGACCCAGTCCAAGGTGGACAGGTGAGTGGAACTGGTTTCATTCAACACATCCTATTAACTCTGCAACTTCATATATCAAGACCTCCTTGGGGCTGCTTTCCTCAGCAAAGGGATGCAAGGAGACAGGCTAATTGAACTTTGTAGATCCTTATCATGGACATTAATCACACTTGTGCCTGCCCATTTTGTTTTAGTAGCCTTTTAATATTTGGAGATATTTCTATATTATGTAACCTCATCTTCTAATAGTGCTGAATTCCCAGCCTCCCTTGTGGCTGAGACACTGCAAGTCATGTGACATGGACACTACCAATCATATAGGCTTGCATGAGAGTTTGATCAAGAGATCACCGTGAGCAAAGAGGTTCTGTGATTCTCTTATTCTGTAGGAGGCAATAGGCTGTCTGGCCTTTGGGGCAGGAGTGTGGTAAGGTTGAATTTCCCAGGGCAGAAATGTATCTGAAGTGCTCACAACAGCGGTGACTGCATTAAGTTCAAGTACCTGCATTTAGTGCTTAGTCTTGGTGGCAATAATAGCAGTAGATTTCTCACTGGCCATTTCTGAGGCGAGGTTTTGGCTCTTATTCCAGGAAAATGAGCTTTGAGACTGTTTCTATGATTCTTTTGATGATAATGTGAACTTTCTGCTCTGCTTGAAATTCTGAGTGGACTCAGTTGTTTGTAGCTAAGAAACCTGACCAGTACAATTCCTAATATCTTATTCTTGGCAGAGAGGTGTGTTGAGGTGGGGCAGGGGAAAGAGGAAGGTCTACGTTTGTTCCTAATGTGTGTTTACAGACATCAAAAAACACTGAATTTTTTTTTTTTTTAGATGGAATCCCACTCTGTCGCCCAGGGTGGAGTGCAGTGCCGTGATCTCGGCTCGCTGCAACCTCTGCCTCCTGGGTTCAAGCGATTCTTGTGTCTCAGCCTCCCGAGTAGCTGGGATTACAGGCGCCCATCACCACGCCCAATTAACGTTTGTATTTTTGGTAGAGACAAGGTTTCACCATGTTGGCCAGGTTGATCTTGAACTCCTGGGCTCAAGTGACCTGCCCACCTCTGCCTCCCAAAGTGCTGGGATTACAGGCCTGAGCCACCGTGCCCAGTGTGAACTAACTTATGAACATTCCGGATTTTTTACAAGATGAGTACCGCACTATGGAATAAATGTGCAATGGATTTACACGACATTTTCAGACGTTTACAAGGTTGATGAGTGAATCAGAGATTAGCTGACAATGTTGACATATTGGGCCCAGCTAGATACTAGCATTGTGTAGCAAGGAATGTTTGAGTGGGGCCTAATTTTATAAGTGGTCAGTTCATTGGTGAATATTTTCATATTCCCATGATGCTGATTCTCTGTGCAACCTGGTAACAGCAGAGGCTGGATAATAAGGATCAGTTCACCCACCACTCCACTTTTTGTTTTAAAGAATCTACCCACAGGGCTTTTGTTCTTTTTCTCTCTCCACTTTTCTACTGCCTGTGGGGGTAGCTCCTTGTCCATTATACTAATTCTGTTATCACACAAGTCCAGAAACTGGTCTCACAGAGATGGACCTTACATATACCTTCAAAGTGCACTTGAGTCTTGATATGGTTTGGCTGTGTCTCCACCCAAATCTCACCTTGAATTGTAATAATCCCCAGGTGTCAAGGGTGGGACCAGGTGGAGGTAATTGAATCGTGGGAATGGTTTCCCCCATGCTGTTCTCCTGGTGGTGAGTGAATGCTCATGAGAGCTGATGGTTTTGTAAGGGGCTTTTCCCCTTCTCCTATCACCCTGTGAGGAGGTGCCTTCTGCCATGATTATAAGTTTCCTGAGGACTCCCCAGCCATGTGAAACTGTGAGTCAATTAAACTTCTTTTCTTTATAAATTACCCAGTCTCGGGTATTTCTTCATAGCGGCGTGAGAACAAACTAATAAAAGTCTCTCAATTTTAACACATCAACTTCTCAGGACATTTAAGGTTTATAATTTTGGTCAGAACTGTAGTTCCAAGTCAAATATGTGTTTTTAAGAGCCAATAATATGGGTTTTAGTAAATTCTAAAATCACATGGTAAAATCAATGTCTTATGAGTGTCAACAACAGAATGATTGGTGTTAAAATCCTAACTCTTTAGTGAGCATATGAACACAGTCATCAATCTATAAATTAAGAAATGGCTGTGTATTTTAGTTCAAATAGTTTCCTATTTAGGCACATTTAATACTTTGTTATTTATTTTAAATTTTGAAAACTTAGCTTAGTCCTGAATGAAGTATTTTCTGGTTTACGAGGACTGCAAATCATTACCAGAAAGTGAATTGAGCAATATTTCCCTTTATAATTTAAAACTATGACTTTCAAATAAACAATTATCTAAAAACACTTATGCTATTAGATAGCATATTCTTGAAATGCGTGCAAAATCAACAACCATTTATTCTCCTCTTCCCTGTTTTAAAGACATTTTTATTGGGTTGAGAGTGTTTCAGGATATAAAGCAGTTTGCCAAATTCTGTCACCCTTTTTTTTAATGTCATAAAGGGTGTGGTGCCTGTAGAGAAGTTTTGAAAGTTGTACTTTATGATGTTTTTGCCTTCACTTTTTAAAAAAATGGTAAGATAATCTAAGTCCTGTCCGTATATTCTGGTTCCTAGTATAGGCTTCAGGGTGCACTCACTATGAAAAGTCAGAATATTTCCTGTAGCCAGTTTTACTTACTTCCTTGCCAGGAGTGTTTAGGTTCTTTTTTTTTTTTTTTTCTTTTTTGAGATGGAGTCTCACTCTGTCGCCCGGGGCTGGAGTGCAATGGCGTGATCTCGGCTCACTGCAACCTCCGCCTCCCGGGTTCACGCGATACTTCTGCCTCAGCTTCCCGAGTACCCGGGATTACAGACGCACACCGCAACACCTGGCTAATTTTTTGTATTTTTAGTCGAGGCGGGGTTTCACCATCTTGGCCAGACTGGTTTCGAACTCCTGACCTCGTGATCCGCCCGCCTCGGCCTCCAAAAGTGCTGGGATTACAGGCGTGGGCCATCGCGCCCACCCGTGTTTAGATTCTTAACAGCTCATTATTAGAAATAAAGTCTCGATAAGAACTACTTTAATACTTAATTTTCTTGCTTAGAAAGGTGAAAACAATTTAGAAGGAACAACGTGAGGCATCAAAGTTAAGCTGTATCTCCCATAGCTGGTGATTATTAAAAATCTCTATGAATCTAGTCTGTTCCTGTCATTCTTTTATTAATCCCTGGTTATTGGGAAGCTCTTAACAAAATAAATGTTTAAAATTATATTTCTGTAATTAAGTAAAAGAGAGTATTGATTCCACAAGGCTAGAATTGTTCGTCTAAGAAAAACGAATTCTCCGTAAATTTTAACCCGTTAATACCACAGAAAGATGCTGTTGGAAAGGTCTAAGAACAGAGAGATGCAAGCAGAGAAACACCATTTTCAGAACATGACATGGGATGGTGAGATTTGCTGATTTGGTTCCGTCTTCATTATCTGACATTTAATGACAGTTCACACAGAAATCGCTCGCCTGAAAACCCGTGTTTAAATCCCGGCACAGAGACTGTCTTCCTTGTCATTGTCATACCAGTAAAAAAAAGAAAAGTATCTAGAGAGAGAGAGAGGAGAATAAGCACAGAAGTTAAAATACAATAAAATCCCTTTTCCCTTTCTTTCCTTGGATCTGGGTTTTGAAGGAGACAAAGAAGGACCCCCAGGCTTTCCAGCAGCCAGCAAGCGCTATTACTTTTTATTTAAAAGCAACTGGGAAAAACATTCCCCAAAGCAAAACCAGAAGCCCTCCCTGAGAATCGTCTCTGGGCGTCGGGGCCCGGGCCGCTGGGGTGCCACTCCGCAAGGGGTTCCTCTTCTCCCCGGGGTCCCTGAGGGCTGGACGAGAGAGGACCCGTCGGTCCCGGGGTGCCGGGAGGAGACGTTCGCCCGCCCCACGAGAGGGGGCGGCTCTGGCCTCGGAGCCGCCCCTCCTGCCGCCGGAGAACAAACGGGATATTCAGCAGTGGCCTGTGGCTGCCAGAGCAGCTCCTCAGGGGAAACTAAGCGTCGAGTCAGACGGCACCATAATCGCCTTTAAAAGTGCCTCCGCCCTGCCGGCCGCGTATCCCCCGGCTACCTGGGCCGCCCCGCGGCGGTGCGCGCGTGAGAGGGAGCGCGCGGGCAGCCGAGCGCCGGTGTGAGCCAGCGCTGCTGCCAGTGTGAGCGGCGGTGTGAGCGCGGTGGGTGCGGAGGGGCGTGTGTGCCGGCGCGCGCGCCGTGGGGTGCAAACCCCGAGCGTCTACGCTGCCATGAGGGGCGCGAACGCCTGGGCGCCACTCTGCCTGCTGCTGGCTGCCGCCACCCAGCTCTCGCGGCAGCAGTCCCCAGAGAGGTAACGCGACCCCTGCCCGGGCTCCCTTTCTCTCCTTTCCCTTCCTCCACCCCTGCAGCCTCGCCTGCTGCTTTACTCAACCCGCTTCGGCGCGCCTGGGTGACCCAGCGCTCGACCCTGCGCTCCCGCGCGGTGCAGGCGTCCGCCACCCTCGGGTAGGCTAAGCCCGGGACTTCGGGACCCATCCTTGCTCGCGGGGCTCCCTCCTGGGTCCCCAGCCCGGCCTGCCGGATGGCCCTGCAGCTGGCTTGGCCACCACGTGGCGGGGCTTAATCTGACTTGTGTCTCCCCTCTCCTCGTGTCTATGGGGCCAGAGGGAAGCACTGGGGCCCAAATATGTGGATTTTGGTTTACCGCTGTTTTTTTTCCTTCCCCGAGAGGCTTTGCCCAGAGACGTAAACTAGGGAACAACCCTAGCGGCGCGGCGCCTAGGGAGCCGCTCCGGAAAGTTAACTCTTCGCCAACCTCTGGAAGGCCCCAGGAGCTGGGCTGTGGGACCTGCCCGGTGGCCAACTTTGGCATCACCTCTTCAGCCTCCATCAACATCAGCCTCCCTTTCGATGGGAAGCTCTGCCAATGGCGAGTGATTTTCAGAAAGGGGGAGGAGAACTGGGCATCTCTCCAAATATGGGAACGACAAACTTTTTTTATATTAACCAATTGCTTGCCTGTCTTTCTTTAAAACCATGCTTCTCATTCAGCCTGGCTCTTACCTTCTCTCCCACTCCCCCAGTTAAATTGATGTATTTACCATTTTCCTACAAGACTTTGCCACAATGCCGAGGACTTGATTATACATATATATAATCTTGTGTTATTATGATGGAGACAGATGGCGCTGGACTGAATGCTTTGTCAGGCTATAATTTAAATATTCTAGGAGCTAGCAAATTTTCAGATCCCTTATATGGTGCAAGCATTGATTAATCAACATTAACTTTTATTTATATTAATAGGCTACACCTTTCTGAAGGTAACATCAGATTGTTAGACCATGTTTCAAATTACATTATCTTTTCTTCTTTTATGTTCCCAGACCTGTTTTCACATGTGGTGGCATTCTTACTGGAGAGTCTGGATTTATTGGCAGTGAAGGTTTTCCTGGAGTGTACCCTCCAAATAGCAAATGTACTTGGAAAATCACAGTAAGCATTTTTTAAAAAGGTATTCTCCTGGAAGTGGGTGTTGGCAACAGTGTGAGGCTGCTGCCTTTTTCCTCTGGTGTTAGGATTTGAGTAAGAGGCAAATGCCTGAAATAGTGAAATGTTGGATTTACCCCAACTATTGGGAAGATTTTTATTAATATAATAGATCTAGTCGTGTCCTGCATTAGTGATTACAAAGGGCACAAGATAATGCTTGAAGGAATAAATTCTCAGAGCAGATGTGTTTCTGAAAGCCCAGTGTGACTCAGTTGAGTTTTATAGATTCATAATTAAAGCTGTTTTCAGTCAAAGGCCTGTTGTAATGACCTTCATAAGTTTTTTGTTGCTCGTGCCTTCATAAATTCCCAGTGGGAAATGGAAGATCAAAGATAGTGCTTTGACTACTCTATGCTCATTAGGAAAGGAAAAAGAAAAAAAATAAAAAAAGCCCACTTAATGTTCCTGGGTTGAAACCACCTCTAAAGGCAGTCTAAGAATAGAGAATGGGGGGGTGGGAATCTAAATAGCAGCCAAGGGCCAATAAAAAGTCCATGCTGATTAGTAATAACATAGATTATGCTGAGTCAAGATAAGCTGGATTTAGAGACAGCCATATATTTTTTAACTGATTTAGAGTCAACTAGAGTGAGTCATCTTTCCAGTCAGCATAGCATTGACTGTTACCTTCTTCACTTTTTCGTTGTTGGGAAGTTGTTTAGTAATTGAATACGTTGGTTCACTGAGAGCTTCTTTCAGTCAGATTGTGCCACTGGAGGACTTAGATTTTTTAAAAAGTAGCCCCCACTGAATGTGTAAACTAGCAGTTACTGTGTGCCAGGCATTTACCATGCCAAGTAGTTAGCAAGTATAATCACCCAGAATCCTCAAAACAACTGTATGAGAAAGTATCTATTATCATCCCTATTTTATAGATGGGGAAGCTGAGGCCTGAAACAATTATAGAAATTGACTTGATCAGACAGTCGGGAAGCCCAACTTTATGTAAAAGTAAAACCTACTTTGCAATAAGGTATTCCCACTGAGGTCATTTTGCAGGCAGATATGAGAGGTCCCCTTCCATAATATAAAACTCAGCTCTTACATGCCTTGACGGCCTCTTGTAAAATGCCAACCATGTCACAAACTGGTACAGATTTCATTATGTTATTATAGCACATGTGGCCAGGAAAGAAGTCATAGAAAATAAGTTTGAAATACTATTAACATAAATGTCAAATAAGTCTCTGAAACAAAAATAAAAGCAGCTTGATTTTCATGTCGTGATTGTGTTTTAAATGTAATTAAATGGCCATAAGTTTTAAACGACCCTAGAAAATCAATGGCTCAGAGGCGTCATGTGCCCAAGTAGAAATTCATGGTTGGCCATGTGTTCTGAGTATTGCGGACAGGTTGATGTGACTTTACACTTTGACTGGGGTTGGGGGGCACGTCCAGTGAAAGCTTTCCTTGATAAAGGAACGGTTTGCCTCAGGAGAGGCATGATTTCCTGTGTGGGAGTGGGGAAGTTAAATGGATGCTCCATCTGGATGTCCTGTGAAGGGAAAGCCTGTGAGCTCAGCAGTCACTTCCCTGGATTCAAATTCCAGTTTCACCGCCATAAACTGTGTGTCCAGGATCTACCTCCTTTAAACCTTAGGATTACTGTGAAGACAAAATGAGATAGTGTAAAATGCTTCAACTCAGTGCCTGAGTGGGAAGAAGCTTGATTTGTCTGAAGAACAAATTAAGGAGGTTGGAGTGGCTGGAATGGAATGAGCAAGGGGACAGTGGGAAGAGAAGCGAAGAAGGTAAACAGGACTCTGTAGGCCACGGTGGAGAGTTTGAATTTTGTTTTGAGTAGGAGTCACTGGAAGATCTTAAGCAGAGGAATGAGCTTATCTGGTGTCTGCGTGGAAGATGAACTGTAGGGAGTTAAGAGTAGAGGCAGAGAGACCAATTAGGAAGCTGTTGTGGTATCCAGGAGAGGGAAGATGGTGGAGTAGACAAGGTGGTAGCAGAGAAGATGAAGAAATGCGGAGTCTTCTGCCCACAGTGTTTTCTCAGCAGCTCTGCCTGCGGTTAGGATATAGTGGCACCAGCTAGAAGGATACATGCACCAGGCTCTGTCTCCCTGCTTAGCCATTCCAGACAGGACTGTGCTCTACTATGGCCTTGTCCAAGGCCATCTATTAAAGGTTTTTCCCACGCTGGTTGGTCCAGCCCATTTTTCTGTTCCTGCAGTCAGTAAACCAAGAATAGTGTTCCCATTGAGTGATTCAGTATCACTTTTATTAAAATATCACAGAGGCCGCTGGAGATGGGAAAGCCTCAGAGTGGTCCTTAAACTGTAGTTCCTGTAGCTGGGGGGAAATATCTTGCTTTCACTCACTGGCCTCCCATTCTGTTCGTCCAAACTGGAGATGTGTCCCAGCATGGTAGCTTTCACCGCTAAATGGTTTTCATTAAACTCTATCATATCAATGCAAGAATGGGAAATGTCTGATTTTAACTTTTGCTTTAAGAAAGGTGAATCCTAGTTGTTACCACCAAACTTCCAGTCCTTCGTGTTGGACTTTCTGATGCGAAAGTACAGCCTGCAGATTGGAAATTTAGATGTGTCCTTACATTATAGTACTTTAAAATTTTTATAGCAATTTCTTAGACAGCTGCATTGTTCCAACACACTGTATTGGCTATTTAAATGTAAATTAAGTTAAACATTTAGTTTCTTAGTCATACTAGCCACATTCAAGTGCTCAATAGCCACATGTGGATAGTGGCTGCCTTACTGGACAATATGTAATATAGTATTTCTGTCATCACAATTTTTCTTGTGGACAGTGCTGTGCTATTAATAGAAAAATTTTATGCTTAATTTTACTCACGTAAAATGTTGAGGACAGAGGTGCTCTGTGCTGCTTAGTTGTACTTCTGCTTTGCAAATAGGGAAGCTGCTACTGGTTCTTTGTAGTTGTTGGAGCTGTAACTGGAACTCAAGACTCTTGACTCAGCTTTATCACCAAGAGTTGATGGCCTTAACAGGTCTTAGGTTTTTTACTTTTACTGTATGTGTTCTCAAAAATGTATGCTTAGAGACTAAATTAGAGAATTTGGGTGTTAAGAAATAGTTGAATATTTTGTAATCCATGATGGGGTTGAGAGTTTCTTAGTTTACTGTAGGAGTTGATTCTGGGGACTATAACCTAAAAGGCATCTGCATAAAATCCCCTAATTCTCAAATACGGGGACGTGGGTATGAGTTAAATGTGATTTGACAGCTAAGGTATATATAATCCTTTGGAAAGTAGTGACTGGTCTTCTAAGCAGGCTTGGAAGAACAATAGGGTTGGGGTGAGGCATAAGTCACCCTAATTTATTTAAGAACCAGAACCAATAACTCCCACCTGTATTAAGCCCTGCAGCAAGAAATGAAACTCCAAAAGTTGACATCCCACCACCTGGACCCCTCTATTACAGTGGTTCTTCTGCAGTTTGAGATTGTATGCAGGAGACAACAGTAAAAAATCTCTGAGATCCATAAAAGAAGTAGGGGAGAGTGGACCACTGTGAACAAAAACACAGCTGGTGTGATGTATTTCACTGCAACATAGGCAGGACACATTTAGAAGAGCCCATGAAGCATGGTGCTGGGTGCAGGAGACACATAGGCGAATTTAGAGGTGATAAACACATGGGGAGCTACCTGCTAGGATGTGTTCCCAAGGCCCTGAGTGGGAAGTGAGACAAAGCCCACCAGGCATCTTACGTTCTGTGCTCCACAGGCACCCCTGGCATAAAGATCACCATTCCGTTAATAGCTTCATTATAAATTCATTGCAAACTCGGCAAATCATCAATACCTCTGTTCCTTGATATTTTCATTCATAACTTGTTCATTTTATAATTCCCATAATGGAATTAGAGATACATATTGATGATTCGACACAAATATGTGTTTTTTTTTTTTTTAAAGAAAAGTAGACATACGTTGGGAGGCTGAGGCAGGTGGATCACCTGAGGTAAGGAGTTCAAGACCAGCCTGGCCAACGTGGTGAAACCCTGTCTCTACTAAAAACACAAAAATTAGCTGGGTGTGGTGGTGGGCGCCTGTAATCCCAGCTACTCGGAGGCTGAGGCAGAGGAATCACTTGAGCCTGGGAGGCAGAGGTTGCAGTGAGCCGAGATCATGCCATTGCACTCCAGCCTGGGCAACAAGAGCGAGACTCCATTTCAAAAAAAAAGAAAAAGACATTAATAGCAAAAATAAGACCTTGTGAAAGCAACTCTATTTAGAGTTTGACTTTGGCTGCATATGGTATGGGTGGCTGAGTGAAACCAGCTGAAGCTTTGTTTATAGTAACTGCAAACCAGAGGAAACTTAAAGCCTAGAATCTTCTGGGAACTCTCCTTGAACAGGTATATAGGAATTTTTGTTTAAAATTGGTTTCCTTTTTTTTTTTTTTTTTTTTTGAGACGGAGTCTCGCTCTGTTGCCTAGGCTGGAGTGCAGTGGCGCAATCTCGCTCACTGCAAGCTCCGCCTCCCAGGTTCATGCCATTCTCCTGCCTCAGCCTCCCAAGTAGCTGGGACTACAGGCGCCCACCACTATGCCCAGCTAATTTTTTGTATTTTTAGTAGAGATGGGGTTTCACCATCTTAGCCAGGATGGTCTCGATCTCCTGACCTCGTGATCCACCCGCCTCGGCCTCCCAAAGTGCTGGGATTACAGGCGTGAGCTACTGCGCCCTGCCTAAAATTGGTTTCCAAACTTAAAACCAAATATCACATCTGAATGTCTAATGCAACTGCTGTTATGTTATCTAACTGAAACAGCAATTGTTATGCAGAGATCGCTGGAATTGATTCTGTTCTTAGATTTAAAACTGGGCATAATTTACAAATCTGTTTTTAAAAGGCGATGATCTGGCCAGGTGCAGTGGCTCATGCCTGTAATCCCAGCACTTTGGAAGGCAGAGGCAGAAGGATCGCTTGAGCCTAGGAGTTCAAGGCTCCTGGAGTGAGCTGTGATTACACCGTTGCACTCCAGGCTGGGCGACAGAGTGAGACCTCTTCTCTAAAGTATAATAATAATGATAAACAAACATAAAATGAGGCAATCCATGTATGTGGTCCTATTGTTAAAAATCATTAGGTTTTTATTATTTATAATTTAAAAGTACTGAAATTAGCCAATTATTTAAGGTTTCAGTTATTCTCAGCATAAATCTAGCCTGAGAAAAATCAGCAAACATAGAGCAAAAATTTAGTCTTGGGGTCCACCTAGAATACAACTTTTTATCCCTTTATGAAGAAAATATGGGAGAGGCCAGGCCTGGTGGCTCACACCTGTAATCCCAATACTTTGGGAGGCCGAGGAGGAAGATCGCTTGCAGCAAGGTGTTCAAGATCAGAGTTCAAGATCAGCCTGAACAACGTAAAGAGACCCTGTCTCTGCAATTTTTTTTTTTTTAAATTAGCCAGGAGTGGTTGTATGCATCTGTAGTCCTCGCTACTTGGGTGGCTGAGATGAGAGGATCTCTTGAGCCCAGGAGTCAGAGGGTGCAGTGAGCTATGATTGTGCCACTGCACTCCAGCCTGGGTGACAGAGCAAGACCCTGTCTGATGATGATGATGATGACGACGATGATGATGATGTGGGAGGGCCAGAGAGTCACAGACCTTTGACAGAAATGGGAGGAGAATGTGGCAATGGGTAGAGGCAGTCCCATTAAAGTGAAAAGTATGTGGCAAAATTTTTCTTATTTAGCTACTCCATGAAGAAAAAAGCGTAAGTTGTCTTACATAGAAAGATCTTCAGATTCTCCAGGTAACTCAAGTATTACCATCTTTATAATTACATCTGTTTTTCTGTTCAGCTAGAGTGAAATACAGTCACATATCCCGTAACAATATTTCAGTCAATGACTACCACATATATGACAGTGGTGCCATAAGATTATATTACCATATTTTTATTGTACCTTTTCTGTGTTTAGATACACAAATATTTACCATTGTTTTACATTTGCCTACAGTGTTCAGTACAGGAACATGCTGTACAGTGTCGTAGCCTAGGAGCAATAGGCTATACTATATAGCCTAGGTGTGTGGTGGATTATACAATCTAGGTTTGTATAAATGCACTCTGTGATATTTGCACAACAGTCACCTAATGATGCATTTTTCAGAATATATCTCCATCATTAAACAATGCATGACTGTATACTTGTGATAGAAATCATGGAACTAAAAATAATAATAGTATATATAGTTTTTGGTATACCTTCAAATATATTGAATTATTTTATTTGCATCTGATTCTCTGGGGTTGGGGTGACAGACCTTAGTATGACCATTTCATAAATGGGGAAATTGAAGTCTAAAGAACTTGTGTCTTAACTAATGTCATACTTGTAAATGGTATACAAAGGGTAGCACACAACTTTCTGACTCAGGGATACCATTATACTCTCATGCACTTATTTATCAAATATTCACCAAGAGTTTTTGAGCACTTCCTGTGTAGTAGGCATTGCACTGGACTGTGGGGGTAGAAAGACAAGGCATAATTTCTGTCCTCAGGGAGTTTATAATCTTGTGGGGAGCAGTTAGACAAGAGAATTGGTAACAGTTATGTGTGTAAATTATTATAATGCCCACTGTAAGCAGTTTTAAGTGTTGATAATTTGGAGTAAAGCTTATTTTCACTTTTAAAAATTATTGAAGATCTTAAGATTAGTTAAGATAAAAATAATTATTGCTTCGTGCAAAGAGTATGACCCGTTTTACTTGTGTGCTACTCTAAGACTGGATAAGTTGTTACTGTATCCTTTGTAAGGATTTGTTTGACTTCCCAGGGTTATTTTACATGTGCCTTGATATTTCCAAAGATGCCTAATAAACAATTACGTGAAGCCATTCCTGTAACATTGCCTTGAGGGCAATTTTATAACTTACATATGTTAAAGTCATCATACTTAATCCATCCTCCAGATGCCTGATCAATTTTAAATGGCATTCCTATTTAGTTGAAGGAACTAGTAGATTAAAAATGTGATTGGGATTTATGTCTTCCCGATAACTTTTATATGGCTTCATGAGAAGAAAGTCAGCAGTGGTGAGCAAAGGGTTTGTGAAAATTGAGACATAGTGATAGTCTAGTAAGATCAGTGCTGGGTGTATAATTTGAGAAAACAAATAGTGAATTTAGGCAGGAACTCAACTTTGAAGTCACTTAATTATACCTAAGGGTATGGCAAGGGGTTCTAAAATTACTGTAACTATTATTTGCCTGGTATAACCACAGCAGGACAGATAGGGGAATGGAATTTTGACTTTAAACACATATTTCTTGGCTTTAAACTGCACGTAGGATTTAGAATTATATAGAGACTTAAATTTCAATCTTAACTGTGGGCTTTTTTTTTTTTTAATGTATATGTATACATTGGTTGCACTAGGCTCATTATTTCAGTTGCCTGAATAGTAATTTAACCCAATGCTTGAGTTAGTATTATTTTTATGTAAGAATAGTAAAAATGAGTATAACTAACAGAAAATGTTTGCATATCCAAGGCTATATGAATGGGATAAGAGCACCATAGCTTGGTTTTTTTTGGGGGGGTGGGGTTGTTTATTTTTTAATCCAGAAAGTATAATTTGGAAACTTTACAATTCCTTTTTTTTTTTTTTTTTTTTTGAGATGGAGTCTCGCTCTGTCGCCCAGGCTGGAGTGCAGTGGCATGATCTCGGCTCACTGCAAGCTCTGCCTCCTGGGTTCACACTATTCTCTTGCCTCAGCCTCCCCAGTAGCTGGGACTACAGGCGCCCCCCCACCACGCCTGCCTAATTTTTTGTATTTTTTAGTAGAGGCGGGGTTTCACCGTGTTAGCCAGGATGGTCTCGATCTCCTGACCTCGTGATCCGCCCTCCTCGGCCTCCCAAAGTGCCGGGATTATAGGCGTGAGCCACCGTGCCCGGCCAAAACTTTACAATTCTTATGGCACATAAGCTGTTCAATTAGATGTCAGTTATTAAGATAGCAGAAAAATTAAAAAGTTTTCATTATTGCCTTAAATTTTTCTGGGAAGCAGGGCAAATATAAATCCTAAATAAATAAGCAAGCACTGTAGGTGACATTTTCCCACTGGGGCCTCAGTCCAGTTTTTCTAAATTTGTTTAGCTTTCTGCCTGCTTTTGAAGGCTTCTGTTGCTTGTTTTTGTTTTCTTTTTCTTTGCTCTTTCACACGGAAATCAAGTGTTTTTATTGATTGAAAACTTTATGTTTTATAAATATACTTATTTGTACTGCTTGTATTTTTAGTGCTGTGTTCAAGCAGATGTCTTAGAAGAGGTTTAATGAGTAGAAAAGAAAATGAGCAAACATGAAAATGAAGTCTTCATGTATTTTTTTTTTCTGAAAGGGATTCTCTTTAATAACATATTCATACCAAACAAAAATCATTCTTTCCTGAAACATCACTATAAAAATAGAACATAAAGATAACACTTTTTTTAAAGTAGTGTAAATCAAGAAGGCATTTAGTATAATTAAAACACTCAGAAAGGATTTTTAAGATTATTTAAAAGACAGATTAAATTACTTTTATATCCCTTGACCACCTCCAGAGTTAAATTTATGATGTGAAATTATGGCAAATAAGAATTGTACCATAAATTTGAAAATGCCTTAAAATCTCTCAGGTTTTGACAGTAAAAAAGGGAACAGTCTCATTTATTGGTTGCTTAATGCTGAAGACCAGAGAAACATTTAAAGGGCTCCTAATTCTAAGAAGTTCTTTCGGGTTTTTTTTTTTTGAGACAAAGTCTCACTTTTCACCCAGTCTGGAGTGCAGTGGCGTGATCTCAGCTCACTGCAGCCTCCGCTTCCTGGATTCAAGAGATTCTCCTGCCTCAGCCACCCAGTAGCTGGGACTAGAGGCACCCACCATCACGCCTGGATAATTTTTGTATTTTTAGTAGAGATAGGGTTTTGTCATGTTGACTGATCTCAAACTCCTGACCTCAAGTCAGTCGGCCCGCCTTGGTCTCCCAAAGTGGGATTTCTTTTCCCACATTGCTCTGCTTAGAGTCAGGAGAGTGCTTTTGTGTGCTGTCGCTTTCCCATGTTTCTTGTACGTAGAAATGTTAGTGTATGGATTGTTCTTCAATCTTACGAAAACTGTAATCCCCACTCTCAACTTAGACAGTTGCACCTTATGAGTTAACAGCTTTATCAACGGTGGCAATAGCACTTTGAGGGACTCTTGAGTTTCTTAGTCTAGGAACTTTGGAGAAAATAAGTGTTTTTCTCAGATACATTATTTGGTCGATCACGAGAGTCAGTATGGCAAGTCTTTAAGAAACAAATATAAACATCCCGAAATAAATGGAACACCCACAGAGAAGTGGGGAGTTGGAATTATAACTGCCCAAAGCACAAGCCCTGCCACTAAATATCACCTCTCTTTTACCACCTCACCCCCAAGCTGCTCCTGAGTACTGCATATAATAAAATAGTGTTTTCAAAAATGTGAAGGGAGGGAGAGACCATTTAATCAAAGATGGGCTGTTACATGGACCAGACTGTCAAGAAGAAAAGCACAGGGAACCCAGGGGCAATTTTACTCCTGCTAAATGCTCCTGGAAATGAATGATAAGGGTTTGATTGCTAGACACAGACCTTCTGAAATCCCTGGGCTACAGTTGAGCTCCTCCAAATAAATTGTCATTCATTCATTCATTAAAACTGTAAAGTACCTACCAGAGATCAGGTGCTGGATTGGGCACAGAAACAGCAATAATTGAAAAATCACATTCCTGAATGGGGCTGGGCGAGGTAAGGAGGCTCTTACTCATTGGGGAGATGTCCCAGAAACAATGAACAGTGGCACAGGGTGACAGGGACCATGGTTCAGGGTAGTACGTGTGATACTGCTCAGTTACTAGAAGAATGGGCATTGGAGAGTCAGACTGACATAGTTCAAATCCCTGTTCAGCCATTTAATTTACTAGGTATGTGATTAAGTTTCTGGGACTTTCTAAAGTTAGTATCCTGGATATAATGGTCAAACATGCCTTGTAAGGTTAATCTGAAGACTGAAGGAGGCAGTAGATGAAAGTCCCTTAGCACAGTGCTTGGCACAAGCAGGCACTCAATAAATGGTAGTGTTGCTTTATTTATTTATTTTTTAACCTCCCTTCCAGGTCTGTAATAAGGAATAGAAGTGTGGTGTTTGTGCAGAACTTGTCTACAAGCCAACTTGTTTCAAGCTGGTTGGTAATCCATTTGGAGCATGGGGAGTTCCCATTGGAAATACCCATTCCTACTCACTATGTCCTTTCTTCATTTAAAATATGATCTTTCATAAGATCATGGACTTTGTCCACAGAATTGCTTCCAAACCCTCCCTACTTCAACCAGCCACTGCCTACCCCATCATCAACCAAGGGCATTCCATAACCGTTAAGACTTTTCAAAGTAGAGAAAAGATTGTCAGTTAAAAATTGCAAATAATTTTCTCTGTTTATAGATGGAGACTTTAATTTACCTTTGGAGTCCCAAATCATCAGAATAGGCCCCACTAATTACATAAATTAAGTAAAGACTGTATTCATTTATTCCTAATAGAGACACAACATGATATGGTGGTTAAGAGTGTATTTTCTAAGAGTGTAATTTCTGGAGCCAGACAGCCTGGTTCAAATGCTAGTTCCACTGTTGTGCTGGTGAGTCTCCAAAGATGACCTCCCCAATCACCACACCTCCTGGTATTCATGCCTTTTTCTGGCATCCCCCAGCATTGAATCTGGGCTTGCTTTTGGAACAAATTGGATGGAGCAGAGGTGACATTGCATGACTTCTGGGGCAAGAACATAAGAAGCTGCCATATAAGGCCCACCATGCTGTGAGGATGCCCAACATAGCCATGTAGAGAGGCTTTGTGGAGAGAGAGAGGCCCAGAAAGCTCCTAGTAGTTCCAGTCTTCTCAGCTGAGGTGCCAACCATGTGAGTGAAGTCATGTTGAAGGGCTAGCCCAGTGAGCCTTCAGATGACTCAAGCCCAAGCTCCTAACTGGTAGTAAATGCATGAGAGAATTCAAGCTAGAACCATCCAGCTGAGACCAGTGACCCACAGAACCATAACAAATAAGAGTACATTATTATTTTAAGCCACTAAATTTGGGGGTGGTTTGTTGTGCAGCAGGAGATTACTGTAACAATTACGAGCTGTATGACTTTGGGCTTGCTACTTAACCTCCCTGTGCCTCAGTTTCCTCATCTATAAAATGTGGATAATGATACTCCCTACCTCATAGGATTGCTTTGGGACTGAAATTACTGTGTGTACAGCATTAAGAACAGTGCCTAGCAAATGGTAAATACTCAAAAAATATTATTTCTTCATGAAATATTATACTTATTGAACACTTATGTGCCATGGCCTGTTTCACATCCTGGGCACACAGTGAGAAGGTCCCTGCACTAATGGTGCTTACATTCTAGAAGCAGGAGAGAAACCACAAAATAGGATGGTGATGTAAGAATGACACTGATGAGGTGACATTTGAGTGGAAACCTAGATGATGCAAAGAGTCTACCCACTGATGGTTCTTGGAGAAACTGAGGTCACCACTCCTTTGGGTGCAATGATTTATTATGTGGCAGCAGACAGTATCTCTGAGGCTTCTTGCCCATCATAAGTAAAGCACAAAATGTCTCCTGGATGTTTATGAATGGAAAGGCCTTGCTCATGGATTAAGGTTAGTTCCTGTGGTGAGGGTGGTAGGTTTGGTTTGCTTCTTTATGTTTGGTTTCTTTGGTTTTTGACTTTTGAGAGATGCTTTGGGGATGTGAAGCGGGGAGGAGGGAGCTGAAGGGTCTGTTTTTATGAGTAATGTTGCCTTGGGTTCTGGGTGCCAGAACTCTGCACTGTGGTGCAGAGTTGGGAGGAAACTGTTTTCATCATCTCCATTCACAACTCTCTGCAACCTTTGTTGTGGGGAATCTTAAGAACATCAAGAAGGAGCACCCTTGGAATAGACAGAGATTTCCTCTTCATCGGTCTGTTCAGAGTACTTCCATCAGCAAGGACATTTCATTTATACATTCATCTGTTGATTGACACTTGGGTGTGCTTCTACCTTTTGGCTATTTTGAGTATTTTGAACCATGCAGTGCTTTCACTTCCTTTGCATTTTGTAGTCAGGAGTGGAACTGCTGGATCATGTGATAATTTAGGTTTTGAGGAATCGCCAAACTGTTTTCCAGAAGTAAAAGAGAAAAAACCTGGTGAACACTGTTACCAGGAAGCCAGACTGCTTTCTAGGCCAATGTAGATGTCGCCTGGAGTTGCTCCCAAACAACTGGCATTTTGAAGAGGATGCTGGCACAGTCATCAGCTGCTGGGAGCTTGAGCCATTGCGCTTTAGTGGTTACAACTTACGCCTTGTTTAAAGATACGTGTATTTGTGGTTAAAATATTTTTTAAACAAGGGGATCATTAGGAGCCAGGCAGCTACTCCAGGAGATGCCCAATATGCTTGTTTTTGTTATGATATTATAATTTTAATGAACTTATTTTATGCCCCATAAATCTTAGATATATGAAAATTTGTTCCTATAAATCTTAGCAATGCATATATCATTTTATTATTCCCTATCAATCTCAACTACATACATCTGCAAATAAAACTGTATTTCTTAGAAGTAACAGAATTATGAAGTCAGAAGGGAATTATCAGACAGTCTTCCTAACTACCTCTGTGTACCCTAGTACACACCTGATGTCCACTTCCTCTGTGTTCCCATAGCATTCGGGGACATCTTTATTATAGCACTTATCACCCTGTATTATAATCATGTTTATTAATCTGCCTTCCCTACTAAACTATAAATCTCTTAAGGCCAAGGCCTTTTTCCTGGTAGCTAACATAGTGGTTGACACATACAGTAGTAGGTGAGTGAAAGAATGAATTGATTAATCAATTCATAGCTCCATCCACCTGCTTCTGGGCAGAACAGCATAGAAATGATAAATCTCCGAAGAAAAGTATCAACTTGTTTCCAAAGATTTCTGGTAAAAGGAGATGTATTAGTTCATTTTCACACTGCTATAAAAAACTACCTGAGACTGGGTAATTTATAAAGAAAAGAGTTTTAATTGACTCACGGTTTTTCATGGCTGGGAAGGTGTCAGGAAACTTACAATCATGGTGGAAGGTGAAGGGGAAACAAGGCACGTCTTACATCGTGCAGAGAGTGAGGGGGGTGTGCCACATTTAAAACCATCAGCTCGGCCAGGTGCGGTGGCTCACGCCTTTAATCCCAACACTTTGGGAGGCCAAGGCAGGCGGATCACAAAGTCGGAAGATCAAGACCATCCTGGCTAACATGGTGAAACCCCATCTCTACTAAAAATACAAAAATTAGCTGGGTGTGGTGGCGTGTGCCTGTAGTCCCAACTACTCAAGAGGCTGAGGCAGGAGAATTGCTTGAACCCGGGAGGTGGAGGTTGCAGTGAGCCAAGATTGCGCCACTGCACTCCAGCCTGGCAACAGAGTGAGACTCTGTCTCAAATAAAATAAAATAAAACCAAACTATCAGCTCTCATGAGAACTCATTCACTTTCATGAGAACAGCATGGGGGAACCGCCCCCATGATCCAGTCACCTCCCACCAGGCTCCTCCTGCAACATGTAAGGATTACAATTTGAGATGAGATTTGGGTGGGGACCCAGAGCCAGACCATATTAGGAGACTTCTAAGTTTTTGTACTCTGTAGAATTCTACATTTGAAAAAGATGTTCTCTTCCTGTGTCCTCCCCTGCTATGTCTCTAGTTGCGTTCCACCCCCCGAGTGTGTCATTATCTCTCACCATATGATTCTCTTGAGTGACTATCAGTCAGTCAGTGTACCAACATCGGTGACATGAACAAAGCAGCAGGCTGTTTGGGTTTATTGTTGGTTTCTGAATACTCACTTTCCAGTATAGGTGAACATTCCAGATACATCATTAACTGAAGCTCCTATGTGCTTTCTCTGTTTACATTCCGCTAGTCAGTTGAAATATAAATATGTATTATGCTTCTTGTAGATGAAAGAGTATAATGCTGCAATTTTAGTGTTAACTTTGTTAATTATATGTGTAAAATCATTTTGGGTTGAACTTGCAAATCATCAAATAAGGAAATAGATTAACAGTTAATGTGAATTAAGAGAGTATATTATATAGGTAGTTAACTTTAAAAAATTTTTTTCTTTTTTTTTTTTTTTTGAGATGGAGTTTCACTCTAGTTGCCCGGGCTGGAGTGCAATGGTGCGATCTTGTCTCACTGCAACCTCTGCCTCCCGGGTTCAAGTGATTTTCCTGCCTCAGCCTCCTGAATAGCTGGGATTACAGGCACCTGCCACCACACTTGGCTAATTTTTTATTTTTAGTAGAGACGGGGTTTCACCATGTTGGCCGAGCTGGTCTTGAACTCCTGACCTCAGGGTGATCCCGCTGCCTCAGCCTCCCAAAGTGCTTGGATAACAGGTGTGAGCCACTGCGCCCAGCCAACATTTTCTTTTAGAGTCAACATGTGCTTATGAAAATGTAAGTAATATAAGGTTGAATGATAGAGATGAGATTATATCATAATTCTAACATTTATAGAATTGAATATTGAACTAACATTTATAACATTAAATAAAATCACCTTTGGTATGTATTTAAGTTTTCAGTATTTCTTTCCGTTTAGACCATAAATCTTTTGGGGGAAAATAAAAGCACTTTTTTTGGGGAAATTCTTTATATATTCTGAGGATGAATTAATAGTAAATCTTATCCTTTTGATGATGATACTTGGCTCTGGCTAAATTGTGATTTTCACACTTGCCCAAGATATGTATTCAGTCACCCTGGAGTAAATATGAGGGAAACGGGCATTGTCACTTTGTGATGTGGAGCCATGTAACAGGAGGCAAGATTTTTTTTCCCTTAGGGGTTATTTGGTGAGCTATATGAGGACAGAAGGTGGAACACCTGTTATGGATGCAACAAGGAAGGATGTTGGAATGGGGATCAATGAGATTATTTTATTCGATTTATACAACAAATATTTACTTATCATGGACTGTTCTAGGCACGTGGGATATTATCAGTGAGCCAAACAGAGACTCTTGCCCTTGAGAAGCTTTACATGCCTGGGATGTTCTAGGAGCAGCAAAGAGGCCTATGGGATGAACAAGCAGGAGGTTGTAGAAGCTGAGGTTGTTGAGGAGGAAGTGGGGTAGATCCTGAAGAGCCCAGTGGGCCATTGTGAGTGAAATGGAAAGCCTATCAGTAAGGGCCCCCGTAGAAAATAGCGCAGTCAAAATACAGTGATTCAAGGGGGGTTATTTACAAAGGGACTATCCAGGAAGAGTAGGCAAGCTACAAAGGATAGTACAGTAACACAGAGAAAGTGGCAGACAGGCTGTCACTGCTTCTAGTCCCCAAAGGAGGTGTGGAGGGTGTTGGTACTAGAAGCCAGGAGTCAGCACAAGGTGACCTCACAGAGAAAGAGACAGGAAAGTAAATGCCCTGACTGGACTCTCCTCCCTGTTTTCAGTATCCTGTAGGGGCTTCCCGTGGCCAAAAGCAACTGGAAGACAATTGTTGATGCATTCATTTAGGTCAACCACCCAAGAAGAGTAGGGTGAAGATGGGAGGAGAGTGGATCTGGAGGGGCAAATGGACAATGTTTGGCACAGGGAGGCTGTATCAGGGTTCTCCAGAAGTAGAACCAATAGGAGATGTAGATATATAAATGTTTATGTATATGTATATAAAAATATGTATGTATATATTAATACAAGTACATATGTGTATTGAATATCTATACACACAGCTATATACACATATAAAGAGCTTTATTTCAAGGAATTCGTTTATGTGATTGTGGGATTAGGGAGCAGCCAGTCTGAAATTTGTAGTGCAAGTCAGCAGGCTGAAAACTTCCAGTGAGAAGATACCGCTGTAGTCTTGAGACAGAATTTCTTCTTCCTCAGGGAAACCTCAGTTTTGTTCTTAAGGCCTTCCAACTGATTGGATGAGGGCCACCCACATTATCGAGGATAATCTCTTAAGGTGAACTGATTGTACATGTTAACCACATCTACAAAACACCTTCACAGCAACACCTAGATTACTGTTGATTGAATAAGCACTTCCTATAGTCTAGCCAAGTTGACCCATAAAATGAAACCATCTAAGAGCCACAGCCACTCAAACACACTGCAGGATTTTAAGCAGAGGAGTGCCATAAGGTGTCTGTGATTTAAAAGGATCACCCTGAATACTGTGCTGAGAACAGATCATAGGGTGCAAGAATGGAAGAAGGGAGAGCAGCTGGGAGCCTTTTGTTGTAATTCAGATGAGAGATAATGAGGGCTTGGGCCAGCATGGGAACCATGGAGGTGGTAAGGGAATGGGCCGTTTTCTGGATATATTTTAAAATAGAGCCAATAAAAATTATTAATGGACAAGACGAGGGGTGTAAGAGAAAAAAGAGGAGTCAAGAATGACCTCAGAGCAAACTGGAAGGATGAAGATGCAATCAACTGTACAGGGAAGACAGAGGTGGAGCGGCTTTGGCAGCGGAGGCCAGGGGTCTGTCTTTGACATGTTAAGCTCAGCTATACATTAGACCCCAGGTGATGATGTCACAGCAGATTGCTGTTCCAAATATGACTTTACCATCAGGGAGAACAGGGAGCAGGTAACAGTTTGCTTCTTGGACCAGTACTTTAGGATGTAACAAAAATTGGAAACATCAAATGGCAGCTGGTGTGAGTCCATGTCTTTAAAGCATGCAGTTCAAGGAGCTGGGTAGCTGTATCCAACTATGTGTAGGTGTGCTCGCTGCTGAAGATAAAGCTGCTCATGACTTAGGTTTTGAGAAGAAGAACAGTATATAGTAAAAAAAAAAAAAAAAAAAATTGCCTCATTCACTGATAATGGCAATAAAGACACTTACTCTGTTTCAAATGGCTTGCTCTGGTGTATCACAGGAATAAATCCTGTTTCTTTCCTAGCCTGAGCCTATTATTCCGAACCAAAATGCCACAATTTTACATTGAAAATAAGGCGTCAGAATCTGTTGAGGTTGAACTGTGGTCAAAGGGCTTGGTTGCTGAGAGTTTGGAGTCTTCCTAACGCTTGATGTTTTTCTTCACTCTTCAGAGAAATCAGTAATTTATTATTGCACAAAACCCTACCCAGATGCTGCAGCAAAACATGAAAAATACTTTCTAGAGCTAAGTGCTGTCCGAGATAGAATCAGGGACACGTTCATTGCTTTTGCCCAAATTTAAACAGTCCACTTTTTAGATCTCGAGTGTGATCTATCCGTCAACCTAACATTTTACATAATAGTGGAGTTTGTAATGAAGAATCACTCTGTTGCTTCTGGGTCCTAATTTGATTTGACTATCCAGAACCATCTGATGAAGCTAGCAAGCACTTGCTGCCACCGTTGACAGCCTGTTATTTTGAGTTAGGATCTTCTAACTTATAGAGACAGAGAACGAAAAAGTGACTGCCTTTGTGATAATTACCTAACAGATTGACATATGTTAAAATTATCCCTCATTCATGTGAAAGTAGTATTAATTTTAAGATAGCATGGTAAATTTTAATTTTTTAAAAACAGGCCTACTATTGATGGTGTTGACAAAAAGAGTAAATCTCTGTAAAATATTTGAAGAGATTTATTCTGAACCAAATAGGACTATGACCCATGCCACAGGCCCAGGAGGCCCTGAGAACATGTGCCCCAGTTGGTTGGGCCACAGCTTGGTTTTATGCATTTTAGGGAGACATAAGGCATCAATCATTACATGTAAGGTGTACATTGGTTCGGTCCAGAAAGGCGGGAAAACTTGAAGTGTGGGGGCTTCTAGGCCATATGTGGATTCAAAGATTTTTCTGTTTGGCAGTTGGCTGAAAGAGTTAAATTAGTATCTAAAGACCTGGAATCAATAGAAAGAAGTGTCTGATTAAGATAAAGGGTTGTGGAGACCAAGGTTTTTATTATGCAGTTGAAGTCTCCAGATAACAGGCTTCAGAGAGGATAGACTGTGTTTTTTATCAGATTTCAAAAGGTGCCAGACTCTTAATTCTCTCCTGGATCAGGGAGAAGATCTGGAAAGGGAAGGAGATTTTCTACAGAATGTAGATTTTCCCCCAACAGACAGCTTTGCAAGGCCATTTCAAAATATATGAAAGAAATATATTTTGGGGTAAAATACTTTGATTTCTTTCCGGACCTGTTATCTGTCATGTTGATATCTTATTGCTACAAAGAGTCTGTTTTGTCAGTCTTAAGGTCTCTGTTTTTTTTGGTTTTTTTTTTTGAGACAGAGTCTCACTCTGTCGCCCAGGCTGGAGCGTAGTGGCGCGATCTCGGCTCACTGCAAGCTCCACCTCCCGGGTTCACACCGTTCTCCTGCCTCAGCCTCCCGAGTAGCTGGGACTACAGGCGCCCGCCACCACGCCCGGCTAATTTTTTGTATTTTTAGTAGAGATGGGGTTTCACCGTGTTAGCCAGTATGGTCTCGATCTCCTGACCTCGTGATCCACCTGCCTCAGCCTCCCAAAGTGCTGGGATTACAGGCGTGAGCCACCGCACCCGGCCAAGGTCTCTGTTTTAATATTAATGCTGGTCACCTGTGCCTGGATTCCAAAGGGAGGAGGGTATAATGAGGCATGTCTGACCCCCATTATATATAAAGTTTTGGTGCCGCAAAAGAAATAGCATTCGAATATAAAATTTTCATTTAATTCTCAGCAAGGCAAGTTACTTCTATTGAATAGTGCGCCCTTACAGATGGAGCAATGGTGAGCACACACTTGACAAGGGAGGGGAAGGGGTTCTTATCCCTGACGCACGTGGCCCCTGCTGCTGTGTCGTTCGTTCCCTTGTTGGCTAGGGTTAGACCGCACAGGCTAAACTAATTCTGATCTGCTAATTTAAAGAGAGTGACGGTGTGAGTGCTTTGGCAGGGGAAAAAAATGGTTATGCAAGGTGGAGAATGAGTCAGGGCGGAGCAGGTAGCAGGTAATCTGAATGAGTTAGGGTGAAGCAGGTGATCAGAATGAGTCAGGGTGGAGCAGGTGATCAGAATGAGTCAGGGTGGAGCAGGTAATCCCAAAAGGTTGCTTTACGAGGAAGTTAAGTTTAAAAGTAGAAGGTAAAGAATTGAACATACTGATATATTGATTCTTTGAAGAGAAATTTAGAATTTATATCTAACACCCCTTGCCATCATGGCTGAACTAGTTTTTCAGGTTAGCTTTGGAATGCCCTTGGCCAAGACGAGGGGTCCATTCAGTTGGTTGGGGGGCTTAGAATTTTGTTTTTGGTTTACAATGGACTGTGTATATTACTATTAAGTGGTCCTTGGAGGCCAAAAGTTTGAGAAACACTGTCCTAGACAGTGCTCTCCTTGAGAGCAGAAGCCACAGTTACCTTTATCCTTTCCTTAGAGCCCTGCACGTCGTGACCTGACACATAGTAGGTATTTAACAAATATTTGATTATTTTAAAAATTGAATGGCCTTTATGGGAGAAACAAAAGAATTATCATTGTTTCCTCCTGTTCCTTGCCTTATCCTCAAGTAACATGTTTATTTGGGAAGAGTTTATAACCATTTCATTTCTGAGTTTTACATTCTGCTTCAGTTTTCTCAGACATCTCAGATACTTTTCTGAGCTGAAACCAAGACGAAGTCACAGTCCTCCACAATTCTGCCCTAGCTCCTTTGGAAAGCTACCAAACTAATCACTGATATTTCTAATTTATTTATATATATAGGTATCTGCTTTACTATATGAGAAACTGCCAGACCAGTTTCCAAAGGGGTTAACCATTTTGCACTCCCATTGGCAGTGGTTAGAAGTTCTGTTTGCCCCACCTTCTGATATTTGGTATCATCAGTCTTTCTAGTTTTAGCTGTTCTGGTGGGCAAAATTCTAGTCATATCACGTTGTGATTTTAGTTGTCATTTCCCTGATGGCTAATAAGATTGAACTCTTTTTTCATGTGCATATTGGTCTTTGTGAAGTGTACATTAAGTCTTATGTCCATGTTTTTTATTGGATTGTCTTTTATCATGAAGTTGTAATTCTTTATTCCGAATACAAGGTTGTCAGGTACATGTATTGCAAATTTTTTTTCCATCTGTGGTTTATCTACTCATTAACAGTTACTTTTGATGAGCAGAAATTAAAACACTTGAAATCCAATTTAGTAGTTTTTAACTCTTGCAGTTACTACTTTCTTGCTACCCAAGATTGCAAAGATATTCTTCTGATATGGCTGTCTTGTCTGGGGAAACACCCAGGGTCCTTTATCTCGCACCAAGAAAATTAGCAACATGGACACACTCGTGGAGTGGATTAAGGAGCAGAGAGTTTAATAGGCAAGAAAGAAGAGAACAGCTCCCTCTACAGAGGGAGGTCTAACTGCCACATATGGTGGAAAACAGTCAGTTATACTGGGAGGCTCGAGGAGGCGGTGTCTGATTTGCATAGGGCCCAGGGGATTGGTTTGACCAGGCGTGTCATTCACATAGCCCTTGAAAAAACTGGCCCTCCCACCCTAACCTTTTATTATGCAAATGTGGCTTCTACCTGGCTGGTTGCCATGATACCTGTACACATGGCTTCTACCTGTCTGGCCACAATGTTACCTGCACACGCGGCAACAAAGAAAAGGGAGTGGGAACTGCCCTGTTGCGTGGACCTGGTTCTTAGCTGCCTGCATTTACATATGCAAGCCTGCTTGCTTGTCAATGCTTGCAGGTCTGGTTTTTCAGGCCATTTTCTGTTAGAAAAGAAATGTTTTGGGGGCTGCTTTTTTATTAAAAGAAAAAGCCTTACTGAAGACTCTTTTACCCATTCTAGCTGCCTAAAATAATTTCTTAATAACTCCTGTAATATATCTGTGTTTTTTGTAGAAGCTTATAATTTTAGCTTTTACATTTATGTCTGTGATTCATCTCAAGTTAATTTATGTATGGTGTGAGATGGGGTTATGATTCATATTTTTCAACATTTTTTGTTGAAAAGACTGTTCTTGTACCCATTATATTAGTCAAGATACTCCAGAGAAACAGTCAAAATATTTTATTTATTTATTATTGATTGATTGATTATGGGAATTGGCTCATGCAATTATAGAGGCTGAGAAGTCCCACCATCTGCTTTCTGCAAGCTGGTGAACCAGGAAAACTGGTGGTGTAAATCAGTCCAAGTTCAGAGACCTGAGAACCAGGAGGGCCTCTGCGTAAGTCCTGGAGTCCTAAGGCCTGAGAGCCAGGAGTTCTGATATCCGAGGGCAGGAGAAAATGGATGTCCCAGCTCAAGGAAGAAGAGAGAGAGAATTTGCCCTTCCTCCACCTTTTTGTTCTACTTGGGCCCTCAACAGATTGGAGGACGTGCACCCACACTGTTGAGAATGGATCTGCTTTACTCAGTCTACTGATTCAAATGCTAGTCTCTTCCAGGCAAACCCTCATACACACTCCCAGAAATCATGTTTTATCAGCTACCTTGACATTCCTTAGCCCAGTAAGTTGACACATACAAATCAACCATCACACTTATTGAAGAGCATTGACACCTTTGCCAAAGATTATATGTGTGGGTCTATTTCTGGACTCTCTTCTGTTCCATTGATCTGTTTGCCTATCCGGACTATTTTTCTCTTGCTTACAGGGAGTCTTTTAGACATCGTTATTATGGTGATACTTAACAACATATTAAGTGAACTACTTTTTTAAAAAGAGAAAAATAAGCCTTAGATTAAAAGACTATATCCACATTTCCTTGCTTCCTATCCAGTCACACAAATTATTCCAAGTTCTCCATACATTGATTTTGTTGACATATTTATATAATGAGCCTGCTGACTACATAATATCTGTATTTGTAGTTATTTCTAAAACTTCTTGTGTTTTAATTTTTACTCTTTTATATTATCCTCTAAAAAGCAGTGAGAGGCCCTCCATCCTTCACAGGATGTTGTTTCTTTTTATATTCTGTAGAAATTATGGCTGATCCAGAAATTAAAGTGAGAAACCAGTGTTCCTAGCCAATGCATTCTTCAAGAGATGTTGTTGTCAACTCACTTATTTTGTATGGGGTAACTTCATTAAACAAGCTTGTAAGGGGTTCCTTGCCTCTCACTCTTGGCGTAAAATGGATGTATGAAACCAGATTTTGCAGTGTGACTCAGATGTTCATCTTTATTACAAGTTAAGTTTTGATGCTTTTCTGTTTGTATTTTAAAAGTACTTTAGGGTTGACAATTTAAAAAAAAAACAGGCAAAAGATTTGAATAGACATTTCACTAGAGAAGATGTATAAATGGTCAATAAGCACATGAAGAGATGCTCAACATCATTGGTCATTAGAGAAATGCAATCAAAACCACAATAAGCTACTACTTCATACCCATTAGGATGACTTTAACAAAAAAAAAAAACACAGAGAATAGCAAGTGTTGTTGAGGATGTAAAGAAGTTGAAACTCTCATACACTGCTGGTAGGAATGTAAAATGGTACAGCCACTTTGGAAAACAGTTTCTTTTAAAGTTAAACATTTACCATATGACCAAGCAGTTGTACTTTTAGATGCAGGAGAAATGAAAATACATCCACATAAAGACTTGTACAAAGATGTTTATGGAAGCATTGTTAATAATAGCCAAAAGTAGATACATTTCAAATACCCATCAACAGGGTAAATGGATAAATATGTGGCATATTCATACAATGGAATATTATTCAGCCATAAAAGGTATGCAGTACTAATTCATGCTACATGGACCTCAGAGACACTATGCTAAGTGAAAGAAGCCAGATGCAATAGACCACATACTGTTTGATTCCATTCATATGAATGTCCAGAAAAGGCAAGTCTATAGAGACAGGAAGTAGATCAGTGCTTGCTTGAGGCTGTGGGTGGGAATGAGCAGTGACTGCAGATGGGCATGAGAAATCTTTTTGGAGTGATGGAAATATTCTGAAATTGGATTGTAGTGATGGTTGCACAACTCCATACATTTTCTAAGAATCGTTGAAATGTACACTTTAAAATGAGTGGGTTATTATGGTTTGTAAATCATACCTTGATAAGTTGTGTTGTTTTGTTTTTTTAAGGAAAAAAGTGTTTTATGATTGAAAAACTCTGACCTGAACTGGGTCTGAAATATCAAGGAACTACCAGGACCCTGGCCTGAAACTTGTGGCCAAGTGAGAAATGATAAAAGCAGAACTGCTCTATATGGCATTCGAAGACTCTCAATTTTAAGAATCAGCTTCTCCTTGAATTGAAAAACCACAGCATAAGTGCTTCTCATCAACATCAGCCATCTCTTCAGACAGCTGAGGGCTTTGAGGAAAAGGTGCTTGGTGAAACTTGGGTATTCTCATTTTATGAATAACCCTAAGCTTTGCAGTATACCAGGTCGCCATGCAGGAAGTACCAGGCATGTTTGAACGTAATTACCCCCACCCTGCTATAACTTTCAAGCCATCTGTGCCAGTTTCACGCAGTCTGGACTAGTAAGTTCTTTCTGAGACGCTCCCCAGTCTTCTTTTCCTTGTCTACTAGTGTCTTGTTTTTATGATTTTTTTTTTCTTAAATGTGTCGTCGTCACAGAACATTTAATTTAAATGCCACACCATCTGAGCAAAATGATTCACTGTCTTTTCTTCTGCTGACTAAACTCTTCTCCAGGAATCATGAGGTTTTTCTTAAATAGCATGCTAGTTTATCCACTTTTGTTTTGTTTTTAATTTAATTTACATTTTTTAAAAAGCTTTGTGTTTGGTGGAGTCTAAGTGGAAAAGAATTTAGTTTGAAAAGAATTTATAAGCAAAGTTAGCTAGGTTGTTGGGAGGCTTGGGCACACGGTGTGGAAATAATGAAAGTGCCTCCTCTGTTGATGCACCTAACCACCATCCCAAGGATGTGCCCTCGGGTTGTTGCTTCTGGCACCTCTGAGCCCTTCCCACACCCTCTTCCTCTCTTACGCGCTATTTGAGGCTACACATTTGTGAGCCATCTGGCTAGAGTAAGACAGTCGTCTGTGGCCTCAGACGTTGTTTTCTCTTGTAAAAGTTTTTCCATGTCCCATCTATCTGATCAAATGTCCTCTTTCCTGAGAGAACTGGACCTTTTGAAATGTTTTTCCCCTGAAACCATCATTCTAACTGCCTTATGATATTGCAACATTCAGCTCAAATATCTTAACCTGACATGTTCAAAAGCAAACTTATGACACCCTCTGTCCCTCTGCCCTACTTCTTTCTAAAGCAAAACAACATCAAACCTTTCTCTCCTTACTGCCTTTGTATTGTGGATGGTACCTGCAGGGCTTGAAACCCTGAAGCTATCTTCAATGTTTTTTGTTTTTTTGTTTTTTACCTGCTGTCAGACATCTGGCCTCTGCCACATTAAGTGAACCAAGCTTTCCCATGCAAATGCCTGCTGTGAAATTAAAACAACAATGGTGTCTTTTTTTTTTTTTTTTTTTTTTTGCCTGCCAGACTGATAAGTATTGATAGGCATCCAGCGTAGGAGAAGGTGTGAAAAATGGGAACTAATACAACTTTTCTTGGGGTATATTCTGTAATCATCTAAAATGCCCAACTCCTTGATTTAGCAGGTCCATTTCTAGGAATTTGTCCTATAAAAATATTCCCTTAAGCACAAGAATATTTTTATAATTATGTTTATAATAGCATTATTTATATTAATGAAAATTTGGAAACATGCTAAATTTAGAAAAATTTGAGATTTCTTGTATAAATGATGGTGCAAGTGTACATTAGAATAGTATAAAGCCATTACAGATGGTAGTATAGCTGTCTTTCAGTCCTTTGGAGTTCTCTGGATATTTGATAGGTGCTTAACAGATCTGGGTTCCATTTTAAAAATATACTCTTATACATTATTTTATAATGTTATACATGACATTGTCTTCTAGATAACCTACAAATACAGCATCTATCATTCTTATTATGTCCTAATAAAGATCACCTCAGTGGCTTCTCGTGAAACCTGATGAATTAAGCATTTATTTATGTATTTAAGCATTTATTTCAGTATTTCTCTTCCCACCAAAATTACAGTAAGGGAATTGAAAAGTTTAAACTCACAGGAAAAATGGAATTGGAACAGAATTAATAGTACATGAGAGATACCAACAAGATTTTGGAAGATAAGAAAGCAGATGGTCAGTGGTGACTGAATTAACAGAAGAGAGAGAACGAACACTCCCCTGCCAGAGGAGAAGGGAGGTGTCAGTAGGAAACAAGCCGATTTGTGCCACAGAATTCTAGAAAGGCTCTGGAGCTGGAGGCACCTGGTTTCTTGGAAGGCAGGAGGGCAGATGAGGTTAGAAGTTGGAGTTCTGTTTGAAGGCCTCTGTAAGAGCGGTTAACCCTACAGGTTCCCTCCTCCACCTCCAGCAGCAAGGGTGCTGTCTCTCTTCTACCTCCCCACCTTCTCCCTCCAGCCTGGCAGGGAGTATGCTCTGGGAACCACAGGGGTTCTGGGCTTCAGAACTGCAAGCCTAGCAGAAGAGGTCAGGCCCAGGTGTGGCACTGAAAACAGGGTAATTACAGTCTGTGTACTAGAATGGTGAGACCCCGGCCCCACCTCTTTCCCTGCTCCTCCGATGAAAGCTGCAGCAAGGTCTTTACACCTCAGGCGAGGCATGGAACAATCTTAGAGAAAATGAACAGCCCTTGAGAAAGGACCTCTATCCAGATACTGACATTTGGGAGGCCCAAGGCAAAAGCCAGCTCGTCCCCATCACACTGGTGACAAGCCCTGCCACAGAGCTTCCAGTCAGCCTCACCTCAGTTCTGAATGTGAACAGCCAGTTGGGGATTACTAGACATTTGAGGAAAGCCTCTTACATGAAAAGGCAGAGCCCAAACCGAGGGAAACAAAAACTCCAAGGCAACAGAAACAGTGCAGAGCAGAAGAAAATGTCAAAATAATAATCATTATCGTCCTCAGGGAGATGTGAAAAGACACTGTGCACATAAAATCAAAGCAGGATACTAAAAACAAAGGAAACAACAAGAAAAACACTGTTGGAAATTTAAAACTTGATAATAGAGATAAAAAAATTAGTATCAGGGCTAAACTTGACACTCAGCAGGTAGAACAAAATAAGAGGTAGAGTATTGAAGAGAAAAGATAAGAAAATTAGAGAATCCTGTCAGGGAAGTCCAAGTCTGACTAACGAGAGTTCTAAAAAGAAAGAACAGGGAATTTGGAGAGGAGGGAGTTATCAAAGAAATAACACTCAGCACAAATGAATGAAGAAAGATAAACACCAAGGTGCATCTTTGTTAAATTTACTCACAAAAATCCTACAACTCTCTGCAGAGGAGGACAGTCACATAGAAGGGGAAAGAACAGCATCAGCCTATTGCTGGAAGCTAGAAGGCAGTGGAGCAAAGCCTTTAGCGTTCTGAGAAAACCATTTAAAGCTACAATTCTGTACCTTGCCAAACTGGCAGACAAGTGTTGAGTACAGAATAATAAAGACATTTTCAGAGGTGTACTATCTGAAACTTTTAATCTCTGTACACCTTTGGTAAGAAAACTAAAGGAGGATGATCTCCAGAAAAATGAGGGAATAAAACAAGCAAGGAAAATGACCTAGAAGCCCTGGGAATGGGGGTTCCTGAATTGGTGAAGAAGTGAAGTCCCAGCCCACAGCTGTGCTGCAGGCCTTGAGAGTGACCAGTCCAGACTGGATAGAGGGTGGGCAGGAGGAAGGAGAGCTCCAGAATGGGTGTTTCCAAGAAGAGAATGGAGCTTGATAGAATACTGGTGCCTGGCCGGTATTGAGAGGGGTTTTAGTGATAGGCACATAGAAAACTAAGCTAACTTAAAGAACAAGGCATGGGCCGGGAGTGGTGGCTCACACCTATAATCCTAGCACTTTGGGAGGCCGAGACAGGCGGATCAGTTGAGGTCAGGAGTTTGAGACCAGCCTGACCAACATGGTGAAACCTTGTCTCTAGTAAAAGTACAAAATTAGCTGGGCGTGGTGGTGGGCGCCTGTAATCCCAGCTACTTGGGGGGCTGAGGCAGGAGAATAGCTTGAGCTTGGGAGGCAGAGGTTGCAGTGAGCCGAGATCGCGACATTGCAATCAAACAAAACAACAACAACAACAACAACAACAAAAAGGCAATTATTAGCTTTAGGAAAAATGAAAAAAAATATTAGCCCAGCAGTGAAAAATTTAATATTCATGTGGCTGTAGTCATGAAAATCTTGAATATGGATTTAACCAGAATTTTTGACAGAGGAATAGGGGGAATAACAGGAAGCAAAGAGGTGAAGTTTAAAAGGGCTAAGTCAAGAAGTAGCAGCATAAGCATATAATATATTAAGCAACAAGGAAATAAATTTCACGCAAACTGTCTGAAAGAATTACACTGGTTGCTTCTGAGGAGTGGCTGTCAGGGGCAGGAAGAGGGCAAGGACTTATTTCCCATTGCTGTTAAAAACTATGGACATACTTTTATATTGTAAACTATGCACATACTTTTTAATATAATAATTGGATTTAAAAACAATTTGTTCTCTTTTGTAGCAATTTAATGCTACCATGTAAAGCCTGTCTTTTACTCATTTAAGAGAACATTGGATGCTCACATATACATCTGTTCTGTTTTAAATGTGCTTTCTTCTTTACTCTGATTTCTCTTATCCCAGAAGGGAAGGGCTTTTTGTTTCATTCCTAATAAAATATCAGTATAGCTGGGCGCAGTGGCTCATGCCTGTAATCCCAGCACTTTGGGAGGCCAAGACAGGTGGATCAGAGCACCCTGGCCAACATGGTGAAACCCTGTTTCTACTAAAAATACAAAAAATTAGCCAGGTGTGGTGGCGTGTGCCTGTAGTCCCAGCTACTCAGGAGGCTGAGGCAGGGGAATCGCTTGAACCTGGGAGGCAGAGGTTGCAGTGAGCCGATATCACGCCACTGTACTCCACACTCCAGCCTGAATGACACAGAGAGACTTCGTCTCAAAAAAAAAAAACAAGAAAGAAAAGAAAAAATTAGTGTAATTTTGTGTTCCTGACCCATAAAAGACTTATCAGATGAAATTCCAGATTATGGAGATATTTTCTTGAAAATATTTCAGATTTGTTTCTTAGATTATTGCATAGAAGTCAGTTCTGTCCTATAAATGTTTTTGAAAATATATATATATATTCATGTGTCATTGAGAAGAAAACATGGGCCAGGTGTGCTGGCTCATGCCTGTAATCTCAGCACTTTGTGAAGCTGAGGTGGGTGGATCACCTGAGGTCAGGAGTTCGAGACCAGCCTGACCAATATGGTGAAACCCCGTCTCCACTAAAAATACAAAAATTAGCTGGTCATGATAGTGGGCACCTGTAGTCCCACCTACTTGGGAGGCTGAGGCAGGAGAATCATTTGAACCCAGGAGGAGGAGGTTGCAATGAGCTGAGATCATGCCACTGCACTCTAGCCTGGGCGACAGAGTCAGACTCTGTCTCTAAAAAAAAAAAAAGAAGAAAACATGGGTGTTGTATGACAAAAAGGCTCCTAGCTATAATGGGAAAGGTCTCCCTCAGCTTTTATCTCTGTTACCTTTAAGAATATCTGCCAGACAATATGTACTAGTGGTTTAGCCTGGGGATGCTTTTTCTCCAGGAATCTCCACCTATCATGTCTATCTTCTGGATTAATTTATGTTGACAACTTCCGGAGAATTGAAAGAATGCCCTAAAATGACTTAAGTACTTTGTTTCAGTTTTCAAAGGTGTAAAGAAATTGGCTGGGTGACAGGGCAAGACCCTATCTCTCGCTCTGTCTCTCTCTTACACACACACACACACACATACACACACACACAAAATCCTGTATACATGGACTGAGGGAATATAACAAAGCAGACTGCTTGGGACGGGCATATGAACAAACTGTTGGTGCCATCTCTCACATGTCTTAGTGGGACCCCCCCACTTACCCCAGGGAGGCACTGCCAGCTTCTGGGTCACATGAACCCTTGGAGTTTATGTTTTATCCTAGTTTGATATACACACGCACACACACGCACGCACATATATGTGTGCGCATGTGTGTGTGTATGTTGCTGTGCCAGCAGCTGGTAGTTGATTAATACTTGTTGATTTGCAAAACAAATAAATAGCAAAGAAAATCCCGAAACTATTCACAGATCTGAGACCAAAATATATGAAGATAGGAAACTTTTTTTCCATCTCCATCTTCACCTGCATTGTGCTTTTTGGATGCCTGGCTGCCAGGTGCATGTGGGTTCAATTACTCAGACAAAGATGACTAGAACACTCCTGTCTGTGCAAGGTTCACAGTCAGCTGCAAGGCCAGGTGCACACTGCAGACACCTGTGAGACCTGTGGATGCCGAGGAGGCACCAAAGGGGAGAGGGAACAGTGGGCTCTGGCTCTGGGAGGTGAAAGAGGGAAGATAACATCCCCCCAGGTCTAGGAATTGGATGGGAGAGGATGAGTTCCTCGAGAAGGTGTATTTGGCCCCAACTTTGAAATTGGAGTGGAAGTCAATAGTCTGGGAAGGGAAGAAAGAATATTCCAGGCAGGGAATTTACATACGACCTCACAGAGGTGGGAAAGGAAAGGGGCCAGGTGTGTTTGAGGATGGACAGAATGATACCCAAGACACAAATGGCTGGGGGGTAGATGAGGCCAGAATGTTAGCCTGGGGTGGGCCCAGTACCCTATGATTCTGAGGAGTTTGGACTTCATTCTGCAGGTAATAGGAAGCTCCTCTGTTATTCTTTCATTCTTTTATTCCTTCAACAGCTGTTCATTCATTCAACCTGTGGTTGTTGGGATTCAGCAAGGCAGCTTCAAACATTAGAGGAGAGGCCTAGATGTTCTAAGGCCAGGGTGGCCCTGTGTCCACATTTGTCCTGGACAGTTCTGATGTGTACCTGTCATCCAGGGCATCACATATGATTTACAGTTTGTCATGGATTTTTTCATTGTTTTAAAAGAAATATTACCTTTTTTCCCTTTTTTATAGTCATTTTAAGGACTTTAGAAATATTACTCTTAATAGTTGCTTTAAAATAATCTAGGATGGGCTTGGTAGAGCTTCACTTAGTACTTCCATCTTTTGCCGTGGTCTTGTCTAGAAGTGTATCATGCATGTATGCAGTGCCCGGAGTTCTCCTTGAACACATGGCTAAATGTGAAAGACAACCAGTGATAACCTGTCTCTCCTTTCCAAACCCTTTCCTGACACAACTAACAGCTTTCAAGGACAGCAGGCAGGACACACACTGATCACATGAAACAGCTTGGGCTTCAGCCACTAGGTGCTATTTACTCCTTCCAGTCTCCAAGCATTTGCTGCTGCTGCTCCTCGCAGCCACAGGAGGTGCCAGTGCTGTGGTTGATGCCAGACCTGGTAAGGCACCCGAAGCACCAGGCTCGCACCAGCTGGTTCAGTAGGAAGCATGGGAAAGTACAGGTTCATTGCACACATACGATAGATTGGGAAATGGAGACTCTTACTTACTATAGAGTATATAGAATATCCTGGATGCTCTTGCCTAGAGTGTTTCTGAAATTTATTGCTCCGTGTGTATCCACAGCTCTTTATCTTATTATTTGGTAATGCTTTTTAAAAATTTTTGCTGTAAACCCTTTCAGGAGCAAATGGCTAAAAAAAAAAAAAAAAGCTCCTGTTTAGAGAAAAACTGAGTAGTGAATTTCCAGTTTTCTCAAGAACATGGATGAGGAATGTATAACTTGCTCAGAAGATTTGCCACCACTTATGTCCACAGTAGGATCTCAGGGTATCACTGGCCAAAGGAAAACTGCAAGACAAATGTCTGTGAAAAGGAATACTCTTCGTTTTCAACGTTATCTCTTTCCCCAGCCAAAACCTAATGCGACAGCTCTTGGCACGATTGCCTGTCTCCTCATCCTGCTGCATCTACCTTAGCCTTCCTGCTTCTGTGGGTTCGGCTTTGTTGTCCCTTCACGTTTTTCCCATTTGCCTTTCCACTTGGCAGACTTCAGTCTGAACACCCTCCCAATGCCGAAGGGCCTGTTCGCAGCTGGGATCTTTCGAACATCTTCATGCTTAGGCAGCATTTGCACAAGAGGCATAACCTGAAGTCCTGTCTTGTTCGTTTTGTAGCCAAGTCTTCATTCAGCTTAAGAAGTACTAGTGGCTGCTGGTTGCCTCTCACCCCAACTGACCAGCCACAGGTAAAGGACTCAGCGGTGATAACTCAGAGGTGATAACAGGGGCTCGAGGGCCTAGTTACACTTTTGCAGAGGCCATGGAAATTACAGTATGTGCCTCGATGATTCTGAATTTTCTCCCCTTTGTGGTTGCTCCAAATCATCTACGTCTACTCGAAAGTGAGGTGCTTTGACCTGAATTCAGCCCATGGTACTCCAAGCAGTATACAGTTAGGCAAAGCTGATGTCTCCCTTACTATTCACACAGCCTGTGTTGGCTTGCTTGGTGGCCACGTCACACTGTTGATTCCTAGAGAGCCTGTAGGAACCCCAAACAACAAAGGTGTCTATACAGTTACCTGCCACAGAGGTGCTGGGTAAGGACACCTGGTGAATGTCACTATCCATTTGTTAATCAGGGTAATTAACACAAAGTGCAAAACTGCTCTAACAAACAACTTCCCCAGTCTCAGTGGCCTAACCCAATAAATGGCTGTTTCTTGTTCCCTTCACCGTCCAGTGCAGTGGGAGGGCTGTTCTGGGCAGCTCTCTCTTCTCCTGTGTGGCTCTGCTGTCTTCCAACACCTCCACTTTTCTTCTACTGAATCCCCTCCTTAGAGCAAAAAGAGAACTCCAAAAGGATTGCACTGGGTGTCTTATGGCTAGGCCTGGAGGTAATGGGTGCATCACTTTCATCTACATTCCATTGACCAGGACCCAGACTCATGGCCCCAACTTAACTGCAAGAGAGGCTGGGAAATGTCGACTCCATGTGTGACCTGAGAAGAAACAAGGTTTGGGAGCATCTCCTCAGCCTCTGCCACAGTCAGGTCATGGAAAAACACAGCAAGGTGGAAGTCTGGTGACCTGAGTTCTGCCATTGTCTTTCTGGGTGGCCTTAGGCAAGTCATCATAACCGCTGTCAGCCATTTCTTCCTCCCCGTAAGGATCTTAATAATACTTGCCCTGTACTTGTGAGTTTACATTTTTATATAAAAGTATGTGCTAGTAATAGGAGTCATGGCCTGCACTATTATTTTAAGATTATAAGGATCGCAGTCATTTATTCAATGAATATTTTCTGAGTACTCATAGTAGCCAAAGCATTGGACAAACTGTAGACCCACAGACCAACTGTTCTCTGTAGCTTACATTCTGATAGTGAGACAGATGATAAATAATCTGTGAAGAAATAAGAGGGCTGTGTGATCTAAGTGACCAGGGGTGCTCAGGATAGGCTTCTCTGAAACAGTGACTCTTGAGCTGACCTAGATGATGAGGTGGAGTGAGACCCGTGTATATCAGGGAGAAGGCTGTGCCAGGCAGAGGACCAGGCTGTGCAAAGGCCCTTAGGTGGGAACCAGCTCGGAGGGCTCCTTGAACAGAAAAGTGGCATGACAGCCAAGTTGTTGCTTGAAGGAGAAAGATGAGAGATAAGGGGATATATCATGCAGTGTCTTAACCTCTCTGTGCCTCAGTTTCTTCATCTGTAAACTATAAAGTTGGGCCAATAATAATATCAACTTCATAGGGTTGCTGTAAGGGATTAAATGAAATGATACGTATATAGTGCATAGAAAAATACCTGGCACCTGATGTTCACTAAGTGTGTGAACTATAATTAAGGTGAAGATTTTATTCTAAGTGCAGTGGGAAAGTTTTGGGTGGTTTTCGGGGGTTATCTCCACTGGTGTCTTCAGGCTGGGCCCAAGGTGGATGGGAGTTTCCACGCCCCTTCTAGACATCCAGGGGTAAAGTTTTTTTAGTGAAATCCCCAAAAACAAAAGAAAATGTTCAAAACATCTCGTTATTTCTACAATCAAAATATGTTTTATTTTTTAAACATGTATAAGATTTACCTTTACAAGAGTAGTATTGAAATATACCCAGAATATAGATGAATAAGATCTTGTAAGCTTCTGATTTATCCCCCTCTAGAAAGACTGCCAAATATTTTTACATAATTTGTCTATAGATCTTTCTGGACTACCTTTGGAGGTCCATGGGAGAGGTGACACTGAGTGGTCACCTCGAGCTTTACGTAGATCAACTGTGCCTCGAGCTTTACGTAGATCAACTGTGGTCTGCATTTTAGAATGCACGTTCCCAAAGGTTTGTTTGTGGAAGAGGGAAATCGTAGAAGATTAGAATGATGGCTTAAAAAAAAATCACGTGCTGCAAAAACAGTTCTTTTTGATCAAAGTAGTAAATGATGTGTTTAGGGAGGAAAAGCTGCAGACACAAAGGAGCATTCCCATTTCTGCAGAAATGCACTCCTCCACACAGAAGAAGCTGGCCTCCTGTTTGCATTTTGCTCATAGTATCCTAAAAATGCAAACCATCAGCTTAAAATGCAGTTCCTCTGTCCTCTGGCAGGAGCCCCGGCATCGAGAGCTTTGGCACGTTTGCTTGTGACAGTGAGGACATCCCAGGAGCTGTGGGGTGAGTTGAGGTCACTGTGGAAGCTCTACGCTTTGGCCCACACGGGACTTTGCTGTTGATAGGAAAAAACACAAACGTCGAATTGTTTTTCTGCAGGCAGATAATGAATCCCCAAATCAATATAATCTCACAAAACAGTAGCTTCATCTATTTGCCACCAAAAAAGCACCTTGAGTTTCTGCATTAAGTGTTAGCATTTACAGGAGATTTGAAATATAAAGTTTCCAAAAAGATATGCATCTGCTTTTTGCAAAGAATGGCTTAGAAAAGAGAGTGGCCTTTTGGAGCTCTGCTGCCAGGCAAGGTAGGAAATATTAGAATGAAAAAGGTGGAGCCAGCAGTAGGTATATTGTCTGTGATTTGTGCAAGGAGGCCGGTGATTCATTGAGTACCTAATGGATTATTCATTTAACAAATATTTTTGATGTTAAGCTTTAACTTGGGGCCATGCCAGATCCTGGGGATGCAACAGTGAACAAGGCAGGAAGGATCCTTGCCCCCTCGAGGTTGAGCTTTATAACATGCAGTGAGTGGGCTGAGCCATCCCATGCTCACAGACCTGAGGGGAGCACTGCTAATTGGACAGAGCCCACCTTCGGGTTTGGGGGTGTTTAGGCATGTCTCCAGGAGGGAGTGACCTTGAAACTGAGACCCTAAGCATGAGTGAGAGAAGGGCAGAAGTGGGAACATGTTCCAGGTAGAAGGAATAGCTTGTGAAGGTCCTATGTATTTTTATTTTTCCTTCTTCTCTTCTTCCTCAGCCAGAAAATTCAAGGATGCCCAGGTTGTGGAGTGATATGTAAACATTATCCCATTTTCCCTTTTTTTTTTTTTTTTAAACAGGGTCTCTCTCTATTCTCCAGGCTAGAGTACAGTGTGATCATGGCTCATTGGAGCTTTGATGTCCCAGGCTCAAGTAATCCTCACACGTCAGCCTCCTAAGTAGCTGGGACTACAGGCATGCACCACCACATCCAGCTAATTTTTAAAATTTTTTGTAGAGACACGATCTCCCTATGTTGCCCAGGCTGGTCTTTAACTCCTGGACTCAAGCAATCCTCCTGCCTCGGCCTCCCAAAGTATTAAGATTACAAGCATGAGCCTGGCACCATTTTTGTTAATTTTTAAAACAACACAAAAAGTCACTGTGCATTTTGCATGGTTACATATATATAATATATATTAAAATATATATTATATACACATATACATAAATACTTATGTGTGTATATGTATATACACACATACATAAATATATATAAATACACACACACACACACACACACACACATTTTGATCAGCATGGAAGGAAACCCACTAAATTTGTAACAGTGGTTGCTTCTGAGGAAGGAGGAGGAAATGGGGCCTGGGATGAAGACAAAGGAAATCTCATTTTTATCTGAAATGTTTTATTTACTTCATTAAAGGAGACTTTAAAAATCTATTAACAAAATGTTAACAAAAGTCAATTTCGTGGTTGGTATCCAGGTGTTATATTATTCTGTGTATCTTTCTGTATTTTTTATTTTTTTATTTTTTTTCTATTCTTAACAAAGAAAATTCAAGGATACAGACTAGATTCTCCAAGTGGAAAGGCCATCTTCGGAGAATATGCTCTCTAAAGTCCTTTATAATGACAATCAGGAGCTCTTATCAAAGCTTGCATCAGAGGGCATCAGACAATCTTGATCACTCATATAAAAAATGAAGAACGGATGTTGTGTCATACTGAAAAGGCTCACAGCAGTATGCTTCTCATTTGCAATAGAATTTCTCTCTGGCCTTCAGTGCAAGATGACATTTGTCTCTGGTTATAGGAGACTTACACTGGTACAGATCACCTCTGCATCCTTCTTTCAAAAGAAGCTTTGTCGGGGTTGTTCGGGTCAGCATGTGTTCAAAATTGCAATGATGTAACCCAGTTTCTATTGCTGATCATATTTGTGTCTCATTCTCAAATTTTCATTGCCATGGGAACAGGTACAAAACTTTTGGGAACAAATGATTTATTTTATTGGGAATGAGCATCCAAGTCCTGTAGTTAATTTCAACACCTCTCTACAGGAGAGAGTCAACAGAATTGTCTACGTAGTGTCAGAGAACCAAGAACCTGCCAATGAAACATGATTATACCTCCCTATTCCTCTCCTTGATGAAATAATCTAAAAGCCTCCTGGACAGTCTTCCTCGCTTCTTGCAAATTTTAACTCCTGGTTCACTGTCACTGTCTTCAACACTCTTCCTTGTCCTAATCAACTGTAATTTCAATATCTATATGGGTGATCTTCTCAGGTCTTTAACCTCTTCTCCGCCAAATAACTTATCCTCCATAGTTCCTCAGCCTCCCACTTCCACTGTTATTTTGTCCTTACTCCACCACAGTCTTGGTTGTTACTGTCCTCACCCCACAGCGTCCTGATTTCCATCCTAACCCAGTTTGGATTCCACAGCACATCATCATGGTCACTCCCTTGCCTATGTCTTCAACTCTCTTGTCCTTCTCTCCTGCCATATCCTCCCTTGGCAAACCTCACCACTCTCCCCTACTGCTTATATCCAACTCTCCACCTGCCCTGTACCTTTGCCCACGGAGCTGAATGTGGCTGGGGAAGAAGACCACGAACAAACAAAAACAAATATCGCCACCATGCAGAGAGGTCTTAATTTTAATTCATTTACTTCAAGTGGACCCCAGCAGTCCTGGTACTCCTGCTGCATTTCATTAATCCATTTCCTCACTTTCTCTTCTGTTATCAGATTCCCAGTAGTGCCTCTCTCTTCCACATTTGCTGCTGATGACCTTGTTTTCTATTTTACTAAGAAAAGCAATCCAGAAAAAAAATTCTATATATGCTTTCACCACCTCATTTACTGACCTACCTACATCTGTCTTCCCTTCTGTCATTGGGCAAAACTGTCCCTGCTCCTACTAAGGCCAACTCCACCAGCTGTTCCTTCTGTAGATCAGATCCCCCTTTGCCTGCTCAAGGACATCTGTTAAGCAATCCTCCCTCTCTCTTGCTTCATCAGTTTTGCCCTCTCTACAGAATCCTTCCCATCAGCATGCAAACATGCCTTAGGAAACACCCATTGCAAAAACTCTGCTTAGACCCCATATCCCCTTCCTTACCCCCATATTATTCTGTTCATCTTCACAGCAAAACTCCTTGAAAAGCTTGTTTATATTTATTGTCACCATTTCCTCTCACCCCATTTTCTCATGATCCTTTTATCCAGTTTTCTCCCCATGGTGCCACCAGAACAGCTTTGTCAGCATTACCAGTGACTTCTGGTTGCTAAACTTCTGTGTTGCTAAATCCACTGGTCTTTCTCAGCAGCAGCACTTAACTCAGTTGCCCATTCATTCCTCCTTGACATACTCTCTTCGCCTGGCTTCCAGACGCCACACACTTTGGTTGCCTCCTACTTGTTGACTCAGTCTCTATTGTGGTTTGACCTCTTCACAGACTTGATGACATTGGAGTGTTCCAGGCCTCTATACTTAGACCTCTTCCTTTTTCTATCCACATTCACTCTGGGAGTGACTTCATCAAGTTTCGTAGCTTTGAATTACCCTCTATACATTTATACAAATAGTCACTATTCATGCAGGAAAAAAACAAATTAGTTTGAGATTCTTTTCATGGCTAGGACTTTTTCGGTGATTCATAGAGAGCCTGCTTATATTTAAGATTACAGATGTGGCATCATATTTTGATAACTTTCTGATTATTGTACAAATAGAGGTTGTGTGCAAAACAAAAAACAAAGCAAAAGACAGGAAGTTTTACAACAGACATCTTGGTGATAATGTTTAAAATTTAAATTGTTCTTTCTGTTATTAGCTTCTTAAGCTGTTCTAAGTTCTTTGGAACTCTGATATTCACACCACTGAGACAAGCTTCTAGGAATTAGAATGCAACGATGGCAAATCCAAACATGTCCCTTTTGGGAACTACGCCATTATAATTTCTACGATGAAGTGTAGATGTGTTTGACACAAAAAGCAAATAGCACTGAAAACACTTCATCTTACCATAGGAAAATAAAACGTATGGCACTGTACTTACCAACATGGGGAAGCCGTATTAATGTCAAAGCATCTATTGACCCTTGAGTCTGAAATAGTTAATTAAGATGAATATAAACCAACCACTTTTGATTGTGTGTGTTTGATTTTTTTAATCACTGAGTTTTGTTATATGTAAGTTTTTACAGAATGGAATTCTCCACTATTCAGTGGAGACCTCATCTGATTAAAGGAGTAAAACAATTATGATCAAGACTTTATGACTGAACAACTTGAATGAAGAAATTAAAAGGTGGTATGAACTGGGAAAGAAATGGGGCTTTGGTAACCTGAGAATCCTACCAAATGCTTTTATAGCCATTTTTTCTACCTACTCAGGGAATAAGGAAGGAACCATCATTAAGAATTTTATGGGGAAATTATGATGAATAAAATATTATGATAAAATGAAAGCTTATCTTTTTCTTCATTAGCGCATTGTGTCTCAAGGCTTCCTGACATATAAAGTCTTCACCTGGAAAACAAATGAGCAAAAAACTTAGTGACATTCAGAAGAGATGATTCAGCAATTACTCAGTTCATTTAGTCAGTATCGGTAGTTCATCTGGATGTTTCAGGACCCAAAATGAATTATCTGTAAATTAACTACACAATTGCCAAATAAATCCTCTATTTTGAACTTCATAGAAACATTCTATACACAGGCATTGAATGCGTCCTACTGTATTATTTGTAAGAAATGATTTTTTTTTTTTTGAGGTGGAGTCTCGCTCTGTCACCCAGGCTGGAGTGCAGTGGCGCGATCTCGGCTCACTGCAAGCTCCGCCTCCCGGGTTCACGCCATTCTCCTGCCTCAGCCTCCCGAGTAGCTGGGACTACAGGCGCCCCCCACCACACCCGGCTAATCTTTTGTATTTTTAGTAGAGACGGGGTTTCACTGTGTTAGCCAGGATGGTCTCGATCTCCTGACCTTGTGATCCGCCCACCTCGGCCTCCCAAAGTGCTGGGATTACAGATGTGAGCCACTGTGCCTGGCCAAGAAATGATATTTTTAAATGTTTCTTTGCTAAGCAATATCTCTAGGTATTAGAATATGCAAATATATGCTAAGGTCCAATCAGGACTGGTATTCATTCTAAGCAATGACTCATCTATTAATAATACTGACCTAATATTTTGCAGCTTTGTTGAGGTAAGTTCTTAAGGAATAAGATTGTGAATCCTGGAGAATTGCAGAATTTGTCAAAAGAAAATAAGTACTTAAATTTTTTAGGAATGCAATATGCTAGAAAACTTCCCTTGGGTTAGTTCAGATATGAGAGAGGAAAAAGCATTATCTTGGATATTATACTTTACACACTTAAGTAAGTGACTAGATGTCAAAGCCTCAGATATTGTTTTCATGACAGTTTTCTAATTGGCGCTTTTCTTGGCAGGTTCCCGAAGGAAAAGTAGTCGTTCTCAATTTCCGATTCATAGACCTCGAGAGTGACAACCTGTGCCGCTATGACTTTGTGGATGTGTACAATGGCCATGCCAATGGCCAGCGCATTGGCCGCTTCTGTGGCACTTTCCGGCCTGGAGCCCTTGTGTCCAGTGGCAACAAGATGATGGTGCAGATGATTTCTGATGCCAACACAGCTGGCAATGGCTTCATGGCCATGTTCTCCGCTGCTGAACCAAACGAAAGAGGTACTGTTTCCACATAATGGCAATAACAACAGTAATGTTGGTTCACTGTTCTTGGCACTTGATGTTTATTTACTCCTTTAAAGCTTAAGAGTGGTTCTCAAAGAGCTAGTGAATGCCATCAAACCATGATGAGACCAATACAAAAAATCAGCCTTTTAATTTAAGTCCACATGCATTCTTGTAAATCAAGTATAGAAATTCATAGAGTAAAAATGTGGAGCTTACATACATAAGCACACATGCAAATATGCAAACACACCCCTTCACCACTCCATAGTCCATTCTCCAGAAATAGCCATGGCCAGTGGTTCCCATACCTTTCTATGTGTGCTTGCTTTTATTTGAGTACTTATACAATAGCTTTTAAAAAATAAAAGTGGAGCCCAGGCATGGTGGCTCATGCCTGTAATCCCAACACTGGGGGACCAAGGGCAGGTGGATCTCTTGAGCTCAGAAATTCAAGACCAGCCTGGGCAAAATGGTGAAACCCCATCTCTACAAAAAATACAAAAATTATCTGGGTGTGGTGGCACACACCTGTTGTCCCAGCTACTTGGGAGGCTGAGGTAGGAGAATCACCTGAGCCCAGGGAGGTCACTGCTGCAGTGACCGTGATCATGCCACTGTGCTGCAGCCTGGGTGTTGTTGAGACCCTGTCTCAAACAACAACAAATATATATATACACACACACAGATATATGAGATATAGTGAGCTCCCAAGCGTAGAAATCTCTACTTTTGAAAGATCACTGCAGTGGGCAATATTTGTATGTTTTCAGCCTTTTACCCAAGAGCAGTCCATAATCTGCTTTTGGATTGGACTGTAGTGCAACATTTTTACTTGAAAGGTCAGAGGACAGAATCTGGGGCTGAAAGAGCAGCCAGAATGTTGGGGAGGAAATCCAGGCAGGGAGTTACAGAATTGAGGCACAAAATATTCGTATAAAATCTACTGAAATCTTTGTCTGACAGCTAAACTCTACATATGTGGAGGAGAGCCCAGTTGGCCTGGCACAAAAGCATCAGCTGAAAAATGAAAGAACTGAAAAGAGATTACAGCTGCTGCCTGCTGCCAGGGAAACAGACTTTAAGTTTGAGTCTAGCCAAGTTAAATGCCTGCTAGAACAAAATTATTTTTATCAGAACACAACAGAATCTAGAGTATAATGTATCATGCATAATGTCCAGTCTGTAGTTATGTAATGAAACAGGAAAAGTGTGTCCCTATTCAAGGACAAAAGCAGTCAATAAGAACTGATCTCAAGGTAACTCACATGTTGCAATTAGCAAACAAGTACTTTAAAGCTGCTATTACATGTTTGTTTCAGGATTTATAAAGGGAAATATGTGCATAATAAATAAACAAATTGAGAATCTCAGAAGAGAAACAGGAACTATTAAAAAATAAATTAATAATTCTAGAGATAAAAGAAACAGGATCTGAAATTTTAAAATTTACCTATTGTACTCACAGGTAGATGGGAGATGGCAGAAAAAAAGAGTCAGTGAACTTAAATAGAAATTACTCAATCTGAAGAAAAAGGAGGAAAAAGATTGAAGAAAAAGAGCTCGAGAAACCAGTGAGACAATATCAAGTGGTCTAACATCTGTAATTTTTGTCCCAGAAAGTGATAATAAAGTGAAAAAATATTTAAAGATATTATGACTTGACTCTGCTCAAATACAGTGAAAAATATCAACTCACAGAGTCAAGAGGGGCTGAGCGTAGTGGCTCATGCCTGTAATCCCAGCACTTTGGGAGGCCAAGGCAGGCAGATCACCTGAGATCAGGAGTTCAAGACCAGCCTGGCCAACATGGTGACACCCCGTCTCTGCTAAAAATACAAAAAAATTAGCCAGGCATGGTGGTGCACTCATGTAATCCCAGCTACTCGGGAGGCCGAGGCAGGAGAATCGCTTGAACCTGCAGGCAGAGGTTGCAGGGAGCCGAGATTGCGCCACTGCCCTCCAACCTGGGCAACAGAGCGAGATTCCATCTAAAAAATAAATAATGAAAATAAGAAAAATAGAGTCAAGAGGGTCAACAAACTCCACAGGACAAATAAAAATGAAGCACCCCCATGCACATTATAATTAAATTACAGAAATTTAAAGACAGAGAAAATCTTGAAATCAATCAGATGAAACTAAATTCCATACAGAAGAAGAGTGATAAGAATGATGGCTTCCATTTCCTCAGAAACACTGGAAGCCAGAAGGCAGTGTCATAGTATTTTTTTTGAGACTGAGTTTCACTCTTGTTGACCAGGCTGGAGTGCAGTGGTGCTATCTCGGCCCACTGCAACCTCCACCTCCCAGGTTCAAGCGATTTTTGTGCCTCAACCTCTCAAGCAGCTGGGATTACAGGCATGCGCCACCATGCCTGGCTAATTTTTCTATTTTTAGTAGAGACGGTGTTTCACCATGTTGGCCAGGCTGGTTTCGAACTCCTGACCTCAGGTTGATCTGCCCACCTCGGCCTCCCAAAGTGTTAGGATTACAGGTGTGAGCCACCGCCCCTGGCCTGTCACAGTATTTTTAAAGCGCTGGAATAAAACTGTCAACCTCTATTCTATAGCCAGCCTTCAAGAATGTAAGTAAAATGAAGACATTTTCAGATAAACACTAAAAATCTCTGAAAGGCATTTTTATACTTACACTGGTAGAAATATTGAAGAGAATTCCTCAGGTTGAGGTAAATGACCTTGTAAAATGAAAGTAACAGAAGGAATGAAGGTCATTGGAAATAGTAAATATAAAAGGGTATATGTTATTTTCTTTTCTTCTCTTAATTTCTTTACATGTATCTGTTCAAAACAAAAAAACCTTAGCACTGTGTTGTGGAATATATAGTGTATGATGTAATATGTTTGACAACCAAAGGATGGACACATAAATGTAATTACACTGTTGCACATACATATACAACACGTGAAGTACAATATTAACTCTAAGTAAATTTTGATAACTTAAACATGCATATTATAATCCCTAGAGAACCCATTAAAAATGCAGGAGTTATCACTAAAAGCCAAAAGATTAAAATAGAATACTAAAATTATCCAACTAACCCAAAGAAGGCTATAAGGAAAAACAGATGGAATAAAAGAAAGGTAAAGCAAATAGAAAAAAGTAGTAAATGGCACATTAAATCCAAGAAGATCAATAAATATATTAAATGTAAATTATTAAATACTCTGATTAGAAGACAGTTATTGTTAGAATGGATTGAAAAGCCAGACCCAACTATATGTTGTCTACAAGAAAGCACTTGAAATACAAAGACCAAGTTGGTTGAAAGTAAAAGGAAAAATACAAAACTTCATTAAAATTAAAACTAATACTTATAAAAAGACATGGTTACAAATACAAATAGCCTACAGAAGGGGAGAAAATATTCACAAAAATGTCTGGTGAAGAACTTGTATTCAGAATATACAAAGAACTCATACAACTCAACGATAAAAAGGTAAAGATTCCAGTAAGTATAAAAATTGGCAAAACACTTGGACACTTCACAGAGGAAAATATGAATGGCCAATAAGTGCATGAAAAACTACTCAGTATCTCTCATTAGTCATCAGGGAAATGCAAATTAAAATTACAGTGAGATGCCATTACTTACCCACCATGTTGGCTAGAAAAACTGACACCACCAAGTGGTAGCAAAGATGTAAAGCAACCGAAGTGTTCATACTCGAGAGAGGTGTAAAACCACTTGGAGAAAAGTTCCAGTAGTTTTTTATGAAGTTAAATATTTACATCGACTCTTGGCCCAGCAGTTGCAGTCCTGGGTATTTATATAAGAGAAATGAAGATACATGTACAAACAAATGTGTACAAAACTGTTCATAGCAGCTTCATTCACAATAGTCCAGACTAGAAACCACCCATCAGCAGGAGAATGGGTAAACAAATTTATATGGAGCTCTAAAATTAAACTCATCTAATGGGAAGTTTTTCAGAAAAGTAGTGTAGAGAACTGGCAGGATGGGAAGAGATGCACAAATTTAGTGGGAAATGGATTCTATATCATCATAGGAGTGTGGTTTACACAGGTATATCCATTTTTCAGATTTGTACAGCTAAGATTTGTGCATTTCAGAGTATGTGAATTTCTCTCCCCAAAACCTGTAAAATAATAATAATAAAAACAATGAAGCAGGTCGTGGGGATTGGGTGGCAATATAGATAGAATAATAGAATGATGACTATTATTGTAACTGGGTAATGGATATGTAGGAGGTCATTATATTATTCTACTTACTTTGTATATACTTGAAATTTTTCATTAAATGGAGATTTAGAAATTATTCCAACCTCCATTTTTATAATACATTATCTTAAATTTAGAAGTTTGATTTAAGAATGGTTGGATATATTCTGTGTCAAAGAAATATTCCATTGAAGTATAATTATTTTAGTTTCAGTTCAGTTTTTATTTGTTATTTACATTCAAGTAAAATTAAATTTAGAACTTCGTATTAAAATAATTCTTACATTATTTCTGCCAACCTACAGGTACATATGCAACTTATGAGTACAGATGCCTGAAATGATATTTGTCACCTATTAATTTTGATGAGTTTTTGGTGGCTAAAACTGGGGATTTGGGGGTATATTTTTGCTTCCTTCCTTGTGCCTTTCTGTATTGCTGAAAATTTGTAAATATTATTTTTACAAACAAAATTTATTCTTAAAACATATATATATTATATACATATTATATATATATCATGGGAAGTTTTCTAGTAATGAGAGCTGTCTATATCAACTAATTCAAATTTTGTCCCTGGGTGTTTACTAAATACCAATGCCTTGAGGAGCCTTAACATCTCTATGATTTTTTGAGCCTGCAAGCTTTCTGAGTGAGTGCATATTCAAATGTTTTGTCTTCCTTGTCTAAGGAAAAAAAAAGAAAAGAGGCCCTGAGTCCACTTCTCCCCTCTCTCGTGTTGCTATGCTATGTCAGGTAACAAAGATCATTCATTGTGTGTGTTGGGGGGTTATGTATGTAACCATATGTTTAAGAGAAAATGTAAGCGCTTCTGCTGTTGCCTTTATTTACTGTACTCTCACCAAAGATCCCACATTCCTAATCTCCACATGGTTGTATTGCTGTAACCTACATAAACTTGTGGGCTTTTTTCCTTGTTTAATACTTGAAGGGGATCAGTATTGTGGAGGACTCCTTGACAGACCTTCCGGCTCTTTTAAAACCCCCAACTGGCCAGACCGGGATTACCCTGCAGGAGTCACTTGTGTGTGGCACATTGTAGCCCCAAAGAATCAGGTGAGATTCCCTGGAAGTGTGAAGAAAGCATGCATGTGTGAATTGCCCAGTGTGGGGGGCCCACCAACTCTCAAGAGCCTCCTGTTGTGGGGGCTATTCGAGAGCTAAGGGATACAAGAAGAGGAAGGTTCCTGGACACAGGTATTTCTTCATGCGAAGACCCCAGATATTTTTTTTTTTTTTTGAGACAGAGTTTCGCTCTTGTCGCCCTGTCTGGAGTGCAATGGTGCGATCTCAGCTCACCGCAACCTCCACCTCCTGGGTTCAAGCGATTCTCCTGCCTCAGCCTCACGAGTAGCTGAGATTACAGGCACGCGCCACCACGCCCGGCTAATTTTGTATTTTTTTAGTAGAGACAGAGTTTCTCCATGTTGGTCAGGCTGGTCTCAAACTCCCGGCCTCAGGAGATCCGTCTGCCTTAGCCTCCCAAAATGCTGGGATTACAGATGTGAGCCACCGTGCCCGGCCTAGCCTTTGCATTTTTTTGAGTTGCAAATTCATGGATTTAATTTCCTGCTATATAATGACAATTTTCAAAACAGTTTTAAAAATACAAATGGTAAGCAGATCTCACATAGGATTGTTTAACCCTGCAGTGGATGTTATAAGCAGCAGCGACTAACTGTGGGAGGATAAAAATCCCCAGGTCCATGGACATTTCAGGTTACCATTTGCTCCCATCACAAACCCATCATGTCCTGATAATAGTTATTCTAGTGACTAAATAAAAAAGTGTGGATGCTTTGCCTCAACAAAGCCAACAAAAGCAAGCCACATTATCTCTTCAAAGAACAAGCTGGTCTGCTTTAGGGTGTTTTTGGTTGTCATTTAAAATAAAATATGTGCAGGTTCCCCACAAAAAGCTTCATTCATTGTTCTGAAATAATCAACAGAGAAGGTCGACTTTTCCAGTATTTATTAATTTGTGGTTACATATACAACTTTTTACCCTTTCTGGGAACCAGTTTCACATATTAATTGCAGGAAAGAACTTAGCATAGAAACACATGAAATCTACTTTGTGGACCTTTAAAGATAACTTTATAAAAATTATTACTATTAGAAACACTATAGACTTTAACCCAAACACTATGAGGTAAACATTATGATACTGTTTTTAAAAAAACTTTTCTAAATTAACCTTTCATATAGCTTGAACAGATACCATTTGTCATGTATTTCTTTTTTTATAGAAAATTATTTAAGCTAATATACCATGCAAGTTAGTGATTTGAACATATACACATATATACAGACATAAACAGTGATCATAATTCCAAAACTTGGTTTTATTTTTAAGAAGAAATATATGGCCATTTATTTAATAATGGAAGATTTTATAAGTCTGTTGAATGTTTTATAAAGTAATTTTAAAAATTGTGTTTCTGAAACATTTAAACCATTATGTAATTCTTGAAATTATATTGATCATTTTCTCTGTGACATTTGTAAATATATTTGACCAAATAATTCCAACTTAATTATACTTGCAGATTACAGTTAAGCATCTCTTTTCCATTGTTCTTCCCTTTGATCATTTAAATGTTAAGTTTGATTTTTATTTGATTTTAATGTGATTTTTGGCTTCTGTCAATTGAGTTCTTAATCACTGTGTTTGAAATCACTGGCAGTTTCTCAAAGGAGAAAAATATAATGGGAAAATTAAGTCCTAAATAGTTTCTATGCAAGGGAATTATTGTATTGAAGGAATTTCATTGGAATTTTCTTCTATTAAAGAATTACCTTACCATCATTTGTTACCACAGTTCTTTTCCTTTATCTTCTTCTTTACTTTTTTTAATCTTCTCTGCAAAAGTTTTTGTGACTAATTTCTTTTTTTTTTTTTTTTGAGACGGAGTCTTGCTCTGTCACCTAGGCTGGAGTGCAGTGGTGCGATTTCGGCTCACTGCAACTTCCACCTCCCGGGTTCGGTCCATTCTCCTGCCTCAGCCTCCTGAGTAGTTGGGACTACAGGAACCCGCCACCATGCCTGGCTAATTTTTTGTATTTTTAGTGGAGATGGGGTTTCACCGTGTTGGCCAGAATGGTCTCGATCTCCTGACCTCATGATCTGCCTGCCTCGGCCTCCCAAAGTGCTGGGATTACAGGCGTGAGCCACCACGCCCAGCCTTTGTGACTAATTTCTAAGTAGAAAAAGTTCGCCAATTTTTTTAATAACCTGGAAAGCATTTTATTAGTAAGTGGTAAGAAGTCACTGGACCCAAAGAGGAAATATTTTAATACAATTTAAAGCCATCTTAAGTATGAATAAGCATTATTCACCTATCACTGGCACTGACTTTTTAAAAGGTAGTTCAGTCCAAAGATGTGTGGAAATTATGGTCAAAGCCAAAATTACCTTTGTGTCCATCTGTGATGCTGTTGCTATTATCATCTTCACCTGGATTACTGTGTTTGAGTCTTCTCTAGCTAATAGGAATTAATGTCCTTTATCTTCCCTGAAGTAGCAAGGAGGGTTCTTGCCCACTTGCTGCTCGGCAAGATTGGGTACCAGCTGTCATAGGTAATAATAAATCCAGTGAGGTTTCCTTTGATTCACATGTTGGAAATGTTCTTTTAAACATTTGCTTGTATGGGGAATGATTGATTGCCTATTTAATCAAAATTTTCTATTCACGTGAATAATTTAGGACACTATTATTGGTACTAGTGCAAAAAATTGAGAAATACTAAAAACCTAACACTGACTTTGTAGATCAGTGCTTCTGTGCAACCTCTTCAAAAATAACCACACCCTGATTAGGCCGTGCACGGTATCACACATTTCAAACATACTTCAAGAAGACACTGCCATCAATTCCACTTCCCTGAATAACTGGTCCTGAAAATTTGACTTCTTTACATCTGATAGAAATGTCAGTCTCCTTCCCTCAAAAGGGGAACAACTCTATCCACTCAGCTCACCCTCCTACACATATATTCACACACACTACTACTCCCTGACATACAGTAGTATAAGGAGCATCTTAGATAATACTTTTTATTTCTATTAGCTTCTATTAAGGTATGTAGCCCCTTTTCCCACTATAACACACATCCAGTTATCCAATTACAATCTTGTTTTTCTCTTTCTTTTTCTTTTTCTCTGCAGCTTTATTGAGGTATAGTTGACAAGTGAAAATTATATTTATATGTGCAACATATATATTTATCATGTGCAACATTATATTTTGATATATGTATACATTGTGAAATGATTACCACAATCAAAGTAATTAACATATCCACCTCACATAGTTATTATTTTGTTTGTGTGTGGAATGTGGTGTTAACATTTAGGATTTACTCTCGGCTGGGCATGGTGGCTCATGCCTGTAATCCCAGCACTTTGGGAGGCCAAGGCAGGTGGATTACTTGAGGTCAGGAGTTTGAGAGCAGACTGGCCAACATGGTGAAATCCCGTCTGTACTAAAAATACAAAAATTAGCTGAGTGTGGTGGCGGGCACCTGAAACTCCAGCTACTCAGGAGGCTGAGGCAGGATAATTGCTTGAACCCGGGAGGCAGAGGTTGCAGTGAGCTGACATTGCACCACTGCACTCCAGCCTGGGCAACAAGAGTGAAACTCTGTCTCAAAAAAAAAAAAAATTTACTCTCAGCAATTTTGAAGTTTATTATATGTTATTATTAACTATAGTTACCATGCTGTACAATAGATCTCCAAAACCAATTATAGTCTTAAAGTAGGTTGCTAGTGTTACATAATGTTCCCATACTTTTGTAGCTGTAAGTGAACAGAGTTCTTAAGTTGAATATCCTAACTAGAGTTGATCTGAGTTTGAGATGATCTTTTGGAAAGATTACAATTAAAAGCAAAAGAATACCACAGTTTTTTTTTTAACTAAATAAGAAATATGCAACAAAAAGCACTTAATGCATACTTTTTTTACAAAGGAAAATCGTAGTATCCTCCAAATCTGGGGAGAGGAAGAATTCCATTTGAGGTTATTCAACAATGCTATTAATATTTGACACTTCTATTGTGCTTTCTCTAAAGCTTATAGAATTAAAGTTTGAGAAGTTTGATGTGGAGCGAGATAACTACTGCCGATATGATTATGTGGCTGTGTTTAATGGCGGGGAAGTCAACGATGCTAGAAGAATTGGAAAGTATTGTGGTGATAGTCCACCTGCGTAAGTAGCACCTATTTATGTCTTTAATAGTTTTATGGCTCTAAACTTGTTTCTTGTTCAGTTTCCCAATCACATTTGTTTTCTGGAAGATTTTATGTTGTTGTTGTTTTGTTAAATTATTGGGTCCTCTATTAGTTCTCGCACTGCTGTAAAGAAATACCTGAGACTGGGTAATTTATTTAAAAAAAGAGGTTTAATTGGCTCAGGGTTCTGCATGTTGTACAGGAAGCATGAGGCTTCTGCTTCTGGGGAGGACTCAGGAAATGTACAATCATGGTGGAAAGGAAAGAGGGAGCACACACATCACATGGCCAGAGTAGAAGCAAGGTCGAGGGGAGGTGCCACATGCTTTTAAATGACCAGAGAGCAGAGAGCTCACTGTCGCCAAGGTGGATGGTGTTTAAACCATGAGAAACCGCCCTGATGATCCAGTCATCTCCCACCACGCTTCTCCTCAACATTGGGGATTATATTACATTTGGGCAGGGACACAGATCCAAACCACTACAAGTCCCATAACCATGGAGTCAGCACCACCAAAAAAGAATAGCCAACCCAGGCCCTGAGGCAACATTAACAGGAGTGTCAATAGCCAAACAGAAACAAGTAGAGCTGGTGATACCCCAGGGTCAGATGCAGAGCCGGGTACCTGGATACATCACTGCCCTGTAAGAATGAGATCAAGCATCAGAGTGGAATGGGAAAATTCTGAAAACAAAACAAAACAAAAACAACCAGGGGGCTTAATACTGGGGATCCAGACAAGGAGACCCAGAAGTTTACGACAAACCCAAATGATTTTACCTTATCAGAGATCTGTCCTGGACTGTTTGAGGCCTTATGCCTCCCCCTCACATTGCTATCCAAATTTTTGCTAAGTGGACCTTGAAGGCACCATGTATTTATTCAACAAACATTTATGGAGCCAAGAGTTCTGCCACTTAATAACTGTGTGACATTGAGCAAGTTACTTAACTCTGCTGCAATATATAACTGTATTTCTGGTGTAATTATGTAACTGCATTTATATAACTGCAATATATAACTATTTCTGGTGTAATTCTGGTGCAATATATAACTGTATTTTGGTGCAAGATATTTCATAACTTCACTTACAATATTAGTAAAAGCAACAGCTGAAATTACTGCAGCTTGCCTTCAAGTCACCATTATGCCAATTTAAATACCCTTTTCTACTCTGTTGCTTAAACGTAATTAGATTATATGCATCACTTGATTTTATATGCATTATTATGGTTTTTCATTGACATATTTGAGTTAAAGGAGGGTATTTTCTATTACATTTACATTGATAAGAATGTTTTAATACATACAAGATAGTAGTTATAATTTAAGCATAACCATACCCAAATTTGGTTTACAGATGAATATATTGGAGAAGGGCCTATTTCTAAGTTCCTAGATAATTCTTTTCCCATTGCTGCTGTAACAAATTGCCACACGTGCAGCGACTTAAAACAGCACAAATGTATTCTCTTACAGTTCTGGAAGCCAGACACTGGACTAAAGTCAAGGTGTCGGCAGGGCTGTTTCCTTCTGAAAGCTCTGAAAGGGAATCTGTTTCCTTGGCTTTTCCTGCTTCTAGAGTCTGCCTGCATGCCTTGGCTTGTAGCCCTCTTCCTTCATCGGCAAAGTGTGTCACTTCAGTCGCTGCTTCTGTCTCCTCTTCTTAGTCAAATCTCCCTCTTATAAGGGCACTTGTGGTTACATTTAGGGCCTACCTAGGTAATAAAGGACACTCTCCTCTTCTGAAGAGTCTTACTCACATCTGCAAAGCCCCTTTGCCTTATAAAGAAACATACTTACAGTGTCCAGGGATTAGGATGTGGACATTGTTGGGGACTACACACCCTATTGAAAGCCAACACATTAATCTATGTCTTCCTTTGGACCTCCTCCTTTTTTCCCTTGAAACTTTCCTCCATTTATTAACCCTCCTCTTTTTCTTCATGTTTATCCTCTACCTCCCTTTTTATTCCTTCCCCATAGCCTATAAACCTAAGTTCTCCCAAATTAAAAAAAAAAGTTTTAAACTCTATTGACTCTGTCCTGGTCTAACTTTTCTTCCATGTCTCTCCTCTTCATATCCAAATACCTTTAAAAAGTAATTTCAAGCTTCATTTTCTAGCAATATGCAAGATAAGATATCCTTGAAAACTTTATAGAATAAACACTAAACAACATTCCTAAAGATTAAGAAAAAATTTTGAAAGCATCGCTGAGTTGTCAAAAAATAAGAGAAGTCATCAGAGGTCAAAAGTAGTAAGAAGCCCAAAGCCAGAGAGAGAAGCACATGCTGAAGATGGCAGCTCCCCCGGGGCATGTGCCAGTTCCTGGAAGCCTAGCACTTCATTCTAACAGACTGTGCTTGCAGACAAGAGACAAAGCTCAGGGTCCAGGCCAGGGGGGTTTGGAGCAAAGACCACAGCATGTATAGAAAAGGGACCCAGAGAAGCTGACACCAATATAAGTAAGCTAACTTTCTCCCTTCCCTAAGGGAGATAGTAAGGAAAACTGGCTGGTTTTGCCTTGGCTTTTGGTGAAGGAACGGATAGTCTCCGATGAGAATTTCTGACCAAAAACCAGCCAACATTTGGGGTTAGAATTTACACTACCTGACTGTCCCCAAAAAAACAGGTCAAGAATTTAGTTTAAAGCTTCCAAGTTGATAATGCCTGCATTAGAAACAGTAGAAATACAGTTTTTAACTTGCAAAACAGTGGAAGGAAACATGAAGTGACAAAAAATTCAGTGCAAAAGAAAGTAAGAAAAGAAAAAATGAGAAATATTTTCAAAAGCATGACAAAGCAGGTGTGATGGCTCAAGCCTATAATCCCAGCACTCTGAGAACCTGAGGTTGGAGGATCAGTTGAGCCCAGGAATTTGACACCAGCCTGGGCAACATGGTAAGATACCATCTGTAAAATTTTTTTAAAAAAATTAACTGGGAATGGTGGCATGCACCTGTAGTCCCAGCTACTCAGGAGGCTGAGGCGGAGGATCACTTGAGCCCAGGAGATCGATGCCACACTGAGCTATAATCGTGCCACTGCACTCCAGCCTGGGTGACAGAGCAAGACCCTGTCTCAAAAGACAAACAAAAAGTACAAGATAAGATGGTAGAAATGTATCTATCATCTAGATATATATAGGTATATCTATAAATATAACTGTAATCAATATAAATACAAATGGACCAAATAATTAATAGAAAAGTGTTATACTAAATAATTAAACAAAATCCAGTTATATGTTGTTTACAAGACACATCCCCCCAAAATAAAAACAGAGTTTGAAAATAAAAGGATATAAAAATGATTAGAAGCAAACACTAATTGAAGGAAAATTGGCATAGCTTCATTGATATTAGGAAAAAATCAATTTTAGGCAGAAAGCATTACCAGAAATAGTTGCTATATAAATGATAAATGATGCAATTTATCAGGCAGATGTAATAATTGTAAAATTTTAAACTTGTAAACTTGTACATAAGATTATTTGAAGCAAAAAAATTAAAAAATTAAGAAAGGCAGATCTACAAAGTTCATTATTGTAGTAGAGATTTTTAACACATCTCTTTCAATAATTAACAGATTAACTAACTGTTAATGAGAGAAAGATGGGAAATTAGGAGGTAGAAGATTTGAAAAACAATGAACAGGCTTGGTCTAATAGACAAATAGAGAACACTACATCCAGCAACTGGAGAAACTCTATTTTTTTCAAGCAAAAATGGACACAGGAGAAAGAAAAAGCCATATTTGCCAAATGATCACTAAAGAAATTTAATCAGTAATTAAAGGTTTTCCTGTCAAGGAAGGAAAAGTTCTGACAGATATTTGAGGTACAGACATTTCTAATACTGCACAGAATCTTCCAGAGAAAAATAGGGATTGTTCCACAACTAATTTTATAAAGCTAGTATGAACCTGACACAAAAACAAGGTAAGGACAGTACAAGAAAATAATATTAGAGACCAATCTCATTTATCAGTATGATAAAAAAGAAACGCTGAAACAAAAAACTTGGCAAGCCAAATTTAGCAATGTATAAAAAAAATTCTATGACCAGGAATCCAAGGTTGGTTTGAATTTAGAAACTTTATTAATTTAACCTTATACCTCACCAGATTAAAGTGTGACTTGTGGACTTATGTTATTTAATGGAAAAATCATTTTATTCACAAATGTCTTTTCTTAGATAGTTTGAACTTAAAAGTTTACATTTTGAAAAAAATTTATTTTAAAAGCAATAAAAATCCTGCTCAGGAATAAGTATAAAAATGTGCTTAATAGGGAAAATTATAAAACCTTGCTAAAATATATTTTAAAAGAGCTAAATAAATGGAGCTATATACAATGCTCATGAATAGGAAGACTCAATATCATTTAAAAATATTAAAACTGGTTTTCCATTAAGCCTAGCAGTCTAATTCTAAAATGTGCATGGGATTGCAAGGGGATAGGAAGAAGGGGGCAAAAGTAAGACAGTTCTGAAGGAGAAGAACCTGGCAGGAAGACTTGCTTTACCATGTATGGAACCTTATCAGAAAGCTGTTGTAATTAAGACAGTGTGGTTTTAAAAGAGTGATGGGTAGATGGCTAATTAAACAACAAGGAGAGGCCAGAAACATATCCACATGTATCTGCAGATTGGGCCCGTCACAGAGAACCATCAGTCAGCAGGAAAAGGATGGCCTCATTGAAAAATGGGGCCTAGACTATTTTTATTCATATGGAAAAATGAAATTATATTCATAGCTAATATCACACAAAAAATCAATGACAGATGGATTAGAAACTTAAATGAGAAACTTAGATGAGAATTTCTGTTCATCAGAATATACCCTGAAAGAGAGGGAAAAGAAAAGCCACAAATGGAAACATATTTATAACATATATTTGACAAAGGCTTAGGTTCCAGAACGTATTAAGAAATCCTAAAAATTAACAAGGAACAGATAACCACCCAGTAGGAAAAAAAAGGGGGTAAAAGACATGAAAAGGCATTCCCAAAAGAAGAAAGCTGCATAGTGAATAAACCTTTGAAAGGTGTGTGAATTGGTACGACCACTTTTGCACTGCAAGACATATACAAGAATGTTCTCAGCAATATGGTTTGTAATGAGGGTGGGAGAGAGTAAATAGCCCAATGTTTATCAACAAGAGAATTCTTAAATTGTGTTATAGTGCACACTATAAAGCAATGAAAACAGTGGATGAATCTCATAGTTATAATGTTGAGGGTTTAAAAAAAAAAAAAAAAAGGCTGAGCGTGGTGGCTCATGCCTGTAATCCCAGCACTTTGGGAGCCCAAGGCAGGTGGATCATTTGAGTTCAGGAGTTCGAGACCAGCCTGGGCAATGTGGAAATCCTATCTCTAAAAATACAAAACAATTAATGTCGCCTGGTAGTGCATGTAATCCCCGCTACTTGGGAGGCTGAGGTGGGAGGTTCCCTTGAACCCAGAAGATGGAAGTTGCAGTGAGCCAAGACCATGCCACTGCACTCCAGCCTGGGCGACAGAGTGAGACCTTGTCTCAAAAACACAAAACAAAAAAGAAAAAAAAAATGCACACTGTACCCTTTCATTTATGACGTTTAAAAACATGTAGACCTACACAATATATCGCATAGTGATGCATATGTGTGTGATAAACCTATAGCTAAAAACAAGAAAATGATAAGCACAAAATTCAGGGTAGTGGCTGCCTCCATGAGGGTGGAGGAGGGGCAGCCCTGGCGGCGGCTATTGAGCATCACTCATTTACCAGGGGTTTGACTGGAAGAGCTTGGCTGCCAGCTCACCAACTAACACTTTTATCCAGAGGAATAGTTTTCATAGTCAGAATACGTCTGGGTTAGAGCAGTGCAGAAAATGAGAAAACCTGTTTGGGGAGCTTTTCCCTGTTAAAAAATGAACAGGAGGAGCACTGGGGATAGGTAGACAGCACCCCATCATACTTGGTTTGATTCAGTGTAGATCAATGCCATTGAATTCTGTTCAGAAACATTGATTCCTCCCCGGCTGTGTGCTGGGCACCTGGAATACAAAGATAAATTAAAACTGCAAAGAAAAGTACTGGGAGGGAACAGAATAAGGCAGATAAGTAAATTGGCTAATGAATGTCCTGGGTGGGTTTTTGAGTTCTTTGGCCCAGTCTGGACAAGTGATCAGGGAAAGCTTTTGAAAGGAGATTGTGCCTCTCGAAGATGAGTCTTGAAGGAAGAGTTGGAGTTAGAGACAGCAGGGAGGACAAGCTCATCCCAAGCAGAGGTAACTCCATTAATAAAGATACGCGGGAGAGATGTGTGTTATTTCTGCAGCCAAAACCTTGAGTTGGGGCCTCTATACAGATGAGGCAGGAGGGTTGAGTTGGCTTCCGTGTGCTGCAGAGATGGTAACGCTCAACTGAATTTAGGCCAGGCGTGACAGGACCAGAGGCTCTAGAACCCCCGTCCTAGAGAAGGTGAGCAGGGAGCCTAGTTCAGAGACTGTTGCAATGGTCCAGGTAAAGTCGAGGAGGTGGAGAAGGGTGGTAGAAATGAAGAGGAGGGTGTGGATCAAGAAATACTTAGGAGGCAAAAATGGCAGGACATGGTGTTTGGTTGGCTGTAGTGACTGAAGGACAGGAAGACTATGGAATGATAACTAGAGACAGCTAACAGTAACTGGCTCTATACCACATGAAACAGCATCTCAGTCCGTTCTTGGGATTTGCCAATGCAGAGTGGATCTAAGTGAAATTTCCTCTTGTCTGCCTAGTGATTTATAACAATTTGCAGATGTAACATGGCCCCCAGTACATTTGTGGCACTGTGATTCTGTCACATTTATCCTAAAGCTCAGTTGCAGCAGAACAAAAATATGTCTTTGTTCCTAAAATACTCTTCCTTGAGAAAATTCAGTTTCCAATATACTACCCCCAAGGTTAATTCATAGAAAAGGCAGTGAATGATCATATAATTATAACATCATGTCTAGAAGGCTGACCTGATTGAGTCTTTCCTTTCCTTTGCTGCTTATAAGTGCTTTTTTTGTAATTTTATCATTTAAACAAAATTAACATGTTTTATTTGTAATTGTAGGTTAGAATTGTGTGTAGTGCATTGTTTTTATTTATTTAATGGGAGTGTTTTTCAAAAGCATGATAGAATATTTTCGTGAAAGGCTCGAATCTCAGAAGCATTATTTAAATAACTTCATCACTTTTGTGGCTGGAAGTGTCTTAGTCCGTTTTGTGTTGCCTATAACAGAATACCTGAAACTGAGTAATTTATAAAGAAAAAGAATTTCTTATAGTTACGGAGGCTGAAAAGTCCAAGGTCAAGGGACCACATCTGGGGAGAGCCTTCTTGCTGGTGGGGACTCTCTGCAAAGTCCCCACGCAGCACAGGGCATCACATGGCAAGGGGGGCAGAGCATGCTAACTCAGGTCTCTCGTCTTATAAAGCCATCAGTCCCACTCCCGTGATTGCCCATTAATCCATTAACCCACTTATCCATTAATCTGTGAATGGATGAATCCATTCCTGAGGGCAGAGCCCTCATGACCCAATCACCTCTTAAAGGTTCCATTTCTCAATACTGCCCCACTGGGCATTAAATTTCAACATGAGTTTTGGAGGGGATAAATATTCAACCCATAGTAAACTGTAAATGTAGATCACAAAGCTCACTTTTTGATTCATCTCATCCCCTGGCTCAGAAGGTTATATTCAGGACGGAAAAGATCACGCAGTTTTTCTAACTGGTTGGGTCAGGTAGATCTACCCTCTCTGCCACCCAACCCCACTCAGCACAGCTGACAGTAGGGGGAAAAAAATGCTGCTTCATTATTTGGTGTCCATGATGTGTAAGAAGTGATTGGCTGAGAAGATGTCTCAAAAAGGTGTTCAGTCAGACCACTGGTTAATTCATTTAAATAACTTGTTAAATTTTTTCTACTTCTGAATTAGTTTTTAAACAGAATTAATCAGACAGCATTTTTTTAACCATTGTGTAAATAACAATAGCAAAACTTAAATGAAACTATCTTGTGTAATATAGTAATCCCCTAAGATTTTAGAGAGCTTTTGAGCCTCACTTACCATCTCCACTAAATCTTTAGTGCCAGCTAACCAGGAAGCTCCTAAAATTAGAGCTCTTAATCAATGATGCCATTCATGAACACCAAAACAGATTCATCACTTTCTTTTTTTTCCTTTACAGCATTTTGCTAATGGAGATTATAATAGAAATGTTTCCATTTCAGACATACCGAAGAACTGCCATTGAAAATGAAATGGAAGTCCTTTGCATGGCTTTCTTAGCCCGGAGTGGATAGAAAAGATAATCAGTCCACTGAGATAATCCCTCTGGCTGCATCTTTACAGGGCGTGGGAATTTGTTCACCAGATTTGTCCATTTTATGCTCTGTAGCCAACATGGCAAACCCAGGCCAGCTTGAACGCAAGTCTTAGTTCAGAGAATCTGCCTTTTCCCAATCAGGCAAATCATGAGGTGCTTTTTGAAAACCAGCCATGTCCCAACGTCTGCCACAGTCTCTAGAGTTATCTGGTCCTGGGTTCAAGTTCTGACTCTCCCAACATACTAGCTATAGGGCCTTGAGTAAATCACTTGAACTCTCTGAACTTCAATTGCCTTTTCCATAAAAAAAGAGATAAAAATAGGGTTGTTGTGAAGGTGGAATGTGACAATTCACATAAAGCACAGTGCCTAGCTGAGCAAACACTCGGTAAATGTTAGCTATTAGAATTGGTATTTTTAAACGTTTTAACTTTTAAGTTTAAACAACTGGTAATCTATTGTCGGAAGTTAATGGAAAACTAGAAAATTTTACATTTTCAGAGAGGCACCACTTTTAAGTATTTATAAAAAAACACATTTTTCTTTTTTTAGGCCAATTGTGTCTGAGAGAAATGAACTTCTTATTCAGTTTTTATCAGACTTAAGTTTAACTGCAGATGGGTTTATTGGTCACTACATATTCAGGCCAAAAAAACTGCCTACAACTACAGAACAGCCTGTCACCACCACATTCCCTGTAACCACGGGTAAGTTTTCCTGTTTGGAAGTTTGTGCAAAAACTTTAGGAGTATAAGAAGAATTCTTTTAAAGTAGAAAAAAAATAAGAGGAAGATACTTGAAATTAAAGTTAAATAGGATGAAAGCTTTGGTAAGAGAATAATATGACTGCATTAATGAAAGAAAGGTATGGGGTGTAAGAATGCTTGTAAGCTAATAGTTTTTAAATATCAGGTAAGAAAATTATGACCATTGAACAATGACTAGGAAGCCTATTAGAAGCACAGATCATTCTAAGACTAAGTTTCTGTTTCTGGAACTGACAAACTTGTCGTTTGCTTTTTATTACATAGAATTGTGATATTTTAGGTTGAAGTTCTAGGGCCTTGCTATCTGTGTTTTCATATTCTGCCAATGTTTGTTTTTGGTTTTTTTTTTTGCTTCTCAGCGAAATGTCATATAAAATGTTATTTATTTATTTATTTATTTATTTTCAAATCGGAGTAAATTAAACAACAATATTCAACGAAGTACAGAGGCTGGTTGGGAAACTGGCCTGGGGGGCTGAGGCATGTATGTAGGGAGTGGAGAGGCAGGGTCTCTGTAGGTAGTACCTGGCCTATCAGCTCCACCCCCTGGGATTTCAGGCCTCAGATCTAAAAATCCAAACCCAGGGAGGAGGGGGAAAAGCGGGAAGGAAAGACTGAAGGTTAAGATGTAAAATAGGCTGAAATAAGCCCAGCTTTATTGCCCACATTTTCCATGTACACCTAGGCTGGGGCTGAGTACAGGCAGGCGCCTCTGGGTCTAACGTTTCCTTGCACTCTGCAAGTGCGCCACTGTGTGGTGTGGACGTGTACTGCCTCATGTAACTGCTGTATTTCTCCAGCTCAGCTCAGTAAGCCTTGGTGTCCATGTTCTTTCCAGTGAATTATCTGGTCACACCCATTGAGCTAGTGGTTCCCTTGCTTTTATCTCCATCCTCAACTTTCTCTGAAATCGCAAGCATGGATTTGTAATTCTTTCCTGGACACAATGTGACTGTAGCTATTTAAATGAAAGCATATACAAACTTGTTTTTATCACACTATTTTCTGCCTCAGACCTACTTCTCCACCTATTTTCCCAAGCACGTCCACAGCATCGGTAGCCGCACTCATAGGGTCATCTTTGATATCCTCTATCTTTTCTCCTGACCTCATGCCCTACCCCGCTCCCACCACACCGAGTAGACTGTGTTGTTCTCCCATTAAATTTATAGTCTACAGCTATGCTATCCAATATGGCAGCCACTGTGAGCACTTAAAATGTGGCTAATGATATTGAGGAACTGAACTTTTAATTTAATGTTAATGAATTTAAAATTGAAAAGCTTCATGTGACTAGTGACTACCAGATTGGACCACATGGGAGCCCAAACCCCTTCCCGTGGTGTGTCAGACCCTTCACACTTTGTCCCCAGCCTCTCTTTCTAGTTTCGTCTTCAGGCCTTGCAAACTCTCTCCTATGCTCTAAGTATTTTTGTGTTTATCCTATGTGTGGGGGAAGCTGTTGATGGGTTTAAGCAAAGTTCAGGATTAGTTTCACATTTTACAAAGATCACTGTGGCCACTGTCAGGTGAATGAATTGTAGAAATCCAGGGGGTCACCAGAGTCTCGTGCTGGTCCAGGCGAACTGTGCTATGGCACAAATTCAGAGAGAGTCAAGAGATGAGAGGGAAACAGTGACAGGCCTTGGTGATTCATTGGACTAGGGAGGTCAGGGAGGTAGGTGTCAGGAATGCCTCCCAGGTCCCGGGCTTGCACAGCTAGGGGGATACTGCCACTGTTCACAGAGGTAGAGAACTGGATTCGGAGGTGGATTTATAAATTAGGCTGTCGCCTTGTTGGGTTTGAGGTGTCCGTGAGATTTTCCAGTGGATATGCCATGCGTAGGGGTACACGGGTCCCCAGACTAAAAGATTTAAGCCAGATTTAAATTTAAGAGTCACCCATCATCCACAACTCGGGTCACAGCGCGCCCCTCCCCAAGGTGGTCTTCCGCGACCCGTACTGGTTTAAGAAGCGGACGGAGCTTTTCATTGCTGCCGAGGGCATTCACACGGGCCAGTTTGTGTATTGCGGCAAGAAGGCCCAGCTCAACATTGGCAGTGTGCTCCCTGTGGGCACCATGCCTGAGGGTATGATCGTGTGCTGCCTGGAGGAGAAGCCTGGAGGCCGTAGCAAGCTGTCCTGGGCATCAGGGAACTATGCCACTGCTATCTCCCACAACCCTGAGACCAAGAAGACCCGTGTGAAGCTGCCCTCTGGCTCCAAGAAGGTTGTCTCCTCAGCCAACAGAGCTGTGGTTGGTGTGGTGGCTGGAGGTGGCCGAACTGACAAACCCATCTTGAAGGCTTGCCAAGCCTACCACAAATATAAGGCAAAGAGGAACTGGTGGCCACGAGTATGGGATGTGGCCATGAACCCTATGGAGCATCCTTTTGGAGGTGGCAACCACCAGCACATCGGCATCCCCTCCGCCATCTCAGAGATGACCCTGCTGGCTGCAAAATGGGTCTCATTGCTGCCCGCCAGACTGGACGTCTCTGGGGAACCAAGACTGTGCAGGAGAAAGAGAACTAGTGCTAAGGGGCTCAATAAAGTTTGTCTTTATGCCAAAAAAAAGTAAGAGTCATCAATATATAGATAGTTGAAACAATGATCAAGAACGAGATGACCTAGGCAGAGATTGAGGGCAGGAGGAGGAGAGGCGCGGAGATTAACCCTCTAGAAACTTCCGTCTTTTTGAAGAGAAGGTTACACTGGCAAAGGTGACTGAAAAGCAGTGGCGAGGGAGGAGGGAGGAGAACTGGGAGGATGTGTGGTGAAAGCCGTGGAAGGGAATGTTACAAAAGGGAGTGGTAAGTGAGTCAAGCGTTGATGAGACTTCCAATAAGGGAGGACTACAGTGTTTCCGTTTGGTTTCATGACATGGAGTCTACTGGAGACGCCAGCACAATCTATGTAAGTGGCTTTGTGCCGCCAGCAGAACCCGGACAGTGTGTGCTGAGGGGAGTGTGGAGCATGGCAAATTGAGATAATAAGTTCAGTAGCTCATTCCCCAAGTTTGGCCTTAAAGAAGAAGGAGAGGCTTTGAGAGTCTTGAACCTGCTTATGTTGATGGGAGTAACTAGCAAAGAAGAAGGCAATGGCAGACAGAAGGAATAAACTGAGAAGGAAAGTTTCTATAAAGGTGAGAGGGGCTGGCTCCAGAGGACTCACAGAAGGCATGACTTCAGGTCGGAGGGGGGTGACCCCTCTCTCAGAGGAGGAAAAGAAGAGAGATGGTATAAAGATGACTTGGAGGTTTGGTGGGGATCTTGAGAACATTTTCTGCTATGCTTCTCTTCTTCCTAGAAAATAGGCAGGGTCGGCTAGGTGCGGTGGCTTACACCTGTAATCCCAGAACTTTGGGAGGCCGAGGCGGGTGGATCATGAGGTCAGGAGATCGAGACCATCTTGGCTAACACGGTGAAACCCCGCCTCTACTAAAAAAATACAAAAAAATTAGCCGGGCGTGGTGGTGGGCACCTGTAGTCCCAGCTACTCGGGAGGCTGAGGCAGGAGAATGGCGTGGACCCAGGATGCGGAGTTTGCAGTGAGCCGACATCGCGCCACTGCACTCCAGCCTGGGCGACAGAGTGAGACTCTGTCTCAAAAAGAAAAAAAAAAAGGCAAGGTCACCTCTGAGAGGGAGAAGGGAGTGGCAGCACGGGAGGTTAGGAGAATGAGAAAGAATTTGAAAAACAGCTGTAGAAATTGGAGAGTAGGCTGAACTCCAGCCTGTCACTCTGCTGAAGGCCCATTTGTGTACTCAGTTGTCTGAGGGCAGGCACAGGAAAAACAGATTTCTCTGAAGATTCATACAGGGCTGAAGGGCAGAGGGGAAGGGACCTTAAGGCATTGTGTAGAAAATGATTGAAATAATGGACCATGGAAATGAAATAGAATTGCTAAGGAAGTAAAGACAGGCCAGGGCTGACGGGTTGGGAAAAATGAGAGCAGCCAATATATTGAACCATCAAAGATGGAAGAAAACATAGTCATAGAGTGATTAAATAAATAAGCTTGGAGGGGAGAACGCTGTCCTGGTTGCCAGCAGGTCTAAATTTGATAGACTGGCAATGAACAGCCATAGCATGAAGACATCCGAGCCTGGAACTGAGTGTCTAGGAAAGTCCCTGGTGAAGATGAGGCCACGGGGACTGCGGGATCAGACATGGGAGGGTGGACCCATAGAAACGATCGCGGGAACACAGCCAGGGAGGGCTGAGAACCGGGACCAGCTTTGTGAGTGAAGGGCAAGGAGACAGATGACAGTTAAGATGAGGAGGGGAAGGAGAGAGCCAGTGACTTGCAGGCCAGACAGCAGGCCCCACCAAAGCAGGAGAAGGGCATGTTGGACACCCACCCCACTTCCAGACTGACCTTCGGAGGCTGAGAAGCAGCCGGTTCCCAATGGGCCCGGGAAAGGGCGCTCACCATCAGACACACCACAACTTTTTGACTCAGTTAACTGAGTAAATTTAATTCCATAAATTTACAGCTGAAGTGAGGTTCCCAACTTCTGGAACAATGGTATGTCTCTCCCTTCCAAACATCTTCTGAGCTCTTTCTCTCCCTTTTTTAAAAATGCATATTTAAGCTATTATATGTATTTTAACATTAAATTACATATGTTTTAATATTGCCATCTGCTTCAGATTCTTTCTGGAGTTAACTAGGGGGTACAGATTAAGAGTATATAAATAGGCTGGGCGCGGTGGCTTACACCTGTAATCCCAGCACTTTCAGAGGCCGAGACAGGCAAATCACCTGAGGTCAGGAGTTTGAGACCAGCCTGGCCAACATGGCGAAATGAAATCTCTACTAAAAATACAAAAATTGGCCAGGCATCTGTAGTCCCAGCTACTCAGGAGGCTGAGGCAGGAGAATTGCTTGAACCCGGGAGGTGGAGCTTGCAGTGAGCCAAGATCACACCATTGTACTCCAGCCTGGGCGACAGAGCGAGAGACTCCATGTCAAAAATAAATAAATAGATAAATAATAAATTAACAGAGGAGTTGGTGGGGCCTGTTGGAAGAGCAATATTACAACTGTGGATATTCACCCAACAAGGGCAATTCTGTTACCGTGGTTCTGTTTAGTTCTTCCTAGCATATTGTCACACAGAAACAAATAATTAGCAAGTATTTCTGAAACATTCTTAAGATGATTATGAGGATGAACTATTTTCACGTTGTTAACCCGGGGTTTCTCTACCTCAGCACTATTTATATTTTGGGCCAGATCCTTCTGTGTTGCGGGGACTGTCCTTTTTTCTGTGGGATGTCAGCAGCGTCTCGGCATCTACCCACTAGATGCTAGCAATACCCTCTAGTTGTGATAACCAGAAATGTTTCTAGATATTGCCAAATGCCTGCTGGGGGCAACGTCACCCGTACTTAAGAACTGCTGTGTTTTGTCTATTTGGTATACTTTTAAATTTGTCTACTTCTTAGTTCTTAAGATTCTTATAGCCAGTGCCAGGCTCAAAATAAATATTTAGTGATGGGTTGCATCTAATTACAGATGTAACACACTTTACACATGAACAGTATTTCTAAAAACCTATGCTACTCATGTTTAGGCAATTGCATATTTTAAGGATGTCCTCAGGGGAACACCCTATGATTCCTTTTGTAAAGTGAGGGATTAACCTACATTCTGTGAGTTCCAATTTGTTGTTCTGGGTTTTTCTAAACAGGGCACACACTCAGAGTACGCCTGTATTTTCTTATAGTGTTTGTTTTATATAAAGGAAGAAGAGAACAGGGCTACATTTGTGCTATCTTTGAACTCAGGTTTAAAATTCAATAGAGGGTATTGAGTTGTCCTGGTGAAATTAGAGCAGTAGTTGGTAGCATGGAGAATTTATTTTGCGTGGTTTTAAATTTTTTCTTTGTAGTGATAGATTGGTGGCTCAGGGAAATAAATGATAATTTTAAATGGGTAGATTCAGAACTAAAGACCAATTATGCTTGAATTCATTTTTCGTGAAACTTATGTCTTCTTTGAATTAAGGTTTAAAACCCACCGTGGCCTTGTGTCAACAAAAGTGTAGACGGACGGGGACTCTGGAGGGCAATTATTGTTCAAGTGACTTTGGTAAGAAATAAAAGCCAGTCTTTTTCTCTTTAACCAGAAACTTGAGGCTGCATGCTTAATCTCAAAGGAATTCCTATGAATTTATGGTGAAGGGTCAATAACGCTGCTCATTTATCCAAGAAAATACTTGCCTATACACCAGAATGGTCAAATTGTTAGATTTCACCACTGAGAAAAATATGGATTTAGAAAATATACTTTTTTCATATAAGCTTAATAATTTGACTCTTGGTACATGATACTGCCACATTGTGTGTTCTGGCTGACTATTCCTGCAAAAAACCTATGTACTTTTTTCCTTATATATTTTTCATATACAGAGTATTTTTTCACACATCTATAACTCAACTTAAGTAAATTAGAAACATACCCGAGCTTATATTCAGAAGCTGGTCTCTCTCAGAAGAAATTCAAGTATTTCCCCTGTACTGCCTTTCTGAGGTACTGAAGTAAAAGTTGGAAATCTGGAGTCCATTTGGAAACTCTCACAAACTGGAACCTGAGGAGGTGTTCTTTAATGATTTAGAATTTTTAAGAGCTTTTTCCAGTGGAAAGATTGCACCATCTATGATAGCTACTTAAGAGCAAAAGATACAACATTTTATCTTGGTTATTTTTTCAGTGGCTTTAAAGGAACATTTAAGACAAATCTGATCAGGAAGAGCAAGTTGCTATGGCCTAAATACATTTCCCCAAACAAAACTTCCCCAGAGAGGCTCTGCTTGCTTTTTCTGTGCCTTGAAGTGACTTCTGTAGTCCAGACGAGCTGTATCATAGTGAAGGTGTGAAGACACTGAAGACTCTGGGACCCTAAACCTTACTAGAGTTCACATGCTGAAATTCAAATAACTGGCATAAATGTGAAAACAACGCCACATGTAATTGCTACCACATCCAGTTTACTCTTCTGTAGGAGGTGCTTCAGGAAGTCTCCCTCCCTGTGTCTTGGGAGCCACTGATTTCACTTGACTATAGACTGAATTTTGGAGTGAACACTTATCACGCAGGATCAAAGTAAAGCATCATAGGAATTCTGATTTTATGAACATTGCACACTGCCTAAGCAGTGAGTGTTCACTTTATTCTGAAGGAGTCAGATTAACCAAGTCCAAAACTTGATTTATTCCATTAATGTGACCGCTTACATGGCAAAATGACCAAAACTATCATCAGTCACTGGTTCTCAACCAGGGCTGATAATGCTCCCCTGGGGAGTGGTAGAGATGTTAGATTACTGCATTTTTTTGGTTGTCACAATAACTAGGAACTGCTACTGATTTTTCTAGGAAGGACAAGGCTGGTAAAAAATGTATTCAGGCCAGGTTCAGTGGCTCACACCTGTAATCCCAGTACTTTGGAGGCCGAGGCAGGTGGATCACCTGAGGTTGGGAGTTCGAGACCAGCCTGACAAACATGGAGAAACCCCATCTCTACTAAAAATACAAAATTAGCTGGGTGTGGTGGTGCATGCCTGTAATCCCAGCTACTTGGGAGGCTGAGGCAGGAGAATTGCTTGAACCTGGGAGGTGGAGGTTGCAGTGAGCTGAGATTGTGCCACTGCAGTCCAGCCTGGGCAACAAGAGCGAAACTCCATCTCATGAAAAAACAACAACAACAAAAAAAAACTGTATTCAGTGCAAGTCCTACACCACAAGGAACTGTCCTTGCTCAAGCCCCCAGAATGCCAGGCGCACCCCCGTGAGAAAGACAACATCTTTCCTTCTGTGGCTTCAAAGAGAGACTCTTTTCTCGGAGTGTCATGATGGAAAAAACAGGGGTTTACATAATGAAAAAATCAACTGAATTTTACTAGAGGTTTTTTTTTAAGAAAAAAAAAAGTTTAAGTTAATACCTCAGTTCTATACTTCAGCTTGTTAAATGAAATAAACGGAGTGGATAAGAAAGAGAATATGAAAGACCGTAGAAGACAGAGCTTTCCTGATAATTAGACAGAGGTGAGGACCCAGGGAATGAACAAAAGTTCAGGAAGAAAGGACAGCTACAGAGAAGGGTGAGGAGAGACACAGAAAGGTGGCTACACACCCACACCGACACAAAGACTCACATCTTAGTGGCCCAAACCCCCATCGCGCAATCTTTTAGCGTGGTACTGCCTCTAAAGATACAAGATCTTTTTGAGTATTCACAGGTAGAGCCTCATAAGCCAGACTATCCCCTATGTGACAATCAAGCCACAAGTTGGATAAAACGTTTTAAAGAGTTTCAACCTTGGCAATGGACCGCAGTGTGGCAAGTATTTAGGCTTCTCTTCTAGTTATCAATCCCCAACAACCAGCGTAACATCACAGCTCCAACCTGAATTTTGGTGACAAATGTACAGAAGCAAATGTGAAACCTCTATGAGGGCCTTTTCTTTAACATTAAAATGTTTCGTATCTGAAACTTAGAAGAATGTAAACTTGTTTTTCAGTTCTGCTTGCATTTGCCTTCACTGTCACATCACTTCAAAATGTTTTCTTCTGCAGTATTAGCCGGCACTGTTATCACAACCATCACTCGCGATGGGAGTTTGCACGCCACAGTCTCGATCATCAACATCTACAAAGAGGGAAATTTGGCGATTCAGCAGGCGGGCAAGAACATGAGTGCCAGGCTGACTGTCGTCTGCAAGCAGTGCCCTCTCCTCAGAAGAGGTGAGTAGGGAGAAAACTGGGTGTCTCTGAGCAAGCCATGGATTTTCCATGCCATGGTTGGTCTAGGGAAGTAAAATCAGGGCTAATATGTTGCCCACTTCTTGCAGAGCAGGAAGGCCTTTGGAGTCAGGCAGAATTGGGCTCTCATCCAAGTCCTTGTAACTTGTGGCAGAAGAAGGGGTAGTGGACATGATGAACAAGTGAAAGAAGCGTTTGAAGTTGAGTCAATAGGCAACAGACACACAGAGCAGTGCAGGGTGGAGAGATTTTAGACTATTGCACTTAAGATGCCAGTACTGTCTAGGTTTAAAGAAAAATATCCAGCAGCCAACAGGAAATGCAGACCCGAAGTTCAGAAGAGGGAGGTATATCCGGGCTAGAATCAAGATCTGGGAATCATTTGCAGAGATAGGACTATTAAGTCCATGGATGGGAGTGAGTTTATTGAAAGAAATTACGAAAAACGGAAAGTTACTCCAGAGCTAGAGGCACATGACTTTTTAAGAATATGTATTTAACAACTTATAAAAGTAACATATGTTTCATGGTTTTTAAAAAGTTGAAATAAGTAGGTAAGAGTATGTTTAAAAGTGAAACCCTTTTCCTTTCCTTAGAAGTACTCTAAAAAGTTCCTTCCAGCCAGACACAGTAGCTCATGCCTGTAATCCCAGCACTTTGGGAGGCCGAGGTGGGAGGATTGCTTGAGCCCAGAAGTTCGAGATCAGGCTGGGTGATGTAGTGAGACCCTATTTCTATAAAAAAAAAAAAAATTTAAGTTCCTTCCAGAAAGTTTCTATCCACATAAAGCATGGGCATATACACTTATGGAATCATATCACACACAAGTTCTGCAATTTTTCCCCTACATAAGCTCTAACATCTTTCCACACATACACACAGAGAGAGAGAGAGAGAAAGAGAGAGAAAGATACAGAATATCCACTTCAAGAAAGCTTTACTGTCCCAGCACTTTAGGAGGCTGAGATGGGAGGATTGCTTCAGCCTGAGTTCGAGACCAGCCTGGGCAACATAGTGAGACCTCTGCTCTACTAAAAATAAAAAAATTTAGCCGGGTGTGGTGGTGCGCACCTGTGGTCCCAGCTACTCGTGAGGCTGAAGCAAGAGGATGCCTTGAACCTAAGAGGTCGAGTCTGCAGTGAGTCATGATCACACTGCTGCACTCCAGCCTGGGTGGCAGAGCAAGACTGTCTAAAAAAAGAAAAAAATTTAAAAATAAAGCAAGCTTTACTGTGAATTCAGATTGTTCAGAAAAGTCAGGAGGCTAGTAGCCTCATGTTGAGTCTCTGGAGAGAATCACAAAGGCTCTGTAAAAGAGAAACATTTCTTTCCAGAACTGCCAGGAGCAGCAGATACTGCACCTCAAGATTCTATAAGGTCTCATAATGCTGCTAGCACTTCAGCCTTGAGGCAGCATTACCTGCCCAGACTCTCAGGCTCTCACAGACCACTGTGATGACAAGGTCCACCCACACAGGAAAATGCAAGAGAAAAAGGACACATTTTCTCTATGACACACCAGGGGAAAGGGGAACTAAAGGAGGAATTAACCCATACCTTTTTTTCTGATTTATTTCTGAGGTAATATAAATATTCAGAGTTACCCAACACCTCAGGCCCCAGTCTAGGCCTAACTTAGCCAGTCACACCAATGTATAAAAACATAGTATAACCAATATAAGTACTCTTGACACCGATGTTTTGCAAGAAACTGTACAAATGCAAGTAGTATATGATCCATCTATGCCCTCAAGAAGCTTGCGTAGCATACATGTTTGAGATGTTGATTAAAGTTCAAGACAACAGCAACATAAGAGAGTGGATCATTGGTTGCCAAATGCCAGGAAAATCCAGACACATGATGGGACTGAGAAGCCATCTGAGGATGGCCCATCATGGAGCCCTGGAGGCCCCTCGAGGAAGGAGAGTCTTTCACGTTAACGCGGTGCATTCTTCATAGCAGGCATTTGAAACCACAACAGACCTACAGCACTGCAGAGCGGGACATGGCTGATCTAACCACTCAGTCCAGCTTCCTGGTGTTAGCGTAGCTGAAATACCTTACTAGTTGAATTTGGCTTTTTGCCGATGAGAGTCTTAAAACAGATTTTATCATCCAGGCACAATGGCGTGTGCCTGTAGTCCCAGCTACTTTGGAGTCTGAGGCAGGAGAATCGCTTAAGTTCAGTAGTTTAAGACCAGCCTGGGGAACATGGCAAGACCCCCATCTCTAAAAAGCAAAAACAAGAAACCCAGATTTTATCGTGGATGGAATACATGTATAATCTTACCATTTGCAGAAGAGAACATTTATCTAGAGGTAACTTACAGTCTAAGTTGTTTCACACATGATACATAGAGAAAAAGATTAATTTCTGTATTCTCTTTCTTTAGGTCTAAATTACATTATTATGGGCCAAGTAGGTGAAGATGGGCGAGGCAAAATCATGCCAAACAGCTTTATCATGATGTTCAAGACCAAGAATCAGAAGCTCCTGGATGCCTTAAAAAATAAGCAATGTTAACAGTGAACTGTGTCCATTTAAGCTGTATTCTGCCATTGCCTTTGAAAGATCTATGTTCTCTCAGTAGAAAAAAAAATACTTATAAAATTACATATTCTGAAAGAGGATTCCGAAAGATGGGACTGGTTGACTCTTCACATGATGGAGGTATGAGGCCTCCGAGATAGCTGAGGGAAGTTCTTTGCCTGCTGTCAGAGGAGCAGCTATCTGATTGGAAACCTGCCGACTTAGTGCGGTGATAGGAAGCTAAAAGTGTCAAGCGTTGACAGCTTGGAAGCGTTTATTTATACATCTCTGTAAAAGGATATTTTAGAATTGAGTTGTGTGAAGATGTCAAAAAAAGATTTTAGAAGTGCAATATTTATAGTGTTATTTGTTTCACCTTCAAGCCTTTGCCCTGAGGTGTTACAATCTTGTCTTGCGTTTTCTAAATCAATGCTTAATAAAATATTTTTAAAGGATTACAGAACAACCACTAAACTTCTTTTTATAGATAGTGGGACATTGTAGAAGGAATATTCCCTTTTAGCAATAAGAATAGTGTGATTTATGCATAAGATTGCCTTTGTATCAATTTACACTTTGCTAAAAGAGCATTCCAAGAATTTCAGGGACTAAATGGATCCAGTAATGTCAATAGACTATAATTCTTCTCTCTGCAGAAACAGAGAATGTTAGTGCTAGAATAACATCTCTCAGGGATCTAGTCCACACTGTTTCATTTTGTAATTGAAACGGAAGCTCAGGTATGTTTAGTGACTTGCCAGAGCACATGTCTCCTAAGAGACAAAACAATCAAGCTAAAGAGTCCTAATTCCAAACCCTTTGCCCTCACTGCCACTAGAAGAGCCTTCCCTACCCCCAGAGGAAAGCCCTCTTATCCTGATTTGAAGAGTGAAGTACTAAATATTAGTACTTAGGCTAGTATTTACTAGCCTATATAATTGGTCATTTTACAGAACTTGAAATTAGAAGTGAGCTTGACACTGCTGCCCTGTTTATCCCCAGTTAACTGGATCAGGCTGTATCAGCTAAGAGCCTTTGAGAAATCTATTTTCACTCATTAGTGGAAGAACAGCAAAAGGACCTTCATTCACATAGAGCTGCTTAAGGCACAACTATATGAGTGCAGCAACCAGCCCTGTAGGAGGTTACCAGCCAGGGGCTGTGGGAGAGCGGATAACCATCCCTATCCAAAGAAGGCTGAAAGAACATTAGGGATGAACAAAGACGTGGGTCACAAACTCTTCCACGGTAGAAGCAAAGTTTTGGAAATAAGGGAAAATACTCTTTTAGATGAAAACAATAATTCCCAGCCCTAGGATGACCAGACATTTAAAGGGTGGCAAAATAGAAGTTCAGAAGGAACTCTGTTCCCTCTGTTACGGCAGCTGGGTGAGCCTAAGGAAACGACAAAATTGGGCTGACAGGCAGGTCAGAAACTGCTCCTATACTTTCCCACTGAGGAGCCGTCAGCAGGAAGTAGATGAACTAGAAGACCCTGATGACAGTGGGTGACTGGCTTCCCTGGCCAGTGTCAGCTTTTAGAAAGTTCTCTTAGCCAGCTGAACTTCGCAGACCAGCTGCGCCCAGCACAGGATGTAACTGTGGACTCCTCATTGATTCCAGCCTTCTCAAAGCAAGTTGCTTCCCTTTAAGAATACATGTTCCGGGACTTAGGAGGGAATCCTAAAGATTTCAGTATTTCTTCTTTCTGAATAGAATCTCCTATTGGTGAATTACAAGCAGCATGCTGGCGGGTATCAAGCTTCTGCATGACCAGCGGAAAGACTTCTTCAGGTGAGTGGGGGCTTGAGTCACAGTGGGGTAAAAACTGAGAAGAGTAATCTAAACTATTCATACTATTGACATCTCTGACACAGTATTTTACAACTGCTTAGGGGATTCACGGTTAAAAGTGTGTGGCACTGGTTTGTCTTTTACTTCAGTTATTCAAAACATAGAGATAAGATGAATCGTGAAGCTGCTCTTTCTGGAATAACAACCACTTTGTAATTTCTTTCCTTTTTAAACAATCATTTTTCTATGGTTTGACTGTATCCTCCAAATTATGTGTTGGAAAGTAAATCCTCAATGCAACAGTGTTGAGAGGTGGGCTCTTTTATGAGGCAGAGCCCTCACGAATGGATTAATGCCATTATCATGGGAGTGAGTGAGTTATCGTGAGAATGGGTCCTTGGTAAAAGGATGAATTTGGCCCCCTGCGTCCCCACTCCATCCTTGTCTTTCTCTTTTGGGCATGCACATGTGTTGATGTGTTCATGTGCTCTCTTGCGTTTCCACCTTCTGCCATGGGATGATGCTGTGAGAAGGCCGTCACCAGATGTGGGCCCTTGACTTTGGACTTCCCAGCCTCCAGAACTGTAAGAAATAAATATCTGTTCTTTATGAATTACCCAGTCTCAGATATTCTGTTATAGCAGCACAGAACGGACTAAGACACCTTTATTTTGACTGAGGTTTAGTTTCCTTAGTTATAATTTGAGGGAGTTAGACTACATAACTTCTGGGATCCCATACTATTTTCTCTTTTAGGAATTGTTTATTTTTCAAGAATAGTTGATAAGGTTTTGTTTTTGTTTTTAAGTATTTATACTTGGGGAATCAAATACACATGAAGAATGAATAGGTGACCATACTAACATATCACAAAACATTTCAAAATTATAAATAAATCTCACTGTTTCAGAGCATCTTGCTAGCTTGATTTTCATCCTTTGAATTCCTGTAAATGAACATTTAAGATTTTTCCCAAGTTCCCAAGTCTTAAATTCTGTAATTTACTTCCAAGTTAACCTTAATTGGAAGACATTTACCTTCTTTTCTTTCATGTATTAATAGACTACTGCTACCAGGCTCCCATTTACTTCTGGACTATTTAAATGGTATCAACTAATGACAAAAAAAACTCCCTTAAAGAAAAGCCCTGTAATTAAACAGGCACTAATGAGAAAGTTCTAACGTGAGTTAAGTAATATTAATCAGAAACACCTTTTGCTTGAGTTCATGGATTCAAGCAAACAAATTTATATTTTTTATATAAATGGAAACAAAAAATTTGCAATTAAATTCAATTAGCAAGCAAATGTTTTTTAAAAAGATTTGACCTAAGTATTCTAAAGACCTCGTATTGAGAGAGAGAAAGATAAAAATATTAACTTAGGACTTTGATAATTTAAGTATTTACATTAATTTTTCTAGGGTAATATAATAAAATAATAATATAAATAGAGCATAAATAATATAAATAGAGCATCAACATTTAAAACCAGCAGAGGAAAAAAAAGAAGAAATTAAAGAAAGTGAAACCAGGAAAAATACAACAAAATAAGGTAAAAATACAAACATATCAATAATTTCAGTAAACACCTAAACTAAGTCCTGAAAGTTATACGTCAAAATGGTCAGACTGGCTTAGAAAAAGAAATACAGCTATGTGCTATTTGAAAGAGACATCTAAAACATGAGGACACGGAAAAGTTGAGAGGAAAGGGATAGAAAAAGATAAATACAGTATACCAGGCAAACATTAACCAAAATAAAAATGGTATGGTTTTATTAATACCAGAAAAAAAATACTTCAAGGCATTACTCAAGATGAAGAGAGTTACAAGGAGATATAACAATTCTAAATTTGCACACAGCTAATAACATCCTTCAAAATATATAACTAAATCTGATATAGTATAAATAGAAATGGACAAGTTTACCATCATAAGGGGAGGTTTTAACATGTTTCTCTCAGTATTGACAGATTTAAAAGAGAAAACATTAAAAATATAGAAGTGTTGAACCGCACAATTAGCTAGATTTACCTAACACACATATGTAGAACAGAACCAAGGGCACATTATTTTGAGCTCGTATGGAACAATTTCAGAACTTGCCATGCACCATGAAGCAAATTCCAACAAATTTCAAACAACTGGTATCGAACAGCCTTCTCTAACAGTAAATGACTAGAAATTAATAACAAAAAGTAAACAACAAAAAACAAGAAAAAAATTGGAAATTAAGAAATGTACTTTCAACTCATGATAAAAAGGAAACCATAATGGAAAACAAAATATTAAAAACTGAACAATAGAAAAACTGCATTTTAAAATGTGTGAAATGCAGCTTAAATAACACTTTAAAATTTATAATCTTACATGTTTACATTATAAAAGAAAGGATGGAAATTATTAATTTGTGAATGATACAAATTGGGAACTTAGTAAAAGGAAAACACCATAAACTTTTAAAAGGTAGGATAAAATAGCATAGAGCAGAAATTGAATAAAATTGTCATCTTAAATAATAGAAAAAAGGAAAGCCAAATGTTGGTTCTTTAAAATGACTAATATAATTGACAAAACTCTGACCAAATTAAGAAAAGCTAATTTTTGTATTTTTAGTAGAGATGGGGTTTTGCCATGTTGTTCAGGCTGATCTTGAACTCCTGATCTCAGGTGATCCATCTGCCTTGGCCTCCCAAAGTGCTGGGATTATAGGCGTGAGCCACAGCACTGGGCCACGAATAGCCTCTTTTTGACAAAGGCTCTCTGGATGTACAAGTGTGGGATTGCCCATGGATGCATGGAATCGGGTGTTCTGGGTGAGTAGCTCTGGGATATACATAAAAATTTGTTCTGAAGTATTCTAAAGTTATTATTAAAAATCCTGGTTTTGATTTTTTTGTCATTTGCTTCTCCCTTTTAAAAACAAAATCAACAATTGAGTTTAAAAGGCTAAAATTTGATTAGATATAAATGAAACATCTTTGCCTGAATGATGTCCCTGTAGCATTCTAATACTAAGATTGGGTTAGATTTCAACGAGATGAAGCTTTTAAGTATAGAAACCTATGAAGAAAATTTACAAGCTGAAAGTAAGACTTCATATATCTGATTAATTCATCTCACAAAAAAACTGATATTAATAGTAACATAATGCAGGTAAGAGCCTCCCAGCTGAAAAGGAAAAAGACTTGGATTCTCATTCACAGTGTGGCAATGGGAGAACTTTAGTTTCCTTATCTGTAACATGAAGTTGAATTGGATACTTTCTGAGATCCCTTATGGTCTTAAGTGGTTTCTGGATCCTTGAATATGTACTTTTTTTTTTTTTTTGAGATGGAGTTTCACTCTGTTGACCAGGCTGGAGTGCAGTGACGTGATTTTGGCTCACTACAACCTCTGCCTCCCAGGTTCAAACTATTCTCCTGCCTCAGCTTCCTGAGTAGCTGGGATTACAGCCGCACACCACCATGCCCAGCTAATGTTTCACTATGTTGGCCAGGCTGGTCTCAAACTCCTGACCTCAGGTGATCCACCTGCCTTGGCCTCCTAAAGTGCTGAGATTACAGGCATGAGCCACTGCGCCTGGCTGAATATTCAAATTGATTAGGATAGAAAGTGGCACAGAAATAAAATTCACCAGTCTGTGTGCTTTAAACACTCTGGTCCCTTCTGGTCTGGCTGTTACTTTCTGAGGCTAACTCCCCCTTTCCTATGATGTTCACTACCTACCTGTCCATCCTTTTCCTCCAACTCTTGCTCATCTTGCTGGTCTCTGCTTGACCCTCGTCATAAAAGTTTTTAACAAATTAGTTATTTAGAAAAGTAGGAACTTAAGTTCTGTTTGCTGACCAAGATGAACCTACAATGAGAAGCTAATTCAAAAATGGAAAGCTTTTGGATATATATTGACTGATAGGAAAAATCAATTGAATTCAGTATCTCCAGTCAGTATATACACTTGGACAAATTACTCAAAATGCTAGTTTTCCTGTATATTAAATTAGAAGGTTGAAGTAGGGAATCTAAGTTTTCTTTTAATGTAGTTTGAGAAAATAGGATCTGGAGCACACAATTGTTAAGAGTATTTAATAAACTAGTTGTCATTCCTAGAATATTTACACTAACGGATAATGGCTAAATTTTTATTCAATAACTTTGTGCCATTCAACATTAATACTATACTTAGAGTGAGGATACAAAAGAGAATGAGAGAACTGTTCCTTCTTGTGCCTGGTCTTGTTTTACAGCTTTTCAAAAGAAAGAGGCTGGGTGTGGTAGCACACTCCTGTAGTCCCAGCTACTTGGGAGGCTGAGGTAGGAGGTTCTCTTTAGCCCAGGAGTTGGAGGCTGTAGTGTGCTATGATGGCACCTGTTAATAGCCACTGTACTTCCAGCCTGGAAAATATTGTGAGACTCTGTCACTGGGGTCAGCGGGGGTGGATGGGAGAAGAAAACATCTGCATTCAAGCAAACACAGAAAATATTGTGATTGCTTTTTCCGTTGAAATAAAATTGGAGGAAATGAATTTTAAAATGAGAAGCTGAATTACCTCACAGAATTAATTCAATTTCTGAATGAGTTACTGAGGTAGCTTGTGCATTTTCCTCCTTAAAATTTTTAAAACAGCACTCAATCATTTTATCTCATTTTTTTTTTTTTTTTTTTGAGGCAGAGTTTCACTCTCGTTGCCCAGGCTGGAGTGCAATGGCGCAATCTCGGCTCACCACAACCTCCACCTCCCGGGTTCAAGCTATTCTCCTGCCTCAGCCTCCGGAGTAGCTGGGATTAAAGGCATGCGCCACCACCACGCCAGGCTAATTTTGTATTTTTAGTAGAGTCAGGGTTTCTCCATGTTGGTCATGCTGGTCTCAAACTACCGACCTCAGGTGATCCACCCACTTTGGCCTCCCAAAGTGCTGGGATTACAGGCGTGAGCCACCATGCCCGGCCCATTTTATCTTTCAATAAGAATAAATTTGCCTAAAATTGAAGGATGAATTAAATAACCTTTCTAGTGGGGAGAGAGAGGGAGAGAGAGATAATTTTCCAGATTCTTGGTAGCAGGATGAAGAAAAAGGAACTTACTGTGTCACATATTGGATTGGCTGGGATAGTAGTTTTTGTTTTTTGTTTTTTTTTTAAGTATACATTTACCTCCTACACAAACCTGCTGTTTTGCCTCTTTTATTACTATAATTTAATTTATATCAGAAATCATGTCTCTTAAAGATGGTTTTTTTTGTTTGTTTTTTTGTTTTTTTGAGACAGAGTCTCGCTTCATCGCCCAGGCTGGAGTGTAGTGGCGTGATCGCGACTCACTGTAAGCTCCGCCTTCCAGGTTCATGCCATTCTCCTGCCCCAGCCTCCCGAGTAGCTGGTACTACAGGCCCCCCCCACCATGCCTGGCTAATTTTTTTGTATTTTTAGTAGAGATGGCGTTTCACTGTGTTAGCCAGGATGGTCTCGATCTCCTGACCTTGTGATCCACCCGCCTCAGCCTCCCAAAGTGCTGGGATTACAGAAGATGGTTATTTTTAAAGCATCAACTAGTATATAAAAATTTTCCTAATTTATGTGTTGCATATCTGAAGTATTTATTTCAGTCTGGGGGCAGGGAGAGCAGAATAGGAAAAAACAATGTGAAATTATCAAATGAAGAGAAGCACTGTAATGGGAAATTCTTCTAAGTATATCCTCCAGAAACACAGCTTGTTTATGAATGGGGCCGTGATGCCAGAAAACTAATACATTAACTTATAAATGAGGAATTCAGAGCAGTGATTATCCCTGATACTATTATTAGTTTCTTAGTGTAATCTGAATAACTAGACCCAGTTGGTTTACTCCCAGGATCTATACCCTCAATTTATTTGGTATTTTATACACGTATTTTCTGAGGAAAACAAAAATTTTGAAGTCTAAGGAATCAAAGAAAGTTTTCTTTATCAGGTAGAAAAGAGATAATAAGTATTTATTAATAAGATTAAGAGCACTTCCACTTTTATCATTTTTTAAGAAAGACTGTCAATGATTAGCAGTTGGTTTGTATCCTTCAAACAATTAATAACAACAACCTGTAGTTACTTTAAGGAAAGATGTTAAGCTTTGAAATCTGAACACATAACTAAATGATAAGCAAACTGGTCTTCATTGGGATTGCATGTGAGTAGAATCTCATTCTATTTTTTTAGTTATTAATATATAATGCTATTAGATTTCAATGCTAAAAACTATAAAACATTGCTAAGGGAAATTAAGGAAGACTTAAATAAATGAGAAGCTACATCATGTTGATAGTTTAGACAATACTGTAAAGACGTCAGTTCTTCCCAAAGTGGTCTCTAGTTTCAATGCAATTCCAATAAAAATCCCGTTTATTTTTTAAGAAATTGATAGATTCCAAAATTTAAATGAAAAATCATAGAACCTGGATAGCAAAAATAATTTTGAAAAAGTAATACGAAGTTATTCACCTTGGCATTTATTACTGTACCCCACTGTGCTGTGTGAGTGATGGGCTACCAACTTGCAGATGCAAGCACTGCTTTCTTTGGCAGTGGTAATGAATTTTAAGATTCCACTGTTATTTTCTTATTTATTTTAGTATGTTGTAGCATTGTATTTTAGATTTTTTGTCTGGGTTATTAAGGCATAATTTCTATACATTAAAATTCACTCTTTTTAAGCATACAGTTTGATGAGCTGTGCAGTCAGTTGTCTCCTAGACCACTAGACCCTGGTACTCAATGATCTGATTTCAGTTCCTATAGTTTTGTCTTTTCTAGAATGTCATCTAAATGGAACCATACAGTATTGTAGCTTTTTGTGACTGGCTTCTTTCACTTACTTTTAAAATCCATCCATGCTATTGCATATATCAGCAGTTTGTTCCTGTGGTGGCTTTATAATGTATCAACTTGGCTAGGCCTAATTATGTTTCCCAAAATTCCCTTTCTTGTATGCTTCCAGTTACAAGAGACATTTTAGTGCAAGACTGGAGAGCAGAAGTGAAGCAGCAGCCGTTTTGTTCTTGATGCGGGCACTTCTGCAGCTCACACGTGCTGTAACTTATCTGCTGGTTCACTTTGCTAATGTGGGGCAGCAGCCAGGCCTACAGTTGACCCACCTTTCCTTGGATCCTGCTTCAGCTTCTCTTGATTCCTGGGCCAAGTGAGTGTTTAGTAACATACTTGCAAAAGCAAGTGGCAAAGGGCAACACTTCTCCAACAGGGTACCACATCATAAGGTTGGAGATGTGAGGAGTCACATGGGACTCGGTCTGTCTTCATGGGTTCTAGCTTGTCCCTGATCTCTCCCACTTGACATCCATCTTTTCTTCCCACCTGCCTACCCTGTGGACTTCCAGCTCTGCTCCAGCATTAGATAAAAAAACAGGGACTTACAGAGACTGCTTACCAACTCCAACAGTTGTGTAATGTCAGATCCCTGTAAACAAATCACTATACACACACATACATGTGTGCCTGCAAATATCCTAGTAGCTCTGTTTCTCTGATTGTGACTGATACAATTCCTTTTTACTGCTGAATAAATTGTCATTGTATGGATTTACAATTTGCTGATCCAGTCACTAGTTAATGGACATTTGGTTGTTCTCAGTTTGACACCATGAATATAGCTTCTATAAATGTTCACATACAGGTCTTTGACAGATTATTTCAAAACATGGTAGAGTAGTCCCCCCTTATCCACAGGGGATATGTTCCAACACCCCAGTGGATGCCTGAAACCACAGATACTACTGAGCCCAATTGCCGTCAACTGGAACACGTTTCTGTTCATACTGTCCACCCACAAATTTAACGCCTTTTACATCTTAACTAAGCACTTCCCACACTGTGGCTGTAACTTTTGCAGTTTCAGGTGTAACAGCAAAATTAGCACAGATTTTTTTTTTTCTTTTTCACAATTTCCCAGACAAAAGATTCGTTCTTACTGTAGATGTTACCACAGATACATTTTTTCTCTTTCCTGAAGTTCCTTAAGTCAAGAGCTTTCACCTTTGCACTTAAAGGAAGCAGGCTACAGCTTCTCTTTGGCGTATTTGAATTGCCTGCATCACAACTCTTGCACTTTGGGGCCATTATAAAGTAAAATTAGGGTTACACATAAAGCAAGGGTTACACAAGCAGTGGGATGCCATGACCGTCGATCTGATAACAGAGAATGATGCTAAGTGATTCAGTGGTGGATAGTGTATACTGTGAATATGCTGAACAAAGGGATGATTCACGCCCAGGCAGGATGGCATGAGATTTCATCATGTGACTCAGAACAACAGTGAACAACTTAGAACTTAAGAACTGTCTGAGCATGGAGGCTAACACTTGTAATCCCAGCAATTTGGGAGGCTGAGGCAGGAGGATTGCTTGAGACCAGGAGTTCGAGGCTGCAGTGAGCTATGATCATGCCACTGCAGAGTGAGCCTGGGCAAAGAGACACTCTGTCTCTAAAAAATAAAAAAAACTTCAAGAATTATTTCTGGAATTTTTCATTCAATATTTTTAGATTATGATTGACTGTGGGTAACTGAAACCATGGAAAGTGAAACTGCAGATAGATAAAGGGGGACTACTGTATATCTCAACTTTTTAAAATTGGTAATACAATGAACAGACTCCATTTATAATCTAATGTCAAATTTTATTCACCTTTTTTTTTCTTACAATATGCTGTCATTCAAAATGTACCTCAGAAGCAACTCAACTCATGCATACAGTAGGCACTCTATAAATGTTTTAATAATTAGGTGTTTTTTAGAATGACTAAAAATCCAGATGTAAAATCCCAATTGGGAAGTGCATAATCCCATCGTAGACAAAATATATAACTTTACAATAAACATTTTTATAAGAATTTGCCCCAAAGAGGGAACACTTAAAATTTGGAAATTAAAAAATAAAAATGCAAAAGCAAGATGAAACAAACAATAGTAACCTATTTAGACAATGATCCCTGGATCGGTGGTGCTTACAGACCAAGGGTTACCTGCACCCTGTGGCGTAAGACCATCTGACATTCGGTTAAGAAGAGAATTATATACCTAATATCCTCTTAACTGGAAATGCTGCGAGAATATATAATAGCCTATGAAAACATTTTAGCTACATCCCTTTATGTGAACACACCAAAAATTTAAATACATATTTTATTCTCTAATTTTAAAAAACCAATGCTTTTCATCTTAAGCAGCAAGAATGATCCACAAGTAAGCATGAAGTCACTTTTATAGAAGCTGTGTTAAATTATGGAAAGTACCTTGGGAGATAAGCTCAAGAACCTTAGTCCAAATATAAAACAAATCATTGCATTAAAGAGACTTCCTATGTTTTACAAAAACAAAACAGGTTGTGACTACATGTGATAAAAAAGTGTCTCCTATCTATCTTAAAACTAAAAACATTCACTCCAACTTGAAAAAAAAATAGGACTATTATGATACAAAAAAATTAAAACAAACCAAATGTCGAGAAGTAGCTATGCAAACTTATAAACATAACTGAATAGCTAAAAAATAAAACATCTACTGACTGTATTTTTCAAAAACTATATAATTCTATAAAAATTTAAATGTGGACTAACTACATCAATACATGGAAATGTATATATAAAATATTAAGTGAAAAAAACATTAAAAATATAAAGTGATTATAACCATGTAAAAGTAAATATATTACAATAACAAAAACTGAAGTGAATTTAAATTGAAAGACATAAATAGATTCAAATATTAGGGTTTTTTCTTTGTTGCTTAAGATTATAACAAAATACAAAAGAAAAAATAGACTATTATTTTAGATAAAATAAAATTATACTCCTAAACAATAAATGCTGAACTATATGTGAACTCCTAAAACAGAGATATTTAAAACATAACTTCTATATTTCAAGTGTATCCTGTGAAGGAGATCAGCCTACATTTGCTGGTCTTCATTTTACAAAACATTCTGGGCAATGTGTCCATTTATAACTGCCCCTCTTAAACATAAAAAAAAACATTTTAAAGCACTAAGTAAGAAAACCAAGCAGCATGCTAACAAAATCTATCTACTTAATCTGTTTTGCTTCTGCAAAAAGCCACTAACAGAAGGTTTAAAAAACTAATTCTATATACACACTTTACATAACATATATTTATGCTATAAATATTTTAAAGAATGGCTTTTACATAATTCTTTATTTCAATATATATCTCATTAATTTCATTGCAAGTTATGCAATATAGTCTTTTGGATCTGTTATTGAAAATTATTCGCTCCATGATTTAGAAAATGGTTAATTTCTTGGATAAAACATAGCATATTTAGAAGTCCGAAAGCCAAGTAAATCCCTTATTTCATTTCGGAATTTTGACAGATCTTGGCGCAGTTCGTTTAGATTTTCCACAGTTGCCTGATCTGTACTTTGCATCTTCTGTCTCATGGAAGTCAAGTAACGATGCACTAGGCAGCACATCACTTTTTGATAGTTTTCATCTCTCTTCTGTTTCAAATTCCTCCATTCCTTCAAAACAACAATATGATACTAAGGATATGCAGAAACGATATTTAAATGAGGTAGAGTTCAAAAATATATTCACAGACACAAACACATCTTTAAATGCTTTATTAGACTATAGTTTTTCTACTACATGGTATAATATTCAACACTTGTTTAAAACAAATATAGCCTGCATATTTGTTTAATGAATTTAATTTTATGCTTATCTTGATTGAAAAAAATTAGTCTTAGGAATCCTTAGTTTATAGCAGGGATTGGCAAACTACAACCCACAAGCCAAATATGGTCCATATCCTGACTTTACAGCCTGTGAGCTAAGAATAGATTTTACAGATGAACATTTATCATCAATTGATAATAACACTAATTTTAAACTCTAGTTAAGTGAAATTTTATCCCCTCCCAAAAGGAACTCCATTCTTTTCACTAGTAGACCTATATTTAAAAAGTTATTACTGTTATTGTTATATTTTGACTTTTATCAATAAAAGTTTTGTGAAAATTTGTTTTCTCTCTTACTGTATCACTGCTTACAATATCTCTGATTTTGTCTCAGCCTGAAAAGTGTAAAGTATTTACTATCTGGACCTTTACAGAAAAAATGTCCCAACCCCTGGTTTATAGTAACATATATTGAATTATTGATGTATTGAATAACTTTCAAGAAGAACCAGAAAAATATGAGCTGATTCTAGTAGTCATTCTTTAGCTACAGTGACAGAATGGGTATTTTGAATATTTCCCATGTTTTAAAACTATGAGATGAAATTTTATATATTGGAGGAATCTGAAAAGTAAAAAAAAAAATCTCAGTACTATCTCCCATTCTTAATAATTATATGTGTGTGTGTGTGTGTGTGTGTGTGTGTGTGTGTGTGTGTATATATATATTTGTTTGTTTGTTTGTTCTGAGGTGGAGTCTCGCTCTGTCACCCAAGCTGGAGTGCAGTAGCATGATCCTGGCTCACTGCAACCTCCACCTCCTGGGTTCAAGCAATTCTCCTGCCTCAGCCTCCTGAGTAGCTGGGACTACAGGCATGTGCCACCACACTCAGCTAGTTTTTGTGTTTTTAGTAGAGATGGGGTTTCACCAGGCTGGTCTCAAACTCCTGACCTCAAGTGATGATGTGCTTGCCTCAGCCTCCCAAAGTGCTGGGATTACAAGCGTGAGCCACCGCACCCAGCCCTCTCACTCTCAATAGTATTTATTGAATCCTTACTTTATGTTGGATGCGATGCCGTACATTAGGGTATATAGCAGTGAAAAAAAGTCAGACAGTCACAGCCCTTAGGGAACCTGCATACTTACGCTTTAAGAAATATCTGAGATTAGGAATTGTTAAAACTTTTATGTTGCCATTCAAGCTTCTAATTTCTTACCTTTAAACTGTTTTGCCGTTTGACCTTGCCTTTTGATGTATGAGAGCAAATCCACTTACTGAGGCTACTAATCATATAGCAGATAGTCTTTGGTGAGGGAATGATGTTGAAAGGTGGAGGTAACGTACATTTGTCATCAAAGTAGCTAAGCCATAATTTTGCTCGAGCAAACTTCCATTCTTTGTCTTCATGATTCTATATAAAAGGCAAATTAAAAAGCAAACTAGAATATTAATACACACACAAATATGGGGGATGTTTCCACACCTTGCAGAAAAATTTTGTTCAACATTTGCAATTATTATACATTACTTACATTTTAAAAATCTATATTTAATTTAAAAATACTATTTTTCAATTCTTATAATCTTATAATCTTTGGCTATCTTATCTATTGTATGCACTTAGTATGGTCTGAGGAGAATATAAAGTTTTTAAAAGAATGAACTTACTGCTATCAACTGAAAGCTTTTATGAAGCATTGCCACCAGCAGTTTGGTAAGCACAATCACAACCACGACATTGTATGTACCAACAATGACAGCTCCCACAAAGGACTGCAGTTCTTCTCCATAGCTAAATCTTGTGACAAAGATTGCCACATGCGCTAAGGAGAAAATATACCAGAACAAAGCAAAGCAGGTGCCAATGAACCTGTAAAGACAATTGCATTTCTGTTTAAAAGGCAATTAAAGAAATTAGCAAAAATGAATCATTTGTTTATATCAAAATTATTTAAATAAAACATTGATAATCCATGAAAAGTTCCTTATTTAAAAATGATGTTGACTTCCACAGTACTGATATGCCTTACTTTAAATTTAAACAAAGAGACCCTAAGGAAGATAAATTATTTGTAACTGTTTAACCCCTTGCTGCCTTTCTTTCTGTTCTCAACAAGGCAGCCTATATGATTTGTTAACATCTAATTAGATTTTGTCACACCTCTGCTCAAAACCTTCAAATGACTCTCAATCTCAACAACTCAAAATCCTTACAAGGGCAAAAAAGTCCTACATGATCCCCATTACCCTTCTGACTTCATTTCTGTCTGTTCTCAACAAGGCAGCCTATATGATTTGCTAATATCTAATTGGATTTTGTCACACCTCTGCTCAAAACCTTCAAATAACTCTCAATCTCAATAACTCAAAATCCTTACAAGGGCAAAAAAGTCCTACATGATCCCCATTACCTTTCTGACTTCATTTCCTACAACTCCCCCTCTGATTCAACACATTCCATCCACACTGGCTGCCTGGCTTTTTCTTGAACATACCAGTCATGCTCCTACCTCTGGACACTTGCCTTTGCCGTTCTCTCTCTCTGTAAATGCTCTTCCCCCAGAAATGTTCTTCGTGGCTTGCTCCTTTACCAGCTTTAGATCCTCACATGAATGTCATCTCTTCTGGGGCACTCCCTAGCTCCTTAGTTAAAACTGAACTCTGACACACAGACACTCTTTTGCTCATGCTTTATTTGTCTTTGTAGCCCTGACCACTGTGTAACATACTGAATATTTTACTCCTCTTTTTATTGCCTGTATCACCTCCCTAGAATGTAAGCTTCATCAGGGTAGTTTTGTTTACTAATACTTCATTTGCTCAGCACTTAGAACATTGGCTGGTATATAGTAAGTGGTACACTGACACATACTCATTAATCTTATTCTTTACATAAGATGACACACAAAATAACTAAAGAATAGTTGACACATAATAAGAACATGACAAATGTGTCCTTCCACAACTCTTCTCCATTGTTTTATTTAAAAATGACGGGAGGAATTTTGTTTACCTCAAAACAGGTTATTCAAATCCTTATGATACATTAGAGAAAAAAATGTTCATGAAGTTCTAATGATTCTCAATTCTAATGACCTCTTAAAAAGTGTTGAAGCTGTGAGCGTTTTTGGCTGTAACAATGACTGAGAGTTGCTACTGACATTTAATACCTGAAGGACAGAGATGCTGAACATCTTGCAATACATAGGAATGACAAAGAATTGCTCAAAATGCTAAGAACACACAAAATGCCAAGAATTCCTCTGTTAAGATAGACTGCAGTAGGGAAGACAAGGTAATAACTTGGACCCACTATTTAAGATGCTGTATGTAAAGATGACTATAGTGATTCATGAAAAATAAGTATTTATTAAAGTTTATGAACATTACTAAGGAATTTCTTAAAATGTGAAGTTCCATTTCTATAGATACTAATTCATATAGAAGATGGTAAAAAAAAAAAAGACAAATATATTTACTAAAACATTTAAAAGATACTCACGAATGGAAGGTATCATTGCTTTGCTGTTCACAGAAGATGCCTACACAGTCCTTCTGCTCCTTTGAAGTATATCCTTTATCATACAGTTGTGTCAGTCCAATTGTGAAAGAAAACAAAACAAGAAGAAACATCCCAAGAAATTTTCCAAAATCTTGTAACATCTGTCCCATTGAAATCTGTGGAATATATTACACAGGTGTTCATTAAGATTATCAGAAAAACAAAATATTAAATATAAATGACCCAGCAACAAAAGGAAGAAGACAAACACATAATCCACAGGCCACCCCTTCTATTGCATCTGGTTGAGACAGATCATTTTAAAAACATCGAAAATCCAGCTGCCTAACAAAAAGTCATTCTAATCATACCAACACTATCAGTGTTAGATGGCACGTTCCTAGAACCTGGATCAGGGTTTCAGAGGACATTGTTGTTATGGAGATAGAGGCAGAGATATGGAGATTTAAGAAAAGGCCTAATTTGCAAGGGATAAAAGGAAAATACCCTGCTCAAACTTAAAGAGAAATAAATGCTTATATTTACATGGCTTCTTAAATTTTACAAACATAAAATCATTATGAGGCAAAGTATTTCACCTGATTTTTGAAACCAATTCTAAACCAATTCCTAAAATCAGCATTTCCTCCTATGGGACTGCCCTAATTTCTTTTGCTGAAGTGATAGATTTTCTTTCCCTTTGGGTCCATTTTAAGAAAATATTATGTGTGCAAGCCAAATGAGGGTGTCCAGTATTAGTAGTGAGTATCTTTTGTAGTTTAGACATGTATAGTGCATATGGAAGCTTTAATCCTAATTTCATTCTTCAAAATTTAGAGATTAGGTACTTTTCATAAATTCTTGGTTTTTAAATTGGCATGCAAATTTGGGGAATAATGTGATAGTACTTTTTTGACCCAGCAATTCTATCCCTAGAAATTTAACCAATAGATAGGAAGTACACAAAGATGCATGTATATACAAGGATTTACATTGCAACATTGTTAGAGGTAGCAAAAAAATTTTAGAAAATCCTCAATATTGTTTTTATTTTTTATTTTTTAATATTTTTTGGGGGGGACTTTCCCGCAAGAACCGGAAAGCCTGCTAGACAAATTCTAAAAGAGCTGTAACATTACTCAACATTGTTTTTAAAAAGAATGAAGAACATCTACATGTGCTAGCATACAAAGATGGCTGTAAGACAGTAAATCCAAAAAGCAGGGTATAAAACAGTATGTATATGTAGAACGGCCCCCATTTCTATTTTGTTAAAGGATAGACAAGATACATATTTTAATATAGATATGCTTTAATATGCATAGGAAGTTTCTGGAAGTTTACATAAGAAATTGTTAACCATGTTTATCTATGGAAGGGCATATATCTAAGGGTATAGTAGGGAGACTTTTTTTTTTTTTTCTTTCTTTTTAAGACAGTCTCTATCTCCCAGGCTGGAATGCAGTGGTGTGATCTCAGCTTACTACAAACCTCCGCCTCCCAAGTTCAAGTGATTCTCCTGCCTTAGCCTCCCAAGTAGCTGGGATTACAGATGCCCACCACCATGCCCAGCTAATTTTTTGTATTTTTAGTAGAGATCGGGTTTCACTATGTTGTCCAAAATGGTCTCAGATTCCTGGCCTCAAGTGATCTGCCCACCTCAGCTTCCCAAAGTGTTGGGATTACAGGTGTGAGCCACCGTGCCTGGCCTCATTATTTTTAATGTACAAAATTGAGTGTTTTGAAACAACCCTTCCTCAAATTTAACAGGTCAAATTTATATAATTAATTACATCAAGCTTTAAATAAAATTCCTAATTGGCCCAAGTCGGCCAGCATAGCACATCCCGCTTTCAGTGATACAAAATGGTAGCCACAGGCAACTGGCCAGATGCTTCCAGCCCACTAAAGTGGACCAGCTACTTAAGCAGAATAGGTGAGTTTAAATTCTTAGGCACGCCACAAGCTAGTAACCCAGACTCTGCCATAGTGGAGAGGTCCAATATGCCTGACTTGTGCTTTTGACTAGACCATGTGGTACTTTTCAAGGCCTATGCTGCCCTCACTTGGCCCCCTTACAAAATTCTGACACAAGAAGCAGGGGACACTTAGAATCAGAAAACTCAAAATATGTAAGAAGGAGAAGAAATGCATTTTCCTCTTAATCAATGACAGCTTTATTGGATCACCTTGAGAAAGAAAAGCATCCATTCAGATTGTGATTGCTTAGAATAAAGCTATACCATCTCAGTACAGAACTCAATCCCTTATGACAGTAAGAATACAGTAACTGCTTTTGATAACTACAGAAAAGATCACCTTGAGGAAAGTCTGGACACTGTAAGCTTACAGGTAAATCAGGTTTTCCAATAGTGACCATGTATGATATCATTTTAATTTTAAAACATGTAGTCAAAGTAGCTTTAATTTAACCTAAGTTTTAAATAAATGTAATCGAGTTCAATATCAAGGTAAGCAATTCTGAATGAGAACACCACAAACTTCATGACTTGCTTAAATTTTAAATTTAAAAAGAAATTTTTAAGAGACAGAGTTTCACTCTGTTTCCCAGGCTGGAGTATGGTGGTACAATCATGACTCACTGTAGCCTTAACCTCCTAGGCTTCAGCAGTCCTCCCCACTCAAGCCTCATGAGAAACTAGGCACATCCCACCATGCCTGGCTAATTTTTATTTATTTTTTTGTAGACAAGGTCTTGCTATGTTGCCCAGGCTGGTCTTGAACTCCTGGCCTCAAGCTATCCTCCCGCCTTAGCCTCCCAAAGTGCTGCAATTAGAAGTGTGTTCCACCATGCCCGGCCTGACTTGTTTAATAGCATGGTATTGGTTCTTAATACAAGAAGAAGTAAAAGTAGAACAGTGGATACCACTGAGGAAAACACTGGCTTGAAGACACTAATGAAATATTCATGTGAAAGGCAAATATTAAAAACAGTAAATTTATTTTAGACTGAGAGATTATAAGGTTTATGTATTTGTAAAAGTAATAATGCTTTCTCAAACATTTACTTTTTAAAAAGTACTTGGCGGTTTAACTTGAGAAATATGAAAACTTGTGAAATGAAAAGAGAAAGGTAATTAAAATATTAATACTAAAATTTACATAGAGTTAATACTAGTACACACAGAGGAAAAAATCCTTCTTGCTAATCAGAAAAAGGGAAATTAAAGCAAACTACTAAATTAGCATAACTTTAAAACAGCACCAAATGCTATTAATGTAGTGAAACTATTTTTATACTGCTTGTATTGCAGAAAATTAACACACTTTATTGTAAAAAAATAAAAATACTGAGGTGTTAGGTGGATCATATCTTTTGATCTGTTAATACTATTTTTGGAGACTTACCCTTAGAAATAACAGAGGCAAAAAGCCTCATACACAGAGTACTATGCAGAACAACAAAAACAACCTAAATCTCTGATAAGGGAAAGGTTGCTATCATTAGGCTCATTAAATTACACAAGTTGCTAACAAAAGAAAGCAATAATAATCACAACTTCTAGTCACTGTCTTTCCAAATCTCCCTCCAGAATAAAGCCATAATTATCTGTCCAAAAGTTCTATCTAAACAAGTCACCCAGGCTCAAAAACCTCCTTTGCACATGTGATATTAAAATTCCTGGCACAGAGACCTTCAGTGTCCAGCCCAGCCTGTCTTTTTTAGCCTCATCTCCCCAACTCCAATCCACGGTCCAACTATAAAGGATATGCTGTCTTCTCTAAGCACACCATGCTTTAGGACTCCACGCTTCTGCGTGTTACTTTCCCTTTGTCCTTTGCCAGGCAGGCTTCTCATCCTTTCAAGGCTCAGATCAAATGCCACCTCCTCTAAGGAGCCTTCCTGACTCTCTCCGGCTACTTCCTCAGTCATGCTTCCAAAGTAACTTTGTTTGTTATTGCTAAAACAGTATTTTTGACTTCATACTAGTATTTATGTTATGTTTGTCTCCTCTAGCAGTCTTTAAGAGCAGGCACCATGTCTTAGTAAGCTCCAGAGCCCAGTGCATTAATTAAAATGTTGAATAATTCTTTACCACTTTCTTAGTTTCTTAATTAACTTAGTTAATTAACACCAAGTCCTGGTTCTAACACTGTGTGAGCTGGGCCTTAGTTTCCTGATCTATACAAGGGATATAGTCAAATGCTGCATCAGACTCATCTGCATGTCATTTTCCAGCTTTAACCCAATCAATTTAATCAGTATCTCTGAGGGTAGGACTTGAGAATCTAGGTTGAACATGCTCCCCAGGTGATTCTGCAGCCCCACCAGTTTGAACCTCTGGACTACATGACTCCTCGGTTTCTCTAACTCTAATATACACCAAAATGCAAAACACCTGAAACAGCTCTTTACTCGTTAGAAGCAGCACCAACATGCCACTTATATTATACAGGCTACTAAATTAAATCTGATAATTATCCAGTAAAACCAAATAATTCACTAGAAATAAAATACACACTCATGTTTCAAGTACTAAGCTTTCCAAGTTTTCTTATATTATTTTTCAGGTCTGCCATAGTTAACTAACTATAAAAGGAATGGAAAAAATGGACCTAAACATTTACGTAAAGCCCACCATGTGTCAAGTACTGTGGTATGCATCTTACATACACTGACCCATTTAATCCTCACAATAACGGATAAAGAAACTGAGGCTCACAGACACTAAACAGTAAGTGATGGAGCAAGATTTTGAACCAACCTGTCAGAACCCAAGGGGATGTTCATTCATTTGTAATATTAGTAATTCTAATAATTAGACCAAACAGAAAAGCAAGACAGTTAGATACAAGCTCTTTCAAGTACCATAAATGTTGAGGCCTAGGAATGCATGCATAGACCCTCAAGAGCTCCCCTCCTTTGGTCTGATTTGCTCATCACCACCCCTCCAGAACTAATCCTTGCCAGAGATTTCTGCTTTGGGGCTCCTCCTCAGAGAAACCTAATCAGTGTATGTGGTGCCTTTAAACTGTTTTAGAATCACATGATACGGCAGATTTCCCTAGGAAACATTTCAACCTCTGGGAAAGAAACGCACCTCCTATCCTAAATGAAGTAGGAAGGGGAGGAACTTTAGGGAAGAAAAGGGATTAATATTTGAGAAAATTGCCAAATAATTTATTCCCCTCCAAAAAAAAAAAAAACAACCTTTTTTCCACTTAGTTTCTCTAGATGTGAGGCCTGAAAGCATGAGGTCAAAAACAGAAGCTGAAGTGGGAGACTTGTTGCTTTTGTAAGGACTTCTTATCATAGCACTGAAGAAAAGGTGGTGATGTTTTACAGTGCGAAGGGGAAGAAAAAAAGAGGAAGGGCAAACAGGTCCACTCGACTTTATGTCTGGGTCCTATCAAATATGACAATCATAATAAACCTTAGGTTTCTCTTTGGATAGATTTTGGATTTGACAGTCCCTTGGACAGCAGGAGTAAAACTCCTTGAAAGGTTGCTTTCTCTGAAGGCCTTGCCTCTTTCTCTTCTATCCTCCTCAATCCACTCCACTCTACACTTTAAATGCCAGATTCAGTTAGAACCCTCTCACTACTTAGTACCAGTAACTGCCCTCAAAATACAAGCATACCTCGTTTTATTACACTTAACTTTGTGGTGCTCCACAGATACTGTGTTGTTTGTGGCAACCTTTTTTGAGTAAGTCTATGGGAGCCATTTTTCCAATAGTATGTGCTACAGATGGGTAAGAATCAGGGACCCACGCAGCAGAGTCTTGGAGCAGGAGGAACTGATAATAATCACATCTTTTGTACTAAGCTACAAGAATAAAGACAGGAAGCATGTGGGACCTGAGAGAGGGCCCTACCCTGGGACCAGGTAAGGAAAA